>NC_000011.10:132912304-133221493 GCF_000001405.40 Homo sapiens | reverse complement strand
CACATGAATAAGTGCTATCAAATTGACACCTTAAACAACTCAGGGAGCTAGTGTTAGCTCCACGTTACGAAAGAGGAAACTGAGTCTCAGACCAAGCGACTTTGCTCAGGTCATGCAGTTGTTATGTGAAGGTGAGAAAGGGGCCTAGGATGTTGCAGAAATGATCAGGGAGCATGAGACTGAGGGGACCCAGCTTTCCCTACGAACCAACCTGCTTCGACCAAGTCACTCTGCAGACAGAATGTGCTATCCTCAAGTGAGCAATCACCTTGTCACTGTGCCATCACACACGGTGGCCGGCTCTGTCCCAAGCTGCTAAGGGGGTGGTTGACGGGGTATGGCCAGCCAAAGACTCAAAAGTGCTAATAGACTTTAGCTGTGTCATATAAAGAGAGAGCAGCTGCACTCAAGAAGGCCTCTGAGCATTACAAAATAGTTTGGGGATCTAAAAACGGAAAGCGGGTTCAGGCCATGAAGATGGTTGCAGAATTATTTTAGATTTTCATTTCCGACAAAAAATGGAAGGGCCATACAGCCGTGAGATTAGTTCCGTCCAATTTCGAGTCAGTGACGCACCACTGAGGCCTGGGGATCTTCCATGGCTAAGCAGAGAAACCTGAAGGAAACAGTTCTCCAAACGGACTCGAACGAAGCCGGGGGCTATAGATCGGGGGGCTGTTAAGCATTTAGAGGCTCCCGAAGCTCCTTTGGAGTCCAGAGCTTGAAAATGGAAGAGGGGGCAGAAAAATGGAGGAAGTGAGGGAGACTTTGCTCTCTGAGACTTTTGGGGGAGCATTTAGTGGTGGTAGAGGCAGTATACATACCTGTGATTTTAAGACCTGAAGTAAGAACATCCTCCAGAAACACGGAGCATTTGCTACCACAAGCAGGCTGAAAGTGCCTGCGTTCCTTGAGGAAGCATGTGCTGGCTTCAGGTCTGCAAGGCAAAGGGACATTCAAGGGAGACCTCTCCTCCTCTGACCTCTGACTCCCCAGGACTCCAGAGCCTGTTCACTGCCTCTCCCAGAGGCTGCTGTCTGGCAGCAGTAGAGCCCTGGGAAAGCAAGGGTGGCCTTCATGTGGAATAGCAGAACCTTGGCATGAGAACCTGTGCCCTCATCTCCTTATTTTTTGTCCTAATGGACTTCTTGGGTTAATGCCTGCAGCACAGCTCCTGCTGACTAATGTTTCTGCAAAAATCAGACATTCTTTGTGCTCTTCCTCTCAGAGACCAGATAAGGAAGCCACTCCCTCTCCTGTCTGGCAGCACTCTACTAGGACCTGGTGTCTGGTGCACACCTGCCTGGGCTCCCAATGTAGAATCCAGGGGAAGACACTCAAGTACCAACCTCCACTGCCAGTGTCCAACTTCCCAGCTGAATGGGAAGGGTGTTGAAGCTTCCTCAACAGTCTTAGGGTTGAAGGAATGAATGATATTATAATATTTGGTGAGGGAATAAGGTCACAGCCTGTCAAGGACACAGGTTAACATTAAATAGAAAAGATGTTACTGCAACTATCTCTGCAGCCAGGATCTGGTTGGCATGAGCAGTGAGCAGTTTCTCAATCTTAGCGCCACTGGCATTTTAAGTTTTATACTTTACAATCACAGTTTGGGAAGGGGGTTCTGTGCATTATAGGATATTAGCAGCATCGCTGACCTACCAAATAGATGTCTGTAGCACCCCCCTCCCCAAACTGTGATCATAAAAAAGGTCTCCAAGCATTGCCAAATGTCCTCCAGGGGGCACAGTTGTCCCCGCTTGAGAACCCCTGAGTTAAATGATTCTGGGCTCCTCTGTCAAGGGTCCCCAAAGTGAAGTCCTTGGGCAGGCAGCAGCAGCAGCGCCTGGAGGCTTGTTAGAAATACAAGTCTTCTCATCACACTGCAGACCTGATTCAGAATTCCTGACAGTGGGACCCAGGGGATGGATTATGTTTCAACAAGCCCTCCGGATGATTCTTATCCATGCTAAAATTCGAGAAGCATTGCTAAATGGTAGCCACTTGCCACAGGTGGTTATTTAATTTTATTTTATTAACTAGATTAGGCAAAACTAAAAATTTTAGTTTCTCAGTTTCTGTAGCCACATTCCAAGTGATCAATAGCTACATGTAAGTGGTGGCTAGTGTCCTGGAAAGGACAGTTACAGAACATTCCACCATTGCAGAACGTTCTGTTGGACTACATTGTAATGAAGTTGCTACCAAAATGTGGACGACTTCAAGAACCCTAAGACTATTTCTGGCTATCAGCCAAGTCCTACAGAATACTCACTGGCTAACTTATGGCACTGCAAAACTAGATATAGAAGTGAACTGAGAGAAGCCGTGTTTCTTCCCCAGTCATGCTTGCATATAAGATAGGTATCATGCCACTAACCTGCCCAGAGCCCATCCATGATAATGGTCAAGGCAGCTGGTCAGAGACACAGGAAGTCTGGAGTAAAACGCATAATATAGAGCACACCTTAATCTTACTTTAAGGCAATATGCTAAGGTATCAAAATAAAAGCAAGCACAAATTCAGCAAACACACCAGGGAGAACAAAGGATTATAGGCTTATGGGCTCAAGTGCTTTGCAGGGATACCAGGTTTTACGGTGGTATGACAGAGACTAGCCCATTCTCCTGCCTCTAGTAAGGGTCCATGTATAATTTCTGAAGTCAGATGAGTGCCAATTCCAAAGACCTCTGAGACCTCTTTGCAGGGTTCTCACTCTATCAAATCCATCCAGAGAGCTTAGCAGCTCCAGAGTAAAATGGGATAATCCTAATCACACCGTGTGTCCAGGCAATCCCTGGAGTAGGGTAGGCAGTTGCATGTGTGTCTCTGTGTCTCCCCTCTATGCCAGCTGCAGACATCACCAATGAATTGGGCTACTCTTCGCCGTGGACCCTGGATGCAGCCAGTACCAACCAGTCCAAGCTTACATGCACAGGAGGACACTAGTTCACCGTCTTTGTTTTTGAGTAACTCAAATTCTTGTACATACCTCAGCTTCTTTTTGGAAAATCCAAATATGACTTTCCTGTATGACAAGATGCTATAGGGCATTTCTCCTTTAGCGAACCAAAGAAGTCTTCCCTGGCTTTCTAAAGGCGATCACTTAACGTTTACTGCCCTCATTCCTTTTCTATCGACAAACCTTGTATTTCAGCACAAACTGTAATTCTCCTCTCCACAGTAAGTTATTGGTGTCTCGGGAACTTGACAGACCCAGTCAACATTAAAAGTGCTCCTAGATTGGTTTTTAGCTCTGCTTCTTAACTTGATTCCAATTTGGATTACACCAAGCCTGGAACTCTCCATGATTTATTCTCAACCAGCAATCAAATAAAACATAAAAAAAAATACACATGGCATTCCCACCCTAGTTACACAAAACCCCGGCGTGAAGCAGGTTCAGCAAGACTTCTTTTTTTGTTTGCTTGGGTTTTTTTTTTTGAGACAGGGTATGTCTCTGTTGTTCAGGCTGGAGTGCAGTGGCAGGATCATAGCTCATTGCAGCCTCCACTTCCTGGGCTAAAACCATCCTCCCCGCTCAGCCTCCCAGGTAGCTGGGACCACAGGCATGCACCACCACACCAAGCTAACCTTTCAAAATTTTCTGTAAAGATGAATTCTCCCTATGCTGCCCAGGCTGCCCTGGGCTCAAGTAATCCTCCAGACTTGGCATCCCATAGTGCTGGGATTACAGGTGCTAGCCACTGCACCTGGCCTCAGCAAAACTTCTTTGGCAGGAACCTGGTATTGAATGAAATCTGCCCAGCAATGAAAAACTCTTAAACCTCTGCCAGAAATCCCAGCAGATCGGTGCAGTTTGTCCCCCATCTTGCTCATCTCCCCTGAATTGGGCTGAAGAGGGCTTCACCAAGCAAGGAAATGCACAGGCAGTGGCCCAGGCAGCCGAGTACCCACCTCCATGGGCTCTCGTGTGGGGCAGAGGGAAGTGACCCAAAGGAGATTCATTCCTCTGGTCACCTTCATGGGTGCTGCAATCCTATGGGAAATGTCCTCCTGAGCACACCGTGGGTGCCCCACTGTGCTTTCATTAGAGAAGTGTGTGAAAACCTAAGACCAGAAGGTGAGCTTCAGGAATGCAAACCTTCAGGCCTTGAGAGTCCAGGGCTGGGAACAAAACACTGGGACCCCAATTCTGCCCATGGGAACGGGTGAGAATGATGAGTAATTTACAAAAACAAGGGTGTGCCAGTGGGTGCTTTGTTTTGGGGGGCACTGGAGCATCAGACCAGGGAGCTAGAAACGTCTGACCAAGAGAGGCTTCTGAAGGTTGACCAGAAAAAAGAGAGATGGGGGGTCTAGTGTGAGTGGGCTGCTCACCTGGAGGTGAGAGGCTGTACCTGCTCTCTGAAGGAAAAGGGCTGAGTTCTTCCCAAGAGGGCAGATGTGTGTAGCCAGTTGACTTGGGTGGAAAACTTAGTCTTTAGCAACAATCTGCAAGTTAAACCAAGCCAAGCCACATGTCCTGCTTAGCTCTGTAGTGAGGCCACACCCAGTATTTATGGCAATCTTCATATTTACATAATTATTTATGTGTAAAATATATATCTATAAATACATTACATATATTTGTATATATAGTTTCCTTTATACCCATACAAATATACATATGAGCACATATATTTACATATAAATACATATGCCCCAATAAAAAGGCTTAAGTATATATTTGAGTATATATTTGTTCATATGCATGAATGTACGTACACATTATTACATGATAGTTAATAAGCCATAGTCTTTGCATTTAGATAGTTCCAAGTTTGAATCCCAGTTCTGTCACTTAGGGAAGGTGTTTCCTTGTGTAGATTATTTAATTGAGCCTTAATTTCCTCTTCTGTAAGGTAGAAATAGTGACACATATAAATTACCATACAAATGTAAGGAATAAGATAATGAATATAAAATATACAAAATAGGTGATCAATGGCAGATACAGCTATTTATGTAACTAGCACCTCTGTGACCACAACCAGCTGAAGAATGAGTGCCTCATTCTCTTGGGTTGGTAGAAATCAGGGTGGGGGCTGGTAGCACTTTTATTTAAGGTGTTTTGAACAAATTCGTCTAATACGTACCATCCAAAGGGCTCATAAGAGGTACCTTTTTTCAAATCAAATGCTTCTATTGCAAGAATGGCTCATTTCTCTTTCATAACTGGGTGATTCAGAGGAGGAATTTTCTGTTTGGGTTTATAAAACACAGTTTCTGGGAGGTAAATGTCAACTCCAAACAAAGGAGAACTTCCTAAGAAAGTTGCCCCAGAGGTATTGAGCTCCCTATTACACAGGATGCTTCAGCAGAGGCAGGGCAATCACATACGGGAATCCGAAGTCAGATGAGGGCTGCACTGCGTGTTTTCTGAGGTCCCCTTGCACCTTGAAACCCACACATTCTGTGGCTTTTTAGAAGGCGCCCTCTGAGTGTGCTGTGCTGTGGTTTCTGTACTGCCTGCCCACCTGCCTCCCACCCCCTCCTGGTGGCCTCTATTCATCAGTTACAAGGCCCTGAAGGAATCCAATAGTGAGGAGGTGAGATTACATTCTGAGGAAATGGGTAAACTGAAATGGGGCTGGGATTGTACTCAAGCGGGCAGCCAGCTTCATTTAGCGGCTTGTGCAAAGTCTTATTAGGAAAATGCAGCCACCCAGAACAGCGGGTCTGCTCGTGCATGGTGGGAGGGGCTGGCTGGCCACACTGCAGGTGGAAGGCCTTCCCTTCCCACACTTGTACAGCCTCCTGCCAGGTCAGTGTGACCTGGGTTCTGCTCCCTCGGGGCATCAAAGTAGACGTTCTGATGCAATTCTGCCCCTGCCAACAAGGTCTGCTTTCTCTGAGCATCCCTCCAGAGGAATTTTTTGCTTTACCTCACTGTTTCCCCAGGCCTTTCCAGTTTTCTTTTCACCAATCTAAAGGTATAAAAACATGTCGCAGAGGACCCTGGGAATAGGACGTGGAATACACTGAGTACTGGGATTCGAACTGGTATCAGTGAAGAGAAATTGGGCAAATGACTTTTGATGTGCCTTTCAAACATCCAGGAAGATGATATCTGCTGCCCGAGAGGGCAAGGAATGAATAAGAATAGGTGGCAACAACATAAGCAGCAGCTGTAAAGCCTTTTCTTCCTAAAAAGAATGACTAGAGTTCATCAAATTCAAACCCCGTGATTAGTGGCCTCGCGATTTTAAAGAGATGGGTGTTTGTGCAAGTCTCAAATTATCAGGCCTTCCTCTCTCTCTCTCTCTCTCACACACACACACTCTCTCTCTCTCTCTTAAAATGTGACCTTTCTGCAATTCAAAGAACCATAAGCCTGGAAGGAAGGACGTCCAGTTCCCTGGTTTACAGCTGCTTAAGCCTTTGCCATCTGTGAAAAGGTGGAGATATTGAGAGATATAACTAGGTATATTTGTGACTATGGCAAGTTCTAAGATGCATGCTTATGCCATTCTAAAGGAAGCCCTGGAAATTTTCAGATGAAAAATGTCATAGAAGTTTGAGTTTCTGTAATTATCTATTTATATGCTCTGGGTGCCCAACGAGGGGTCAGAGATTGCCTCATTTGCTGGCTATATAGCTGTTCGTAAGTAAGTGTAATGTGACACACACTCTCTATTGGCTCGTAGGGATGGGAAAATCAGTTAGGTCACATCTGAAAGCCACTTTACATTCAGAGGTCATAAACCGAGAGGAAAAATAACCAAAAGTTTCAGTATTCAATTTGTTTACTCTGAGCAAAATGCAATCTCTTAAACTGATGATGAGAGGAGGATGAATGAGATGGAAAAGGCTTTTAGGAGCTCACTTTAAAAGCTCAAAAGGTGTCTGGGACATTAAATAGCTGTTAAAAGCTCTAGTTGGATAATTTAAGTGTAAATGAGTATGAACTATATGGATTAAATTTGCCTTAAAATACCAGTCTGAAAAATTATGGAAAGACTATTTGAGACAAACAACAGTTCGCCTTTTTTTCAAAACCTGAACATTACGAAAAAATAATTTTAGAGTTTCAGTGAAAGCTAAATGCAGGCAGATTTAACTGTCCCTAGTGAGCTTCCCATTGAAAGCCACAATTCAGTAATAATTATACCTACATTAAAATAAGTACATGTGTTGATACACACATACCACATAAAGTGTACAAATTTAGCCTAAGCTTTTCAAAGCTTTTTCTATCATAAATGACGTTAGATAGATATCGACAAAAATTCAGCCAATAAATCTGAAAATGTGAATTTAAAAAAACCTTCATAATCTGAAATAACAGTTCATTTGATCCTTTGGGGGATTTTTTTAATCTTATTATTAAAATTGGGAATGTTATGTCTTTATAGTATATTTTACCCACCAATTATTATTATTATTTTAAGGGAAAAGTGTTTCATCCTTTATTTCAAGGAAAGATTGTATATTATAAAAACAAATATTGTTATGCCATTGAGTACAGAGCTCACATCACAAACATTTAACCATTTTCATCATACATCTGATGATCTAAAAATCAAAATCACTTTGAAAGGCTTAAGTATTCTGCTATTTCTTAAAGATGATGTTATCACATTATAGTGACACGCTACTGTTTTAAAGACTGAAGTAAAAATGAGACCCAGTAATTTTTAACCAAAAGTGTATCATATCCTATTTACTTATTTTATAAGATCAATAAACATGATAGTAAGACTTGGCATTTAAACATTAAACATGTCTAAACCCCCTGAAGAGTATACCAGAAATAAGCAAGACATTTAGAATGCTTTAGTACTTCCAGTTAACACCATTTGTATCAGCAACTGCAATGTTGTAACTTTTAGCATCTCATGTAACTAGTCAGTAAGGAGTTTTTTAAGTGTAGGAGTGAGAATACAAGGACAGGAGCTATGAGAATGTCAAATTTTATACTTCTGTTAAAAACTCTAAAATCAAAACTGTTATTATTAAAGCCCCTCCATTTGCTACATTAATTTCTAAAGAGCATTAGTGTTTTTGTCTGAGGACAGTCACACTTGAAATAATGCTGCTCTAAAAGACCAAATTTTTAACTTTAGCTGTTACCTATAGAGATGTCTTTCTACATTAGATGTTCATTATGCAATGAGGTTATGTATGAAAAAGGATCTTTTAAATTATTCATTATTGTTATTATTATTGCTCTATTAAGGTCATCCTTTTGCTTGACTCTAGGACGTTTTCTTTAGAATTTAAACATGATGAGCAACATTTGGCAAAAAAAAAAAAAAAAAAACTCATTATGAATATCATGTCCTCTCTATTGCCCATGTTTTAGAACATTTTCTTTCTTAACTCATCAGGGTGTGTGGGTTCAAAAATAAAAGGAACCCAGCTTGAGAGATGAGAAAATTGAGGCACAGAAAAGTCCATGGTGTTGCTCTACATCATAGCGGCAGCTACTGGAGGTGTCTGGCTGCAGAACAACTTTCTACACTTTCAATTTCCCATGTTTCATTGTAATATAGCACTAGAATTTAAGGTGTCCAGCCCAGTATCATCAACATAATTGTTTGGAGCTTTTGAGGTACCACCAGACATAAAAGCTTGATGTGTGGTTTAACGGCATGACGCAGATACAAACGTGGAATTTTAGAGTATGGAAACCCATACAAAGGGTGCAGTGTCATGAGTTCACTCTTACCTCTCAACAGCTAGGGGGCCAGGTTGGGTCCCAAGGGGTCTGAAAGCTGCTGGGAAATCCCTTCATTCATTCAAACACTATTCTAAGCGAATGGATAATAGACACAGAGCCATATAATCATGGAGCCTCTGTTCTAGCAGAGGACAGACAATAACAACAGTCACAGTGAGAAGGTAAATCACAGAGGCTGTTAGAAGATGACAAGGGCTTTGGACAAGTGAGAAAGTAAAAGAGAGTAAGGGAGATCAAGAGTGCAGCGGGGTGAGCAGAGTAGGTTACAACTTCAATAGGGTGCCGAGGGTCGGCGTTCTGGAAGATGAGACAATGGAGCAAAGACTTGAGGAAGGTGAGGGGTTGACCAGGCATGGGGAAAGAGCTTTCCAGGAAGTGGAAGCAGGGCATACGAAATTCTTGATGTATTTGATGAACAGCAGAGTAGTCAGTGTGGCTAGGATTCAGGGGCAGTGGGAGAGTGGCAGGAGATGAGATCTGAGAGGAAATGGGAAGCAGGGCGGTAGATGATGCCCAGCTGTGTAGGCTGTCACGGACTATTAGGAGGACTTTGTGCACCTATCGGGGTGGTGGGCAGGAAAAATTGCTTTTGTTGTTGTCCTTGCTGGTTTGGTTGATTGATTGGTCATTATGATGTTGTGATTGGTGGTGGTGTGGGTACTTTCATGCTCAGGTTCCAGCAGGTGAAGGATCCTGACCCCCCACCTCACTATGCAGGTGTAACCCCACCCCTTTAAAGGCTCTGCTTAGAGTGATGGAGATTGTAAAAGTGACAGCTGGCACGGTCAATCTGCTATCAGGCTGTATGCACTAGGCTTGCCATCTGACAGCCCAGCGTTCATGGCTTTGTTTGAGTATATACACTAACTTATGGTATTTGTACTGCAGGTCTTAGAAGCAGACAGTCTTGGCTTCAACTTTGCATTCTTTAACTCCCTATCTTGAAGAGTTTGAGTCAAATGCTTATACTCTTGAAGGTTTAACTGTCTACTTTATTAGGATTGTTGTAAGACTTAAAAAAATTGTGAAAAGCGTGTTGTGATAATGGTGATGGTATAATAAATGATGATGCTCACGATGATTTAGTCCACACAGTCTGTGTTGCCACAAAGCCAGATGACTCCCTGGCCCCAGATGCCTCATGGTACAAGATATACAATTCCAGCTATTAGGGAAGGGCCTCTGGGTACCTCAGCTCCCTTCTAGGAAACCATGTTCCACTGTTGATGCCAAAGCATAGTTACAGAACCTTCGGAAGTGTTCAAGTTTTCAAAGCCCCTCCTCTGACTTATATGCAACAGTGTCTGAGGAGGGGTATCTCCAAGGACTCAAGGCTGCTGATTGACAATGTCTTATTGTAGTGCAGGAAACCCATCCCTGACAGGTGCAAGGCTCTGAAGCCTTATTGTTCCCAGTTTGAGAGGGAGAGGATTCAGAACTTCCCAGGGTTCAATAACTGAGGTAATCAATAGACTATTATGCTTAAAGAGTGGATTTTTAGGTGCTGGGTGCTGTGGTCTCAATTAGAGGCTCTAAAAATAACAAATGTCCACCACCTCACTCACTGGGACCCAGGAAACCATCACCAGAAAGCAGAACCTGAGGGAAATGAGTACATTAAATCATCAGAATTTGCAGAAATATTTGATTCCTTCTGGCAGGCTCATCAATCACGAATGATTAGAAAGCTGAGTTGCAGTGGGCAAGCCTCTGTTTTGAATGATGCCTCATTTCATTTCTATTACTAGGTGGTTATAGTTTGTAGAGAGACTTCTCTGCACATTTTTTTAATTTTTGTTTTTCAGCTAAATCCTTTCCTCTTACGGGAGTAAAGGGATTATGGCAATGTTCAAAAATCTGAGACAGATAAATGCTCCTAGAGGGCACCAATAAGTGTCAAGAGACCCAAAACATTCTAACCGCACACACCTCTGTACCAGGCACTACATTTAATCTTCTGTAGTCTCAAAAAAGGAGCAAGTTCAGAGAAGTTAAAAAAATGTCCGGAGATCATACCTAAGTGGAATTTGAGACCTGGTCTTTCTGAGTTAGGGTCCAGGTTCATTTCCCCTAGAAAAGAGCTTCATTCCACCTTCACATTTACCCCAAAAGAAAAAAAAATAGCCATGTATGTTGGAACCTTTAGCTCCTCTAAAGCCATTTTGTGGTCATTTCAACTTTGATGGAACAGGGGATGAGGAAGGGAACAAAGAAAAAATGTCCCTTTGAGCTCAGTTTCCATAGCTTTCCACTCAAAAAGGAAAGAGGTTCAGTCAAAGAAATACATGATACATATAAGTTTTTGTAACAAAAACCTTGAAGGGAACTTCATCAGAGAAAGAACCCAGACCAGAAAAAGGGATCTGAATTCTGCAGTGGGGCAACCTGGGAAGAGGGAGAGAGAAGGGAGGGGCTGGCGGGAGAAAGAGGGGATAGTGCAGGGGAGCAGGCAAAAACCACATCATTTTCTTTATTATCATGTCCATTTGCCTTCATTTTTCTGATGTTCTGTCCATCCGCTGTTAACACCTAATTCTCTAAAAAAATAAACACAACTTGAGCAAATTCAGTGAAAAGGCTTTGGAGAGCCCAATTACTGTGTATCCCCCAGACGCTTGGAAATGGACTTCATTTTTCTGTAATGAAAAAATAGTGAGTGACAGCCCAGCCAAATGAGGCACGTCCCAGTTCCAGCTTCGTCTGTCAGGCACATGCCGTGAGAGAGACTTTATGCATTGTCGCGGTAGCACGTACGGAGAGGTGTGTGCGTGCAAATATGCATACTTAAATTAAATTGGAAGGCACCTACCTGCTCCTGGGTGAGCTGCCATTTTTTTCTTCCCAACTCATCACAACAGTTGCTTCCTCCTGAATATCTAGCAGGTTTCTGAGAAAAGTCATGTTCATTATGGAAGTTATTTATTAATAATAAATAGAGGTGAAACTCAGTTAGAAACAGATACATTATGTTTTCTCATACCTGATGCAAGGGCATTAATGGATGAATGAGTTCTGCCTTACAGTCTGGGCTCATTTCTTTAGTTGCCTTTTTAGATATCTCTAGTTTATTCATTCATTCATCCACCCATGTATTCATTTGTTCAACACACCATTCATAGAAGTCTACTCGTAGCTGTGCACTGTGTTAGGAGCCGGGTGGTTACCAAGCTGAGTAAGCAACGTTCCTCTATCAGAATTCTGATCTGGTTGGGAAAGCAGACATATCCAAAGTCAAATATCTGAAATATCAAGTGTTTTATATTCTATTAGCACCTTCCCTCTGAAGAATGATAGGTTGTCTCGCAAACTCAAATGGGTAGTATTTGCCCCATGGGTTTCTTTGGATGGGTGTGCCATATCTACACACTTGCATTTCTATTTTCGAACTTAATTTTGTGGCATTAAGACAGCTGAGAAGTGTGCCTTTTCTTATGTGTGATGTGAAACCCTTGTTCTCAAACCTCTCAATACTGAAAACTTGTCTGGTTCTATAATCTTCCATTCAGCAAATCATTGTTGAACATCTTTTCCACGCCAGGTATTGCACTAGATGCGGAAATTCTAGGGGTAAACATGTCTCACACAGTCCTTGTCCTTATATAGTTTTTAATCTGTCAAGGGAAATAGACATCAAACAAATAATTACACCAATAATTATTTAATCACAGCTGTAATTAAGCGATATAATGGCACATGGCAGAATGCTTTAAGAGTGTTAAATGAGGTCCTGACAGTTTGGGGGAAGAGGGAGGATTCCAGAAAGGCATTCATGATGAGTGAAATTTACAATAGGAATTGGTCATGTGAAGAGAATGTAGGACAGCATTTCAGGTAATTTTTTTATTATTGTTGTTTCCATGTAAGTATGTCTTCTCCCAAGAGTGGGTTGGTTTGGTTCTTAGACACCAGAGGAGGTTGTTAAAGTAGGGGTGCTTTGGGAGCAGTTAGAATAGGTAGTCATGGAATAGCGTGATTTATAGGGAATGAAGTCTTATATCTTCACTCCAGCACTTGGTGTATCCCTTTGGTCCTAGAGAAGGGCCATTGCTTTAGATAACGTGTGCTTCAGTCTTACAGCAGCCTTTATTCACTTGGATGGCTAGTGCTTAGAAATTCCTTCAGTAAATGGACATGAGAAGGTGCATGAAGCTTAACAGCAGACAAAGGATAACTCGAGGTGAGATGCATGTCAAATATGTGTCAAAATCCAGCTTTTCCTGCTTCAACTTCACTAATACACATATGTGGATAGCCAGCATTGGAATTATATTTACGATGCCCTACTGACATACTTCATTGCACTTTATTATCCAAATCTATTCATGCAAAAATTGAGAGATCAAGAGAAATTTAATGATTTACTCTGCACCACATCCTGCGCCCAGAGTAAACTCCAGAGAGTTATAAAATCCTAACCTATGGCCCTTTCTACCATGCCCCAGCTGCCCCTCGACAATGATACTGAATGTAGTAGAACACACGGTAGTGTAGGCTTCTGTCCCGCATTCATTCACTCACTGGTATTTATACGTGGTAATACAACAATACAGTGCAATGCAATGTAATACAATGTGCTAAGCAATAAGCTAAATGCTTGAGATAAATGGTGAGCAAGATAGACAGTCTGCCTTCCCCAGCATAATGTATAATACAGTAAGGAAGACCAACAGCTAAATAAGCTATTACAATAAATCATGGTAGATGCTCTGAAGAGAGAAAAAAATAATGCTATGGGAGCTCAGAGTAAGGAGCTCTTAACCTTGCCTAGGGTGGTTAAATGCAGTTTGAGTTCTTAATTACAAAGCGTAGAGGTGCTAAGTAGATGGGTAAAGGAGGGAAAAATATTTTTCAGGCAAAAACACAGCATGAATGAAGACCCTGCGGCGAAGTAAAACAGAGCGTGTTACAGGGTCCAAAAAGTCCACAGTAGAGTGTGAGGAGAACTACGGCAGGAAGGAAAGATGCCACAGGGATGTCTGGTCCTCTCATATTGCAAGATAATCATAGTGACGGCAATGTATCTAGAAGCCTGGGCTGCCAAATAGCATTTGACAATCTGCCTTCTTCCTCAGTCGGCATTGCCATCTGAGTCTGGATAGTACATGACAGACTTATGGCACCAGTGGCAATCTCAGATATCGATTTCTTTAAATGAATACATGATTAGAATCAGAATTTGAGGAATCTCAGAAGTCATCTAGTTCTGCTAACCCTAGCCCAACCGCCGCCGTTTCACAGATGGAAAAAGTGAGGCTTAGTGACAGAGCGAATTGTCCAGAGATCTCCGCAGAGCTACAGGCAGATCTGAAATTAGAATCACGGTATGACAGTTTAAACCCTTTAAACTGGATCATCATTATCACCATTCATTAGTTGGAGAAACATCTGAAAACTCTGATATTCAATTGTTACCCTCCTGACTTAAAGCCTGTTAACCTGCTCAGTATCAAAGACACCATTTAGACGGAGATGTTCTCTTTTTTGTTTGTTTGTTTTTTGTTTTTGAGATGGAGTCTCACTCTGTCGCCCAGGCTGGAGGGCAGTGGCTTGATCTCGGCTCACTACAAGCTCCGCCTCCTGGGTTCACGCCATTCTCCTGCCTCAGCCTCCCGAGTAGCTGGGACAACAGGTGCCCGCCACCACACCTGGTTAATTTTTTGTATTTTTTTTTTTTTTTTTTTTTTAGTAGAGGGTTTCACCGTGTTAGCCAGGATGGTCTCGATCTCCTGACCTCGAGATCCGCCCGCCTCGGCCTCCCAAAGTGCTGGGATTACAGGCGTGAGCCACCGCGCCCGGCTCTTAGAAGGAGATTTTCTATGGCGTTCCTCTGAGAGATCACGTGAGTGCATTTCAGGAGCAACATCTGGATTACGTGATCCGGGCCTCGCTTCTCAGTCATTGGTGATCCCAGGCTCCCTCCACCTACCCGTCCTAAGACATGAATAGGTCACCGTAGCTGTGTGGACATCGTGAGAGTGTGGAGGGTAAGCGTGGGTGCTGCATCCATTCACAAACCTGCGGACCAGAAGACTCCGCCGAGGCAGTGCATTTCTTGTTTCCATTTTAGACCAGTGGGTCACAGCTGGTAAACAAGCACACCAGGATACACAGATAGAAGCTTCATCGAGCAGGAGAGCACAGCCTTTGCTCGGCCCTAGTGATCTCTCAGGGTGACATTGGGTGCTTGGTTTTTGGAACAGCCTATAAACAGCTTTCCAAATCTACTACCCTTCATTTATTAGTGGCTTAGATATGCAAATGTTTCTGAGAGTACAGGGTGTTTCTCTTCCTCTCTTAACACGCTTTCACAACTTTAACGGAAGAATCATAGAATCCAGCAGTTCAAGAGCTGAAAGGGCCTTTGATCATATAGTTTTTATATTTCATAGCTCAGGAAACTGAGGACTCCAGAAGTTATGCAGTTTCCTAAATGTTTCATTGCTACGTGGTAGTAGATACAGAACTGAACTCATCAATGTCTCTAAGAAAGAGAAACAGGAACAGACCTCAGTATGGCGAGTTCTGCTCACTGTCTTTAATCACGCTGATCTTAATGTACTGCTGATCTTTAATGTACTGCTCGCATTCATTGAGCATTGATGACGTTTTAGGCACCATGGGAAGCAGTTTTTTGTGCATTGTCTTTTTGAAACCTTGAAACAGCCTTATAAAATATAGCCAATATCATCACCCTGATTTACAGAATAATACAGTTATTATTAAATGTTAACTGTAGGCACTAGACATGGTACTACATCATGTATGTACATTAGCTCTTGTATTCCTCACGGCAGTAGTAGCATCTCCATCTCACCCATCAGGGAGCTGGGGCTAAGTGGATATACATAACTTGTGCAAGATTACAGAGCTGTCTGGGATTTGGAGACAGATTGTGAACCCTGGCCCCCACTTTGCCATTGCACTCTGACATCTTAGGAAGACCTGACCCTGGCTTGTTGGAATCCAAAACTCTTGCTCATTCACACCGCGCTTTACTCTTCCTAATTTTATAAGCACAAAATATCTTTACACCAAGTGGCATTTTCTTGGGATTCTTACTCATCCAGGATAATTCTTAAAGACAAGGAAAAAAAATACTAAATGTTTTTCCTACTCTCTTGTCTCACGCAACGCAACACTTCTGACATCAGATGAGTGAGAAATTTTTCCCCACACACCAACTGAGCAATGATCGTGAGGACTGGGCGTTCTCCAATTCAATTCAATTCTGACACTGTCTACCTGGAGACGGCGTCAGTCCCCATAGGGTGAGGCTCAGCCCACAGCACTGCCTCCCACTTCAGGTGCTAGGTGCAAGCCCTGGGTTGGGACCAGTGCTGCTGATCAGCGTTCCCAGCCCCCACCTCTTCAGGTTTAATTCATTTACTAGAGTGGATCACAGAACTCAGGGAAACACTTTACATACACTTGCCTGTGTATCAATAGAGGATACAGGGGAGCAGCCGGCTGGAAGAGGTGTGTGGGGCAAGGCAGCGGGGAGGGGTGTAGAGCTTCCAGGCCCTCTTCCAGAGCACCACCCTCAAGGAACCTACCAGTGTTCAGCAACCAGAAGCTCTTCAAACCCTGCCTTTTGGGTTTTTTATCAAAGCTTCATTAGGTTGCCATAATTGATTACATCATTAGCCATTGGTGAGCAACTCAACCTTCACCTCATCTCCCCTCCCAGGAAGAAGAGGGTGGGACAGAAAGTTCCAATTATTTAATCACAGAATTGGCTTCCCTGGCAGCCAGCCACCATCCTGAGGCCATCCTGGGCCCCAGCTGCCAGGCATCTCATTAGCCTGCAAGAAGACACTATCAGTTTGGAGATTCCAAGGGTTTTCAGAGCAGTGTTCCAAGAAAGAGGACAAAGACCATATCTAAATGTGTATGTATATATATATATATATATATATATATATATATATATATATACACATATATATATATATAATAGATCACAATAATACAAAAAGTAATATTTTCTTATCCTGAACTCATTTAAGGTCAGTATCAACTGATAAACTGATTTTCCTTGTTTCTGAGAAATAACAGCTACAGTAAAGCCAGCGTTCTCTCCTGTCCCTAGCCTGTTACTCACCAGCCCTTTAGAAAACTAAGATTGCTTTTGCTCTTTAGGGGGTGTTTGTAATTCTGAAGGATCATGAAACTAATTGTCAGTTTAGGAATATCAACACGAAATACCCAAACACACAAAACCCAAGAAACTCACTGTTTGCATAGTTCTGTTGTGGGTTTGTGTGTGTTCACAGGTGCCTAGTGAAGTTAGGCCACAGGGACCTGACAAAGTGTCCACTCCTTGGTAGCCTTATATTCTCACTGGTGCCCAGATATCATAACATCCTTCTTTATGAAGACCTGATGGATGCCACGTGATCCAGTTCTTCCTCACTAACTTCTTCTTCTCTATCAGAGAATGGAGAATAAGGGTAGGTTTAAGAGTCAGGGAGGAACTACCCACTCATGTGAATGACGAAATAGAAATTTCAAATGTGGGCTTACAAACGATTTACATGTAATTCAAATGACCAGTTTATTGGTTTTCTTTTAATTTGACATTCAGATAACAATAAACTTGGCTTAATTATTTCTTGTTCTTTTATTTTCAGAATATGTATTTTGCATAACTTAAATACTTCCTAATTGAAGATGTCAATTATCAGTTAAGACAAAAAAGGTCCCTTGTCCTTTGCATTTTTTTTTTTTTTTTTTTTTTTTTTTTTTGAGACAGAGTCTCGCTCTGTCCCCCCAGGCTGGAATGCAGTGGCGGGATCTCGGCTCAATGCAAGCTCCGCCTCCCAGGTTCATGCCATTCTCCTGCCTCAGCCTCCTGAGTAGCTGGGACCACAGGTGCCCACCACCATGCCTGGCTAATTTTCTGTATTTTTAGTAGAGATGGGGTTTCACCGTGTTAGCCAGGATGGTCTCCATCTCCTGACCTCGTGATCCACCCGCCTCAGCCTCCCAAAGTACTGGGATTACAGGAGTAAGCCACGGCACCCGGCCGTCCTTTGCATCTGTTTAAATTATTCTGCAATGAATAGAAATTATATAATTTAAAAGTCTTAGCATAATCTGACAGCTAGATACAGGTATACCTCATTACCATGGACTTCACCAATCCAAAATTTTATAATCATTCACAGACAGGATTGACCAGATATTGCGAATGACTTACCCTTCTTAGTAATTTATCTTCTAGTTCTACCTCTTTATACAGATAACTCACAACTCCCTATTGGCGGTAATTTGAGATAGAAAAGTCCTGTGTCAAAAGCCTCCGAGGCGAACACTGACTTCCACCTCCTCACTTAGCCTCCTGATCTCCCATGGCTTCACCTGAGAGGCGAAGATACTCCTGGCCTCATACCATACTGTGAGGCAAGGTTGAGAGAGGAAACAGCAGCAAAAGGAACTCACATTCAACTCCCCCTTCTTAGTAAAATAAGTTTAGAATCTGTAGAGAATCTACTCTAGGTCTCTGCATTTGTCCCTTGAGGGGCTGCCAGGCAGCTGTTATTATCCCGGTTTCAGATGAGCAAACCTATCCCAAAGAGATTGAGTAACTTGCTTGGAAGGTGTATAACTGAAAGCGTGAGATTTGGAGATAAACCTAGTTTTGAGTAGTAATTCTACCACCAGTTACCACGGGCTTTGTTATTTATCATCTCGGGCAAGTTACTTATCATCTCTCTGAACCTCAGTCTCTGTGTTTGTGTGATGGTGACATAACAGCACCTCCTATGTAACAGCAGAAACTGCTAGTCTTCCTGTGGTAAAACGCCAGCTCATTCAGGTCACGTGCTCGGCCCTGACACACAGAAGATACTAAACAAGTGCAGCTACTTTTAATTATGGGTCAGGATCACACTGCTGGTAAGCAGAAGCGCTGAGCTGCATGTCCGGGAGGGAGGCTTCAAAGCCTATGTATTCTCATGGCCACCTGCTGCCTTCTACAGAAGCACACCCAGAGATGTCTGTGAGATGAAGCAGCATGTTGGGTCCTGGCAGGATCCCTTGGCTGGTGTGGCAGAGCCAGTGTCAGTGATGCCTGTTTCCCACCTGAGCTTCCACAAGGAATATTGGGGCCTAACTTGCAGGGTAACTGAGTGGGTTGCTACTAGAAGAAGTTTCCCTGGAAGAAACATTACCTTGAAATCATCGAAAACAAGGGACAGAGCCGCTGGCCAACAGCTCCTAATCTCAGGTACTTGGGCAAAATGAGGGAGGGCGAGACTGTTCTGCCTTTGTCTGCTGTGGAGTGGTCTACTGGGGTCTTTCTGTGTTGGGAAGGGATATATGACGGTTGAATAGTGAGGTCCCCCTGACAGCAGTAACAGCACACCATCAATGATTGTTATTTGTGGAGGGACCATAGAAGCCATGAGTCCAGTTCCTTGTTTTACAAAGGTTGAAAGCAAGACACAGGTTGTAGGAATAATCGCCCCAGCTGATCTAGCTAATTGGTGGCAGAGGGAAAATGATGGAGGATGGGTTCGGCGGACAGGTAGGACTGGCCATCTCCCATCTACCCAACCTAGTGCAGGAGGGAAGGATGGCTTCAGCCGGAGGTGGAATGGCTGACCTCCTCTGGGCATGCAGACCTCTGGGCAACGTTACCTCGGCAGAGACCCCTCCTTGATTATTCCACCTAAATCATTCCCGGATCTTTGTCTATTTCTTTATGTCTATCTTTTCACAGCAGTTCTCAATGGCTGACAGTGAATTATTTTTTATGTGTGTTCATTGTCTGCCTGTTCCGCTGGAATATAAGCTCCATTAAGGCTTGGAGGCTTTGTTTGGTGACAGCTAATTTCTCAGCACGTTGAACAATACCAGATTCATAGTAATTAATAAACAATAAAAAACCATTGATTGAATGAATGGATGGCATGAAATACTGACCTAAAAAGTTAGGAGGTAAATACTGGCAGATAAGTTTGGAGAGGCGGTGAGAAGGCAGGCAGAGACCTCCAACCCTATTTCTCAGACATAGTGGCTTTAGCCAGTGTTGACATTTTCTGAGCTGGAGACACAGCATGAGAACAAAGTCCTCCAAGTTACTCATTTTCTGCTATTCTGCTACCTCAACTCTCTGGAATTCCAGAAAATCCCATCTTTTTCTCCTCTCCTTCATTTACTTTTTCTTCTTTGCCTTTTCTGCACTCTGCTTGGATACAGAAATGCTCATCTTCTGAACAACGCATCTTCCTGGTGTCAGCCTCTTGCTCTCATGCCACTTACCTACTTACTTATGATAAACTGGGATGAGATATGGCTCCCCAATTTATCTCAGGAAAAGCTTAGAGCAATGGGGGAGAAAAATTCATCAAAACGTTTGACCATCTTGATTTGTAGGTAGGACCTAGTCATTTATTGGGTGTCAAGAATTGTGCTAAATCTTAGAAATGTAGACTAAAAGGCATAAAATATACTTCCATGCTATGGAATCCAATTCAATGGTAAAAAAAAAAAAAGCATGCATTGTTTTCTTTCCAACTTTTAATTTCCAGGAGTACGTGTGCAGGTTTGTTACGTGGCTAAATTGTGTGTCCTGGGAGTTTGGCGCAGAGATAATTTTGTCACCTGGGTAATCAGCATAATACCTGATAGGTAGTTTTTCAGTCTTTACCCTCCTTCCACCTTCCACTCTCAAGTGGGCCCCTGTATCTATTATTCTTTTCTTTGTATACATATGTACTCAATGTTTATCTCCTACTTATAAGTGAGAATATGCAGTGCTCGGATTTCTGTTCCTGCATTAATTTGCTTGGGATAATGGCCTCCAGCTAAACCCATGTTTCTGCAAACGACATAATTTCATCCTTTTTATGGCTTTGTAGTATTCCATAGTGTGTATGTACCACATTTTCTTTATCCAGTCCACCGTTGATGGCCTTCTAGGTGGATTCCATGTCTTTGCTATTGTGAATAGTGCTACAATGAACATATGGGTGTATATGTCTTTATGGTAGAACAATTTATATTCCTTTGGCTATGTACCCAACAAAGGGATTACTGGGTTGAATGGTAGTTTTATTTTTAATTCTTCTACATATAATGACATGGGAAATATTGGAACATATTGTTACGTGGAAAAAATAAGTTGTAATTTGGCAAACATACATTAGTAACTTGTTTTAAAAATATCAGTGTATCTATACCTATATCTGTATGTCTATGTCCTAGTATATATCTATATCTATAGGTTAGATATACATCCAGAGATGTTTGAGAGATTGCACGTACAGAAAACCACCTCTAAAAGCACACCACAATTGTATACAAGTGGCCACCTCTAAAAGAATGAGATTGCTGAGGGTGGAGATTTTGCTTTATGTACTTTGGCATGTTTCCAATCTTTTTATGTGAAGAGAAAAATATTTGCAATTTAAAAATCAGAGGGAAAAACAATGACAAAAAAAGTATAAAATGAGTATCTTCTCTTCTGCCCCCAAATAAACCACTCTCCTCTTACTAAGGGAGACAGGTGCATATAAATGTAGAAATCAGTGTGCCAATCTCTGCCCACGTGACATGCACAGGACGGTGTGACACTCCAAGGAGAGAGGTCTTGTTTGCAGCAGTCAGGGGCGACATCTCAGGGAAAAAGTTCTCAAGTTGGTTCTTGAAGAGTAAGTAAAGAGTTCAGCAGAGACATCAGGCTTTCCATGGAGATAGGAGCTGTGTAGGGGTGGGGGAAATGGTGCTCATTTGAGCAATGCAGAACTATTTGGCTGGATGGAGGGCGGGACGTGTGCAGGACAGTCTCGTGAAGGCTGGATCCAGACTGTGAAAGACTTCTCTTCAGGAGTCTCTCCCGAGTCAGTGCAAAGATTGAGTTTGTTTATTCCTTCATTTCATAAACATATTTGAGCATCTACTGGCTGTTAGAGTTTTACTAAGTATGAGGATTTAATGATAAATAAGAAACAGAAATCTTGCCTTCTTGGAGACTCTACTTTAGTAGACTTGGATAATTTTCCTTTCTTTCCAAAAAAGACAAGCAATGGTAAACTGCAGTATGAGGTGTTGGTAGTTAGCATTAATTAAGGATTAGAGGCCTTTAGGGGAAATCAAGTTGTTGCTGAAGGATTAGTCATCACATCTATAATTCAGAGCAGCATGGATATTCCACATTTTGCGGAATACTTGGGAAGGATGAAAATGTACAAGTGGAACCAAGACTTCTTAACATCAACCTCAGAATAGCTGTGCACTCCCCTCCCCTCAGTCCTTTTGCAAGATAGAGGGTTGACTTGTTTAGCTCATCTATCCAGCTAACTGTTCCCCTGCCTCTCTGTCACTGGATTTCCATCACTAGGCGACTGTAGCGTCATATGTGTATGTTGAAGCACTGAACTGTGAATCTTATCACAAGAAAAAAATTTCTTAAAACTAAAAAACAAAAAATAATTTATTACTTATAAGACAATAATAAAAGCAAAGGTAATTTCCAAGAGCAACATATAACAATATATTCTTCTGTTTGTTTTCCCCCAGAGCTAATTTTAAGCAAGAAACTATTGTAAGATCCTCTAAAGAACTCCACCTACAATTCCCTCTTGCCACCCTCTCCCCACCTCCTGCATAGGTGGTTCTGATTCTTTTCCTGAGTTTTTTCTACCCCTCAAGACCTAGGTTTGCCCAAAATGTCTGTGTGAACTAGAGCCCCCCGTTGTTTACAGTTAGCCAGCTTAACACTTCTCCTTTTTTTATATGCATTATTTTGTTGCTGGGAAAGTAATCCTTCTCTTCTCTTATCCATCATGTTGTTTGTGTTTCTTGGTGTACAGGAGAGTAAGCTATTTATTTAAGTGCTTTGAGTTATGTACCTTCCCAAATAAACTATTTTAAGATACAGAGATGGATTTAGGGATTCATATACTATCTGTATTAGAAGAAAACTTGCAGCTCATTGGTTCATATGCACCCAATCCAGAATACACATCTTCTACGCCTCCACAGCATGCATTCAAGCAGCCTCTGCCAGGCCCTCCCTAAGGGCCTAAGCATGTCTGCTACCTGACACAGCTCCTGTTGCTCCCAGTAGCTGTGGCTATGGAAATGGGCCTCATCCCATCACACTCCCATGGTCTCTCTGTAAAATCCACATGCTAGTACTAGTCCTGCCCTGGGAGACAACAGAATAGATGTGAGTCCACCTCTCCACAGTGCTTCACGTGTTCCCATGCTGCCCTCTTGTCTCCCCTGACAACGCCTTTCTTCATGTCCATCTAGTTCCCAATCGTGAAGTTCTTCTCATTTCCGGCTCTTTCATGCCCAATGTCTTGGTTTGTACAGTCTCCTATTACATGTTGTCACCAGATATGGGCTCCCTAGAGCAGAGCAGAGCCATTTTGTCTCTTTTGTTCTGATTCTTTACTTGCTAAATGTACCTACTGTGGAAACAAAATGCAATGTATGATCGAATGTCCTTTTGTTAAACAGCCATTTCACTTTTTAAAACTCAGAACTGTGAGAAAACTACAAAACTCCTGAAGATTTTTCACACGTCTTGCTATGAAAACACATCTCCCCACTGCGGGTTATTGTACAGGACCAGCAATCATAATTGAATAGAGTTTTAAACAGCTGCATCATATCCATCAATATAAAAATCGTTGAATGAGATAGAAATCCTTTGAACCCATTTTGGAAGGATATCCATGTGAGTTTTTGTTTATTCTAGGAAGGTTGAAAAATATCATTTCATTTATTTTCTGCTAGCGTAGAAGTGTGGACCTTACACAGGGGAAGGAGTACCTTGAAAATAGGTCGTCTGTCTGGGTTGATAGGTTTTGTGAGTAGGCCTGGCGGTTGTGCAGTGAAGCCTCCTGGAGGAAGGCATTTTAGTGTCTGCCATGTGCCTTCTTTTCAGGCTATGAACGTCCCAGATATATGCCTGTTTTCTCCCTTTTTCACCCGTTCTTTGACTAAAGGCTGTTTGGGGAGGCGTCCTACTCGGATCACGCTTGTTCCATTGAAGCAAGGCATCAGTAAAGTTGATCACACACAAGCACTTGTGAAAGAGATGGTGACTCAGACTTGCTGGATCTCAAGCTCTTGCTAGTTCAATACCAGCTGCATCAATGTAGCTATTGACTCGGAATTCATTGGCATAAACACCATTTGTCAGCCTTCCAGAGAGAAGAGTTCCATGACCAACCTAAAGACTGGCTCACTCCTGTGATTAGTCATTCCCATCTAATTGAGCAAGTGGCTTATTATCTAGGCATTTCCAGACCTTAGTCACCCATGAGAAGCAGTGAGATGTGGTAATGAGTCCACACTAGCAGGCTTAGCATTATGGCAGCTCTCCTATTGTCACGTTTATTAGGCAGGCACCATGTGCTGAGTTTGGTAGAGGACTTTGAAATGAAAAGGTAGCTGCCTTTAATGAGTGAACATATTAAGGTTTAATGATCTCTTACCAAAGAATTGATCCTTTCTTAGATAAAGGACAATGTATCATTCTACAAGTAAAGCAACAATTTAATAGTTTCACCTCGCCAAGGCTTTCAGATTACATAGAATGAGATTCCAAGGATCCATTATACCTGATGGTATCACTCAGGGTGCCGGTAAGGAAGAGAGATTGTGTAGTGGAGAAAAATTGTTTGCCTGCTAAAATGCCATATTGTATAAAATATTTTATAGGTGTTTCAATAGATTCTATCTTCCACTGGGGGAGAAACTTAATTTAACTAAGACAGCACATTTCTGAGAGTGTACTGATTTGAAGTAAAACAACACACTCCAGGCAATTCACTCCCAGTTGGATTGGCTTCCTTGGTTTTGCGGTCTCTGCACCCTGTCTTTACTAGAAAAGGCAAGATGCCCTCTCTTTGAGTAATGTCAAATTGTACACAGAATTGCGCCTGCTTCCAGTAAGCCATTGGGGTCACTGCAGTTACAGGAACAGGTCCTTATGCCTCAGAC
This sequence comes from Homo sapiens, assembly GCF_000001405.40. NCBI lineage: Eukaryota > Metazoa > Chordata > Mammalia > Primates > Hominidae > Homo > Homo sapiens. The sequence continues at coordinate 133,196,840 of NC_000011.10, read as the reverse complement.
ATGTAAATAAATAGCTCTTTAGTATTTCAGAGGCTTATCAATTATGAGTGCCCAACCACAGTGCAACTGGGCAATTGACTATGCATCTTGGCTCGCAGATTAGTCTTTCTTTGACTTGCTGTAGCTGTGGGATGGTCTCAATTGTCCCTCACCCTCCTCACAAACATTGCCCTTTTCTTCCATTACTCTATGCTGGCTTTGCATAAGAAAGAAGAAATAATATTTGACTGTCAATAAATCTCTCAGTGAGCAGTGCTATTAAGGGGCAAAGTATTTTTACATTTCAGAGTTGGTGCTTAGGTCACCAACCTATCCCCTCTGGTATCAAGCAGTCTACCTGGCAAGAGAGTTAGAAAATAGCCTTCACCAAGGGGCTTAGATTTTGTCTTCTCACTTTTGAAAAGATGAATATGTATGAGCATCTCTCCAGAGCCTCTGAAAGGATCGCTGGGTGGAGGGTGGAAACCCAGTCACTGAAGTCCCCATGGAGAAAAGATAAAGAGTTGGACTGAACAGCTGCTTGAATGGATGCATTAAACTGACATTAAAATCACCAACGTGTTTGAGAAATCCACTAATAACACCTAGCAAGGCTCAGGGGCAGAATCGATTTAGGGAGTCCAGGAAATTCCACACCTGGTTTGGTGCAGTAAACCCCAAAGTCATTAAGAAGAATTAGTTAAGCCCCCTTGTTCCTCCTACATTTATTTTCACTGATCCTATTTAGTTCCTTCTTCAATTTGCTAAGACACAGGTGTATACTGATCTCAGCAGCTCGTGAATATTTTAAAACTAAAGTTTCTTGCAAAGGAATTTAACAAACAAAAGTCTCAACTCACTACCTTAAATTTATATTCTCTGAGCCCTTAAGCTCAAGGAAGCATTTGGAATTGCTTTGACTTAGAGAAAAGGTAGAAATATTGTAGTCTATGAGTGCGCTACCTTTCAAGACCATTGTTGGTTTAGTATGGCAATATATATCATTCATGTGACAGATATTCATTGAGCATATACTATGTGTTAAGACTCTGCTTGGTGAGGGAGAATATAGCTATGAAGAAGACAAATGTGTCCCTAGTCCTTATAGAGCTTATAATCTTATGGGAAGATGAAGGTACATAAGAGGCATAAGCAGGCAATTTTAAAATGTAGAAGTAAATGTGACTTTTGAAGACAAAGACCACTTCCATGATAACTTTTAATCCTATACTTCTTCCCATGCTAATTGAATCCTACACAGATACCATGGAGATGTTTTATGAACTGTGTGATTGATGGCAGAACATATTCATTAATTTTGTCCATGGCACTTGATTGGGTGTCATAATGAATGCGGAAATAGAATCCAAAGGAACTTTAATATATTGAAGAAATGTTTTTCAAAGTCAGAATGAGGTTCCGCAAGGACAAGCTGGGGTTTTGCAGAAAGGCACACATACATGTGCAGGATTCCAGCATCTTTTCTCACGGGTGCTGTTTTTACTTAAGCAATGGCCTCCAATGAGCATTTATTGAACCGCTGCTACCTGCCATGCACAATACAGGAGGAGACTTCTATGGATTAGAATAATGGTGGTCAATGCTAGGGTGATGCTGAATATGGAAACAGTCAGAGTTTTACTAAAGGCCAAAGAGTATTAAATTTGAAGTTACTAGCATTTTCCCCCATGAGTATCCTCCTCCCTGTAGCAATGGAATTCAATAAGTATATATTAAGCACCTACTACATGCAAAACTCATGCACTCTGGAATCCGACAACTTACTAGGAGAAAATTGCACAGATTTAATTTTGTACCAGAAAGAAGTAAATCAATGTTATAAAAGTGGAACAGTTAATAATTCTACTGGAGTAGAAAGGAAACAGGGATTGATACTAATCATGAAAGGCTACGTGAAGGAGTTGACATCCGAGCTGCACCTTAAGTGTCTCAGCATGTAAAGCAGTGAATTCCATGCTGGAAGCCAGCTGAACAAAACCACAGACACAAGCAAGTGGGGAGAGATTCAGGGGCATTACGTATGTGTCCCTGGAGCAAGGTTCTGAAGGGAAAATGTGGGGATGAAGCTGAAAAGGTAAGGTGGGACTAGGTCATTAGCATAGATTTTGAATTTCATTCTATAGGCAATACGAAATTTTCAAAGGATCTTGAGGAAGAGGCTTTTGTGTTTTATAAACTTGCTATATGGGCAAAGTGAAGGACGTATCGGAGATGGAAAGGGCTTGGTATCAGGGGGTAGTTGTGAGGTTATTATAACTCATTCTAACTTCATTATCCTGAGAAGATGTGGCCTGAAGTAAAGTGATAGTGATAAATGTAGAAAACTGAAGCAGCCGGGCGCAGTGGCTCATGCCTGTAATCCCAGCACTTTGGGAGGCCAAGGTGGGCAGATCACATGGGGTCAGGAATTCGAGACCAGTCAGACCAACATGGAGAAACCCCATATCTTCTAAAAATACAAAATTAGCTGGGTGTGTTGGTGCATGCTTGTAATCCCAGCTACTCAGGAGGCTGAGGCAGGAGAATTGCTTGAGCCTGGGAGGCGGAGGTTGCAGTGAGCCGAGATTGCACCTATTGCACTCCAGCCTGGGCAACCAGAGTGAAACTCCATCTCAAAAAAAAAAAAAAAAAAAAAGTGGGGGAAGGGGAAAGGGAAGGGAAGGGAAGGAATGGCCATCGGCTTCAATGAGTGGAGGGAGTCAGGTTTGGACAGACTTAGACAGTTACATCAAGGTATATTAGCTTCTCCCCTAACCTCAACTAGGCAACATTCTTTCTCAAAAAATGAACAAAATGTGGACATTTATATCTAGGACAGAGCCTGTTGCTGAATCCAGTAACTTAAAAGTATCATGCTTTTGAAAACTTCCTCTTTTTCTAAAGTAATAGCTTGTATTGTTCTAAGTGTTGTTTTCTTTTTCTTTCTGTTTTCATTATGGGGCATATAGGACATTGATTATTGCTGTTATTATTGTAATTCTTAAAATTACATTTTCTTTGAATCATAAATCAATGCATTATCTCCCCTCAAGGACTTCTTCTATTTAAAGAGCCAGATCGATTTTTACAGGATATGCCGACCATAAATCTTTGGTTCTTATTTTTTCCTCCTGAAGACTTTGGATCAGAATTATTATTATCATTATTTATTATTTATTGAGTGCTGTCAGTGGGCTCAGCAGTATACAAATATAAATGGGTAAACATCATCATTAAATCTGTTTCCAAAAGGAGCAGGTGTTTATCATGAAAGAAAGTATTTGAATTACCAAAATAGTGCCCATTAGTGGTTTTCATTTCCTGGAAAATATTGTCTTTGTGGTCATTCAACTCCTGTGGCATTTCGAATGGAATAAATGGGGGCAATCTCTCATTTCTGGCTTGTTTCCAAGTTGGGAATTACCTCCTACTTCTTGAAAGTTACCCATAATTTAATTTCAGTAGCTTTGGCTTGATACCTTCTAAGATTTTCTCTTCATTAGTGACTTAAACAAAGCCCAGCTCAGTTCTTTGCGGGAGATGCTTTTACTCACTCCTTGGATTTCTCCTCTTGGCCAACTAAAAAGAAGCCAGCCCACCTAGGATCTGACTTTTTTTTATGTTATTCAGAAATGGAGGGATTGTAACCAGGAATGTACAGATCCAGGATTCTTCTGGTTCCACTATCTGACTGGAAAGAGGCAGGCTCTCTCATGCACAGTTTAGAGGCATGCTGAGGCTCCTTGATCTTGCCACCACCAGAAGGACCACTATCAACAAAAGCACTCAATTCTGGTTTTTTTTGGTCAGGGAGGCAAAGTCTTTGTACCCATGGTTATTTTCCAGCAAACACTTCTATGGTCTATGTTAGCAGAGAAGAAACCTACAGCCAAAAAATCTGCCATTTATCTCGAACCTTTATTTTAGTAATTTGTTTTAACCTCAATTCAAATGCCATGTTAACAAAACTGGAAATGAAAAAAAAAAAAAAGAAAAGAAAAGAAAACACGAAGCAACTAATGCTGTTGATTGGAGGTTACCAGATAATTATAGCAACCACAACTAAAATTTGTTTTGAATTTAGCCTTTTGCACAGTGCTTTCCCTTATAGAAATTGATATTCACAACAGTCCTGAACAGGAGGGAGGAAGTGTGTTATATTTAGCATCCCAAATGTATGAAAGAGGAAACAGACTCAAGGAGGCTAAGTGACTTGCCCGCAATTAAACAGCCAATATGTTGCAGAAATTGAAGCTCTGTCCCTTTCTACTACTTATAATTGAATAACGTCAAGGAAGAGACAAAGAATAGGCAACCAGCGGTGGAAACAAAGGAAATGCAAGTTTTACCTTCAGAAAGGGAGTGGTAACTGCAAGGGTAATAGAATTGCTGAACAAATAACTTTTAAGCCTCCTTCTGGATCTATGAGTAGGCAATTGGTCGGACAATCACATAGAACTTAGATCTGTTTCTCTTCCAGACCTGGATAGAAACCATCTCATGTATATATTATGACCTACACTGGGAAATAGACCCATTTGTAGATAGGGCTATCAATCTGCAGATGAGCTTCCTCCCTGTCCAAATTTGGAAAAACATTCAGGGCCATCAAGATATTAGTATTATTGACTCTGGCTTCAGAAGATCAAAAACTCTCTGACCAAGAAGGAAATAATTCTGCCCCTTCATCTGCTTTGCTAAACGAACAAAGACAAGCACTTACAATTCAATGCCCCACAAAGGCCTTCTGTGCATTTATTCCTGCAACCAACATTTATTGAGCATTTACCCTGCACAATGAAGTCTCATTGTTCTTTTTTTACTGTACCTATCTAGAAAGAATCTATCTTCAAACTTGTCTCAGAACTAAAAACAGCAGACAGTTCAAGTGTTTCTATTTAGCTCTAAGGTTTTCTATATTTTGGGTTAGAGACAAGCAGACCATTCACCAAAAGCCTTGCCCATTTAAAAATATGACCAATGACTGTACATGGGTTCCAACATGCAACACACAAATGGAAGTTTTAATGGGCATCTGTGAGATTGCTGGAGATAAGAAAAGGATACAGGCCAGGCATGGGGGCTCACACCTGTAATCCCAGCACTTTGGGAGGCCAAGGTGTGTGGATCACCTGAGGTCAGGAGCTCAAGACCAGCCTGGCCAACATGGTGAAACCCCTTCTCTACTAAAAATACGAAAATAAGCCGGACATGGTGGTGGGTGCCTGTAATCCCAGCTACTGAAGAGGCAGAGGCAGGAGGATTGCTTGAACCCAAGATCACGCCTTTGTACTCCAGCCTGGATGACAAGAGTGAAACTCCGTCACACACACACACACACACACACACACACACACCCACACACACAGAAAAGAAAAAGATACAGAAATACTTTCACTCTTAGGTAGAACTATAGAATTTATTTTGTTCTAATGATTTATAATGTGTTGAAATATACATTGAACATTCTAAATTACCCTCTACAATCATTAACAAGGAAGCAACAGGGAAGGAACTCTTGCATTTTATAATAAAATGACAAACCAATTTTTTAAGTGAGCAAAAAATCTGAATAGACATTCACTTAAAGAAAATACACAGATAGTCAATAAGCACCTGAAAAGATGCTTGTCATCACTGATCATTAGGGAAATAAATACCAAAGTCATAATGAGATATCACTCTCATTCGCCATAATAAAAAAGACAGATAATAGCCAGTATTCATGAGGATGTAGAGAAACTGGAAACCTCGTATATAGGAAAATGAAAAAATGGTACAGCCGTTTTCAAAAAAAGTCTGTCAGTTCCTCAAAAGTTTGGGTGTGGTTACCCTAATATTCAGTAATTCCACCCCGAGACATAACCAGAAGAAATAAAAATGTATGTCTACACAAAAACTTTCACATAAATATTTATAGCAACATTATTCAAAATAGTCCAAAAAAGAAACAAACATATACCTTATTAAAAGATACTTGAATAATGGATAAGTAGAATATAGTCAAGCCATATAATGAAATAATATTCGGCAATTAAAAAAAATAAAACACTAATACATGTTACAACATGGATGAACCTTGAAAACATTATACCAAGTGAAAGAAGCTAGTCGCAAAAGACCATTTCTTGCATAATTTTATTTATACAAAAAGTCCAGAATAGTCATTTGTTTCTAGAGAGAAAAGAAATTATATGAGTGGTTGTATAGAACTGGGGAGATGGGGAGATTGGAGGTGACTGCTAAAGGACACAGGATTTCTTTTCTGGGGTGATGAAAATGTTCTAAAATTGATTGTAGTAATTGTTGTACAACTCTGTGAACAAACTAAAATCAGTTGAATTGTATACTTTGAATGAGTGAATTGTATGTTATATGAACTATATCTCAATAAAGATGTCAGGAAAGAAAGAGGAAAGATAGGAAGAGAAAGAGAGAGGGAGGGAGGGAAAGAGAGCAACAGGAATTCATGGTGATGGTCATTCAAAGAGATTACCACAACATTTTTGATAGGCATCAATTCCCTTCTCCCTTCCTCTTTTTTTGTCCCTTAAAATGGCTCTGGAAAAGGCTACAATTATACTTGCACATACTGCCTTGCAAGATGGAACCAAGCTTGTACACAGCTTTTCCATCTTTTGTCTCCATGGGGAAATTTTAGATGTTGGGGACTGATGATAGCTTACAGCAAATTCCCAGCTGGTCACAGCATGTTTGGACTCTGGATTTCAGGATTGGAATTCATCAGGCACATTTGTGTGTGCTACTGTCTGTAGGATTATATCTTTGTTGATCCTGCCTGCCTGTGACCAATGGGAACTATATGGAAGTGGTAAAGTCCTTTGGAATAAAAATTTAGAATCTGGTGAAAACGTAACCAGGTCCCGCCAGGGAAGGATGAAGCATCTGTGTGGAATCTGTTCAGTACAAGGCAGCAACCACTCCTTATTTTCCCTGTTCAATTAGAAGAGTGTTCAATTGCCCTAGCTGCAAGCAACCTCCAGGGATAGATGTGAAGTAACTGTGTTTTGTTTGTTTGTTTTGTTTCAATTACTCAGACAACTGGTTCCTTTGGGAGTCTACCTTGAATTGATTGGAGCCCTACCTGGTGACTGTCCTCTAATTTATATTAATAAGCTGGTTGTGTGTTATGTGATAAAGTGGCCAGCAGATACAATGATTTAGGAGGGAGTTTCATATAGGGAATTATGAAACCTGGCCACAACCTCTTTGTAGACCAGATATCTGATATGCTAGGATCTCCTGAAGGACTCTTATTTCTAAACAAGATGAGAGATGGACAACCTGACTTCTCAGTATTCCAGTATTTATAACAATGGATACTACATTTATTTATCAGGTAAGATTTAACTAGTATCCAATATACAATACTTCCTAATTAAGAGTCCACTTTTCAGATCCTTGTTAAAATATGAGATGTATTTTGTAAAGAATGTTAGGTTCCATAGTTGCCAGTAAGTATGTAATCTAGAGCTTTCTTCCTTAGTCTTCACCTTGCTTCTCTAATAAAAGTGGATAAACTGGGACAGATAGCCTTTAAGGTCAATTACACACTAATATTCAAAATTTATGTAATTTAATGGAAAATCATATTTTTTATTTCTTTATCCAGGTTCTGATTTCATTTATTTATTTAGCAAATATATATTGAGGGAAGAAGAACCAGGACATAGTGATGGATGGGAAGTCAGGGGTGAGGGGAAAGAAGGCAGTAAGGATGAGGTCTTGATTTGGGCAAGTGGATGGATGGTGAGAACCATTTAACCAGAGAGAGAATGGGGAAGATATTTTTTGCCCATTTATTTGAGGAGTGGGGAGTGGCAGGGGACAAGGGCCAAGGGCTCTGTTCTGAATATACAGAGTTTGTACTGGGATATCTTTGAAAATATAAGTGGTGATATCACCTGGCTAGTAGTAAATGCAAATCCATCACTAAACCAGCCTTCTGTGAGTGTCAAAGTGCAGAACTCAGGCCTGGATGAGAAGTGTGGGGTGCAGAGAGACTGCATTCAGGGTACATATACTAGCTACGTGAGATCTACATGCGACAGAACCTCACTAGCAAGGATAATTTATAGATCTTCATTTGAAAATTTTGGGGAACATAAACTACCTATAGTTAAAAATAGAATAACAAAAGGGAAGATTCCCTTTTCTCAACTATTATATTTCTTCCCCAAACTCTTTGCATTTAACAAATGTTTTCATACAAACACATTTTAAAACAATAATTTTGTGGGTTTTTTCTCCTGCATCTGTGACTTTTTCTTCTCATGGTTCACTTAGAAGACATCTCAAACTTTTTTTTAATTCAATCTTCTATTTTCTATGGAAGAGGAAGTGAAGATTATTTTCCCTTTTATTTTTCCTTTTTGAATTAACCTGTAACAATGTGGATCGCGATGGAGTTGAGAAAGAGAAGGCAGACTTTAATCGTTTTCCCCACTCTTCCTCAGAGAAGTATTTAGTAAATAAGAAAATGAATTTATATTGAACAGTGACCACAGAAAGAGCCAGTGATAAAGACAGATGTGAAGTGAAGCTTTCCCAAAGATACAGTCCCCCTCCTGGAGGTAGCATGAGGCCCATATGATTCTTCTAGTGTTTGACAGCACTCAGGAACTCAATGAAGTCCTAATGATAATTGCAATGACAGCTTTTGGCAAATGGATTCATTCTTTGCCATTCACTTAATCCTGACCAGAAATAAAACTATTTGTTAATTGATGTCATTTCCTCTTGAGAACAAAATAGTAAGATTTAGAGGTCCGAAGCTAGGTAACCTAGTTTAGAGCTTTGGCTTGGACAGAAGGCTTCAAAACCTGTTTTTTGTTGTCACCCAGAGCTGCCTGAGTGTTTGGACAGCATCACGCACCAGGAGTGAAACGACTTGGAACTGTGTTCTGACTCCACCATGTGTTAGCTGTGTGGTCTGAGACAGTTTATTTCATCCTTCTGATCTTCAGTTTATAAGTTGGGAAAAATATAAAAACATGTGACAGTTCCATCTGTACACTGTACTTCATGGGAATATTACAAAGATCCATGAAATAAAGGATATGATAGCTCTTTAGAAGTTGTACACAATATATGCGTATGATACCTAACACTGGGAAAGAGATACTCTTTCAACATTCCTAAGCACGGTAGCTCTAGACTGCATTGCACAGCTGCTGGGTGCCCTCTTGTTGAGGGGACTTCAAGTCCCAGCCTCTTTTAACTGTTTAGTGCTTTTGGCATATGCCTTATACTCCTGTCTTGGTGAAGCAGAAAGGTAGAAGTTGCGCAGGGGTTGGATCTGAGGAGCTAGGCCAGAAAAACCAACAGACCATGCGAAAAGAAGCAACTGAATAGGTATCCACATTTGGGGTAGAGAGCAAGCAGGTCCAGCATTTGACAGCTACAACTTTTGGTGGAAACCATCAGGCCTGAAACCAATGCACTGCAGAGTGGATCATCCCAACCAGTAGTTCTTTACGCAATTCCTGCCAGAGCTGGAGCTGATACCCAAGCAGAGGCAACTTTGAAGAGACTACACTGAAAGTGGAAAGACGTGGGATGTGTATTATAAGTGAGAATGTGGAAGCCTGTGGTAAATGTGGCTGTAGGTGCAGATCACATCTGAGCACCATGCCACACCTCCATGACTCCCTTGTATGGATTACTGCAGTCCCTTCCTGATGGTCTCCCTGCTTCTACTTTTCTTCCCTGCAGTCTATTCTCAGTAGAGCATCCTGTAAAATGTAAATCAGATCATGTCACTTTTCAGCTTATAATGCTGCAGTGATTCTCAGTAAATGCTCAGATCTAAACAGGCTGTGGATCATCTGAAGACCTTGTCCTCTACACACACCACCACCACCACCACGACGAATGCCTCTTTGACCTCCCTCCTACGCCAACCAGACTCACCCTGTTCCAGGCTTCTCAATGAGGCCTACCCTGAGAACCATCCTTAGAATTCTAACTCCCTCCAGCCTCAGTTCCCTCACCCTCCTCTGCTGGAAAACTTTGCCCACACTGAGCACCAGTCAGCAGGCTGTGTACTTGGCTTTCTTATTATGCTATTGATTAGTGCTTGCCTGCACCTTCTAAAATAGAGTATATAAATACAAGGATCTTTGCATGTTCCATTCGTGGATGTAACCCAAACCTATGGAACACCTGTGCATAATATACATGTCCTAAGTATCTGTTGAATGGCTGAGTGCAGAGGCCACAAAAATGGAAGGAACCCAGGAGTGAGCTGAGAATAGCGAGGAGGTGAGTGGAAAGCAAGGCCCTTCTCCCTTACCCCTCTCCATTTTCCCTACTTTCTCTTCCCCCCGCCCCCGCCTTTTTTCTACTCTCTCATCTCTCCTGTATTCTAATTTGCCCATCTGGTGTAAGCATCCACTTCAGAGGCCAGCAGAGGCAGCTATGGGCCTGAATTTGAATCGCTTTTCCCAGTAAGGAGGTCACAGAAGTGATATTTATAAATCAATAAGCATCTCAGACTGACAAAAAGTAAATGAGTTATGTGTCCTTAAAAATCTGCAGCCTGGGTAGCCAGGTTCTTTCTTTCTATTGTATCCCTGATGTGTAAAAACTTCTCTTTTGGAGCTTACAGGCATAGCCCACAGCAGATTCTTTTGCATATTGCCCTAGGTAAGAGATTCGCCTTCCCTCAGAGTGGGACTACTTTTGAGAAGCAATTAAATGCCATTGAAAGCCAAGTCTCATGAACAAACTAAATGATCAAGCTGGATAATATCGTTTGGATCTGAAATAACTACAAAGGATGGAGGCTATATATTTCTGGTTTTAAACCTAAATTTGCTATAAATGTCCAGAAACATGGTCATACCATTGTTGGAATAAGTACATATGGAATAAGTACAGTGACTACTTGGAAAATTGTACTCACATGTATCTTCTGAGAATTTAATGTAAAGAAAAATCATTATACCATCATCATACCTCATGCTTTTCACAGAATTCAGATACCTGTATTTAAGTTTCTACATCTGTAGAATGGGAGTCAAGAATGTTCTTTTCAAGTCATGGTGGGAAAATGGGAGTGCAAGGAAGGATAGGCATAAATTGATTGCAGACCCACCAAAGAAAGGCACCAGATCAACGATGAGCGGTTGTTTTTTTTGTTCTCAAATAAAATATCTATGGGAGCCTTAGAACCAAAATATGCCATTTTTCTTGCTTCTCATTCCCTAACCCCATCTATTCTCTGCCTCTCCCTTTCTCACTGAATGTTCTTAGTAGATTTAACCTTCCAGATTATTCCCTATGCTCAAGTGTTCTCTAAGTTCTTCACCCTCCGAACCCCATCTCCATCACTGGACCATTTTGTCCTTCCTATGAGTTGCATTGTAGACGGCTGTCTACCTTCCCTGCAATGGGCTGCAGCCTGCAGCGGCTCTCAGTGAGGCCCTGCTGACACAGTGAAATAAAGTTAGAAAGCTGTATTAATTTAAGTGGCTGTTCTTCACATTTAGGACTGCTATTATGGTGTTGATGGTTGGTAATAAAAGACCTTTTAGTGTGGGAAATCAAATAATCTTATACAAACATAAATGGGCTCCGACAATGATTATCCTAATGTAATTGGAGAATGAACTCTGATTATGGGTGTCAGTTCTTGCCTTTCTTAAGGTATTTTAGGGCTAATACAGTGATTGATAGATTGACACTAGCTCTTCATAAAGTGTGGAGTTTATGAATATGTTGCATTTCTTATATTTGGCTTCTCTGTGCCCTACACTTTTGTGAGTATGAGGTTTGAAAGCTGGGTTGGCTTTGTAGAAGTTTCCAGACATTTTCTGCAATGAAATATGGTAGAGTCAAAATTGAAGGAAAAAATCAAGCCAGCCATCGAACAAAAATCTGTATGGCAAGATGTGCTCATCACCACTCAGGTTCCCAAGGGAAGTGCAAGAAATTACATTTAGGATGAGACTAGAAAACGTCCTGCGGGAAACGGTTCTCTATTCTTCAGGGCTATCATTCACCTGCCTAGGAAAAGATTTCCATATATCCTGTATAATGCTCTTGCCTGTGCTAAATAACATATGATTAAAACATATTTGTTGAAATTTAATAACTGCAGTCAATATGTCTTCTGTGAATAGCTGCCCTATTTGGTAACCGAGATCTACTGTCCTACTGAACGGAAGTAGACTTCCCCGTCTTAATTACTCTAAGTAGATAGTTAATTTAATGGACCTGGGTTTTATAGATCTGCCAATGGTGATTTTTATGAGTAGATAACGGAGGGCCAGCGGAGCACACTTCTAAGGCACAGATGTTTCTGCCATGACCAGCCTCGCTCCTCAAGCCAGCAGGATTTTGCTCGCCTTCTTCCCTCCCCACGGAAGGTCCTTTCTCTCTTTCAGCCACCCCTTCCCCATCCCATGCCAGCGGTACCTCATTCATAACCTTCCCATCCTTCAAGGTTGAGAGCTCAAAGGCCACTTCATTGAAGAAGACTAATCCCACCTCCATAAAAAGTAAACTCCTCCTCTTCTGCACGTGCACGTTGTACTGCCTTGTCCTCAGTTACAGCAGTTACCTTTTTTCCCACTTGGCATAATATTCACCACCCTATCTCCCCAAATACCTAGTGGTGTCTTATTACAGTGGGCATTCCGTAAGTGTTAAGCGAGTGAGGAAATAGACAAATGGATGAATCTCAGTAAGCAGTCACTTGCCACTCCAACCTGAAGCACCTGCCTTTTGAACCCTCTTGCTGCAGGATTAGGGTCAGCCTCTGAGTCCCTACTTCCTCCCCTTCAATGTCAAGCTCAGATCATCTCTGCTGAGCCAGATAGCTACACTGCGTTTTATCAAACATGGTAATGGGTGTGTGCTGCGTAAATAAGTGGGCTTTGGAGGAAAATTGGTTAATCTCCCGTGTGAGCCAGAGTAGACTCGGGTGTAATTGAAAATCATGGCATGTATTTAGAGTACAGATGAGCAAAAAGCATTCGGAAGCTATTTCAGGGTTACTTTTCTCTTTAGAGTATGAGTTTCCCTCAGGTTCATGAGCTGAATAGTTCATGTTGGCACTAAACCATACTGTCTTTTACTTGTATTCATGTATTTTGAATGTTTGTCTAGAATCTCCAAATACATTTTGAGTACCTTGAAGGCAAAAACTCAACCTTGTAATCCTTTGTATCTCTTAAAATAACATGACCATGATCTCACATACAATACACTCTCGAAAATTTAGGTAGCATTTTTTCAGTATAGTAGATCCTTAATAAATGAGTGGAAGAGGAGGTTTGGGAAGAGGTTTTTTGAAGGGATGGTACTTATGTCACAGTAGTTAGAAGAAAATATTTTCCAGTCATGAGACAGTCATTCAGTAATACTAGCAAAGTCTTATTTCTCAGCTTGGAATTCTGCCACCATCAGGAATGTTTTCTTCTTCAGGAAATCCTACAGGTTTAGGAACTATTTTCTGTGGAGTGAAAAGTTGTCCTAGCCAGTGAGATGTAACTTTGCAGAGTGAGATAGAATTTAAGACCTAGCTTGAGATGAAGGGTTTTTCTCTGTCTCTGCTTTATCCAGCAGAAATCGTGCAGTCAGTGTGCGTTTCTTATTTACTTTTGGCAGAATCCAAAAAGATTAAGCTAAAAACAGATTTTATTCCTTAGAGTGTCAGGTCTACCTAGAAATCCCATGAGATTGGGACTCATAAAGTTTCCTTTTCTGTAGGTATTTATAGTCAGAGATGTGGACCCAGAGAAAGCTTTATTAATGAGATTTTATTCATATTTTAAAGTAAAAACAGCACCATATATAACCTCCACCAGCTCACCTCATGAGGTGGTGCTAACAAAATTATCACGTTTTCAATTTCCTTGACACACTTGAGTCCTCATCTTGGTGGTTTTCAGGTTAGAACTACAGATTAGCCAGATGAATTGGGGTTGGGCGCCTTCGTGGTGTTCCAGGAAGAATGACTTTGTTCTTTGAGAGAACAGGCATCTATGACGGTTCTCAGCAGCCATCATATATATGCACATCCTTTCGCTTCAGCACCACCGCGTTCCTGGGCACTCACATAACATGAAGCCTTGCGAAACTCATCCCCACCTAACCAGGAACATGCTTTCCCATTTCACTTTGTTTTCCTTGCAGGTGAACCACCTCTTGGCATCTCCGCTCTGGCTCTCTCAGTTTCCAACAGGTGACATTGCCACTGTTGGCAACCCTGGGAGGTTCCCAGCACTTGGCATTTTTTCCTGGACATTAGGATACCCCTTTTAGAGACAGGATGAAGTGGCATTCTTCTAAGTGGAGCATCCAGGCGGCTGCTTTCTTTAGCACCAGAATTGTCTCTTCCTTTTTTTCCTGTCATGTTATCCTTGGAGAACATAACTGGCAGGCAGCTGGCAAGGTGTTAGCCTTGGTTTGGTATTAATAAAAAAGAATAAGAGATCTGTTCAGCTTAGATAAACACAGAAATTGCATTGCTGCATCTCTTCTTTGCATTTTATAAAGGTTACAATGTTTTTCTAGCACCAAAATAATAAGAAATCAATGGAATGGCTAATCTTTTGGTATCATTTTAGCATGAATTTCAGCTACAAGAGATTAGCCATCTCTCAGAAGGTTAACATCTTGCAAAGGAAGACTTCTTTTATTCCTGCTACATGGATTTTCTTTGGTGAGGCACTGAAGATGGGCAGTCAGCTGAGGGCAGTACAGTTATTTAGCATTAGGGGTAGCATCACGTTTTGTTTTGAAAATCTGAAGGTGTTAATCACCTAAAGGGAGAATTCTTCCAGAAGAACAACAGTGACACTTCCCAAGGAGCATGTATTTGGGACCTTCTTCATTAAGAAAATGTGTCTCTTTTCTGGGCCCTGCTTGGCCTTGTTGAAGGCAGATTGGAAGAGAAGCTGCACCGTGCAGGCAGATGTTGGAGGAGGCTTCACTGTGCCAGCTTTGGAGGAGGGACTCAGCATCGGGGCTGCCTTCCAATTACTCTGTGGAGGGATCAGTACTAGGCTGTTGCCTTTTGAAGATGGGGCTTTGAGAGAGTGGCCAGTAAAGGGAGTGTGAAACATGTCCAATTTATGCAAATCCTCACCATACATGTGAGCACATGGATTAGTAATTTGTCTGATGGCAGCATTTGCCAATCATACTTTTTTCCTCCAGACTGAGGGCTCAAGGGGCATTGATCAGCTCTGAGAGGGATCTTAGCACAGTGTCAGTAGCTGAGATCCAGCCTGGACAGAGGTATTTCTGAGGAGGAAGGAAGGAAGGATCACCCTGGAGTTTGGTTTTGAGAATATTTGCCCTGTAGAACAAAAGTATAATAGATGGAGAAAGGTTCATATTCCCCCCACTTTGTAAATTTTTTTTTAAAGTTCACTATTCTGAGTTAATTGCAGATTCACAAGTAGTTGAAAAAAATGATACAGAGAAATCCTGTGTCCCTTTTACCCAGTCCACCCCCGCCACCCCCGTGCAGTAACATCTTATCAAACTCTAGTAGAAAATCACAACCGGAATATTGACATGCATACAACCCACTGGTCCTAATCAGGTTCGCCCGGTTTTCCTTGTGCACCGCTGTGTGTGTATTTAGTCCTTTGCAGTTTTCTCATGTGTAGGTTCCTGAGTTTAACACCACAATGACCCGTGTGTTCACAAACACACCCATCTTCCTTCTGCTCCGGTCCCCAAACGCTGGCAACCACTAACGTGTTCTCCCTTTCTATAATTTTGTTATTTTAAAAGTGTTACACAAATGAAATTTTGCAGTATCTAAGTTTGCAGAATTGGATTTTTTTAAACCACATAATTTATTTGAGATTTAGCTTGGTTGTTATTCAGCCACTCACCTGTTGAAGGACACCTGGGGTGTTTCCCGTTTTCTGGCTCTTATGAATAAAGTTGCTACATAACACTTGCATGCAGATTTTTATGTGAACATAAAACAGTTTTAAATCCTACTTTCCCTCATCCCCACTTTTTTTTTTTTTTTTTGCTTTGCTGAGCACTCGCTGTCTCCACAATCTTAGCTCATGGGCAGAGAGTACAGACGTCTTTCCAGACTGCGTGTGATGCGTACCGTAAAGCAGCCTTCACAGCCTTAATGAGGGCGAGCGATGTCATACCTATTCTGCAGGCAGGGAAAGCAAGGTAGGACGCTCATCCTACTCACAGCCCCTCCTCCCAACCATGTGTCCTCCCTTCTAGCCTGAACTCCATCTTTCTCCGGAGACACTCTTCCTCTCATTTCCCTTCTTCAAGTTGAAAGGTGCCTACGCTGTGGAGGGAGCAGAGGGGATGTGATTCTTGTGCAGATCCTCTTGCCCCTCTTGCAGGCTGTTTCCATGAAGCTTACATTTGCTATGATTTGAACCATATTGACACTGAGCAGGGGTGAGTGGTGATGAAAGGGAGGGAGGTTCTGGGAGGAAGTGAGAGTTCATCCACTTCTGGGCTTTTGCAATCAGCTGCTGCTGCCACGTGTCCACCTGCACAACCCAGCTGTGTTTGTCCCACCAGAGACTGAGGGGCATTTTACCCATTCGTAATGCATAGGCCAGGTCTGGGCAGGTCTGAACGCACACGTGAGGGTCCGCTACGGCAGGAAGGACAATACCCTGGCCCCAGCTCCCTAGTTCATCCAACTTCTCACCAAGGGTGGTGCTGTAAAGGTTAGGGGACTGTGTGAAAGGCCATGCTTCCTACGGTTCTTTCACAGCCGTGGAGCAGTGCTCATCACTCACACCCTAGTCTTCTGGCCTTTTTTGATTCTTGCTGTCTTTCTTAAGCAGGGTCAGGGACCATATTTAAGGCCCATGGTTGCCTTCTGCGGGATCCTAGTGGCCTAAAACAAATGTTCTGTTATTCCAGGGCTTCCATCACCTGCGCCCAGCTTCACCTTCCAGCTTTACCTTCTGCTCCTACTAGCTGTCCCCTCCATGGTTACCCACTGGCCGCTCTCCTCCTGCCACCAAGCCTCACAGGGTTACTGATTGCATCTCATTCTCACCTACTTTTTGGGAGGCTGTTCTTCTATTTGAAATGCTCTTTCCTCTGCTCTTCCTAGCAACCTTACCTTCGAGGTGTAGTTCCAACATCTTGTTTCCTGACTTGGACTTTTGTGTTCCACACACTCTGCTCTCAGTGTATAGGATATCAGTGGTCACAGTCCCTCTTTGTGGGTCTACATCTCTGTGGACTCTGAGCTTCTTCAGAATGGGTCGTGCTCTCCTTTGACCTCTCAGTATCCTGTATTTAGCAGCCACCTAATGGAAGTCTGCTGAGTGAAGGATGGAGAAGAAAGAGAGTGCCGCTCTCCCTGGCCTCAGGGGGCCCCGCTCCCTATGTTAACCAGACCCTTCCCCTGTAGAGTGGTGAGGAGTCTCCTCCCGAGAAGTCCCAGGTGCTGTTCCTGGGCACCTGCTGGAGAAAACACTTTGTCCCACCCCACAGGGCTCAATTCACTGCACCTGCCTATCCCCTGAAATGCCAACCAACCCCTGAGATGTCTATTATCCTAGACTAGGGGCATTCCAGGGAAGTGAATGGGTTATTCTACCATCTTCTCCTTTATTAACTAGTGCATTATTTTATTTATATTATTTTTTAATTTCCTGATTTCTCTTAACCTCACATTTGTATCTTTCAGGTGCCTATGTATTTCCAAAGTACTTTACCAAGCCAGTGCCACATAGACAAAAATTAGACATTGCCTCCAGTTTTCTTCTGTTTTGGTGAGGGCCAGAGGGGTCTCTAGCCTGACAGCCAGCAGGACAGTAAATGAAATGGGTGCCTAGAGGAAAATGGGGGAGGGGGAATAGCCAGTCATGGAGAAAAGAGCTTTTGCCTACTTAAAAGAAATTAAATCAGAGTTCAGAGTCTTTCCCCTTTAGAGGCAGCGAGTGAAAACAATCATAAATCCAAAATAGAAGAATTTTTCTTTGAAACATCTGCATACTGTATGTGTGTTTCTGTAAGCCCTGCATGCTTAAAATAGTCTTCTCATTTTGGAATTTGAGCAATCAACTCAATTATGTTTATTAAACTCCCCCAAACTATGAATTAAAGCATCTATGGAAGCACCTACCTCGGCTGAATGCCCTTCTCACTTGGTCCTTCTCTGGCACCCTGGCCTCTCCATGTCTGGCTGCTCGTTTGCGTACTCAGATTCATGCTCAGGACACACACTGTCCTGGTTGTGAAACTGTCCCACATAGTGGTTGTCTCCATTCCAAAATGCTGCTTCCTTCTGTCCTTTCTCTAGCTGGATGAGAAGTATGTCTTATTTCCCCAACGAGCCCAGAGGCTTCTGGTAGATAGAAAATGTGATTCTACTCTGTACTTTCCACCTGGCAAGAGTCTAATATATATACATATATTCATATATATATATATTCATATTTGAAAAGTGACCTTCCAGATCGCAGAAGGTCCCAGAGGCTGGGCCAGGCCATGCAGAAGACTGCGAACCATGTCCCCCAGAGTAGGGAGCCTGTGGCTGGCAAGCTCTGCACCATTTTCCTATCTGAGGAACGCACACACAGTGGTACTCACACCCTCTGACCTTTGCCTGAACCATGAGCAGAGAGGCCGTGCTTCCAAAAATCAGTTTCTAACACCTCTTTGTCATCCAGGCTGTGATTCCCATTTTGGGCCTGAGGCTTGTCAGGCCCAGTGATATTGCATGGCCTTTGTGTGTTGGTATCACATTTATGAATGTAAGAGCTCCTGACTTTAGAGCACTCATGAATCTGCTCATCTATTGTCAGTTGTCCTTGGAAACGAATACCACTTGACTGATCAAAACGGATCCTGGAATATGTGTATTGACAAAACTATCATAATTCTGCCTTAAACCTTGGGATTGCCTCCTGCCAGCTCTCATTTATTCAGTGTGGTTCAAAAGAACAGAGGCCTCTTGAAAGAGGCCAGATGGCCCACTGGGTCAGCCTCCTTTCCTCTCTTTCTTCCTCATGAAGTAAATGAAAGTCTGCAGTAAGTGATCTTGAATGTTTAATTTGATGCTTTGATATCAAATTTTGGAGCCATTTCGGTGAGTGTGTGGGGCCGATTCCATGAGATTCCACATTTGCTCGAGCAGCTAGAAAAATCTGTGGACCTTAGTGTACCACCCACTGTTACTGCGATTTCACTGGATGCTTCTGAGAAGTCTTGCCCTTTGAGGGAATTGCACCATGGGGCAGTCCGGGCAGGGTCGGGTACAGAACTGGAGTTGTATTCACATTTTTTATTGCCACTCCAACTATTAGATTCTAGAGTTCCTTTCCCTGGGAAAGCTAGGGTCTGGTGCAGTCTTTCCTGTCCATCAGGAAGCAGGATTTTGATTTGTTTATTTGTTTTCTCATTCATTTCAGTGGATTTAGCTCAGCTTAATAAAGTTCAAGTAACCTGTCCAAAATCATAAATTAGCATTAGTGGTTCAAGATTACTGATTTCCTCAGGGTTCTGCCAGAATTTATAGCCCTCTCCACTTCCTTCCTTCAAATGATAGAATCTTAAAAAGTCCTTCAAAGTCATCCAGCTTTATTTCCCACTTCTTTCAGATCTCTGATAGGTCTGCATCTAGCCCCTGCTTGGATCAGACGCTATCAACAGGCACACAGACACACGTTGCTGTGCCCTGAGCCCTTCACAGATGTGCTCTCAAATATGAATAAATATTAATAAATGAATACACTTCATTTTTACAGAACCATCACACATACATGGTTGTGGTGACACCTGGCCCTTGGACCATTGCTCTGAAGGTGCTGAGCAACTTGGTGTTGCCAGGGTCCCGCTGGCAGGATGATGGCACAGGAGGAGCTGAGCTGGCACTGAAGACAAGCTGCATGCCCAAGGAGTGTGTGAAGACAGCCTCATGGCTGGGCCAGGGTCAGGGTGCTACACAGCTCTGCTGAAAGTTGGCCAAGTTGTTAGCCGGACAGCTGCAGAGTTCTTGCAGGCGATTTATTTTTAGACCACAGCAGAGATTGTGTGGTCAATTATGACTGATTTGCTACGTTAGGCAGTTCTTGCATTGCTATAAAGAAATACCTGAGGCTGGGTAATTTATAAAGAAAAGATGCTTAATTGGCTCACGGTTCTGCAGGCTGTACAGGAAGCATGGTGCTGGCATCAGCTTCTGGTGAGGCCTCAGGAAGCTTATAATCTTAGCAGAAGGTGAAGTGGGAGCAAGAGGAAGGGGAGGTGCCACACACCTTTAAACAACCAGGTCTTAGGAGAGCTTCTATCTCTAGGACAGCACCAAGAGGATGGTGTAAAACCATTCATGAGAAATGCACCCCATGATTCAATCACCTCCTAGCAGGCCCCACCTCCACCAGGCCTCACTCCCAGTAGGCCCCACCTCCAACATTGGGAATTACATTTCAACATAAGATTTGGGGGACAAATATCCAAACCATATTGCTTGCCTAATGCTGTTGAAAAATCTCATGTTGAAATAGTGCCACAAATGAAAAAAAAAAAAAAAGGAAAATGAAGGCTACTGCATTGCTCTCTTTTCCTGATGCAGCCTCATTACCTCATGGAGCATTCAATTCCAGGTTTGCACAGCTTTGAGTTTGCACAGACTATCTTAAAAATGCTTGCTTACACCAGCCTAAAACCTTGCTCTCTTTAAATTCCACCCAAGAGTTTGTGTTTGTTTCTGGAATAGTAATAAATACATGAAACTCAGTGTTTACCCAGCCTGGGTGTACATGGAATTATGTGGAGATCCATTTTAAAGTATGAACTTGGAGGCCACACCCACAGAAATTCTGTTTAATAGGGGCCCAGGAGATGTATATTTTCATAAAGCTTCATGGGTATCACTCATGCATACCCAGGTCTGAAAAAATACTGCTTTCCCATAATCCTTCACTTGGTAGCTGAACTCTTCTAGGTTAGTTGAACATTTTTTCATAACCACAGGCACGACTTTTTTTTATGGAATAAAGAACTAGGCTCCCAACATACAGGTCTCATCCGTTGCACATTCTTGCTTGTGTTTCACTGAGGTTCACAGCACTCAGCTGCGAAGGGAGATAGAATTTAGACTCCCAAGTGTATCCATCTGCATCGTGCATGCTGACCTCAGTGGGTTCGTCATATCTAATGCGGATCATCTAGAAACACTCTAAATCCAGACTCTCAAAAAAAAAAAAAAAAGTCAGTGAATTACAGAATTTTCTTTTAAGGCTCTTTGTCCTTTTCTGTCCTTTCCTTTCAATTTCAAGTTTCCTAATTAAATGTGTGAACAGAGAAACTGTGTTCTTGATAGATGTAACCTGTCGTGGGTTGCAGTCCATCATGGAAAACCTAGTTCTGTTTTTTTTTTTTTTCTATTTTTCTCTTCCGTTACACTTGTAGACCTATACCAAAGTAAGTAAGGTATAAACATCTTTAATAACACGAATAAATAAGCAGTAGAGGAGATGACTTGTCAGGCTTTGAGAGAGCTTTCTCACCACCAGCTCTAAAATAGAAGGCACTGTTATTACTCATGGCTCCAGTGGACTCACAGCAGATGTGAGTCCTTCCTCTCAGCCACATCCTTTCTGATTGTTGCCTCTTCCATCTGAATTGAGCTGTGGTCTTCTTCTGTCTGCCCACACAGATGGTGGGCCTCTGAAATACAACATAGTCTCCTTTTTAAATCTGCTCAGACTGATCCTAAAACACCAAGAAAATCTTTTATTATGTGACTGAGTTTGTGGCTAAGTTAGCTAAAATTCTACTTCCAAGATTAACAAGGCGTGCAGGGGCATAATCGTAGCTTACTGTAGCCTCAACCTCTTAGGCTCAAGTGATCCTCCCATCTCACTTCCCAAGTAGCTGGAACTATAGGTGTGCAACACCATGTACAGTTACTTTTTAAAAATTTTTTGTAGAGACAGGAGTCTCACTTTGTTGCTCTGGCTGGACTTAAACTCCTGATCTCAAGTGATCCTCCTGCCTTGGCCTCCCAAAGTGCTGGGATTACAGGTTATTTTAAAGTACTCTTTTTCTAGTGCACACGAAGTATACACTCATCATAAATGAATTATAATATAGAGTTGAATGACTAAAACAGTCAGAGAGATGAAAATATAGATAGGCAAACATAAATTTATTTTTCAGGAGACAAGAAATACACACACTTCACTCAGGTGTTTAACTTCCCCCTGCTTTTTTTTTTTTTTTTTTTCACTAAACAGCATTCCATGAGCATTTTTTCAACACAAATAAATGCATATACTTACTGTATAGATAGAGTACAACTCTTTTCGACTATTTTTGGGTATGCAGGTTGCTTCCAGTCCTCCACTATTATAAATCGTAATGTTCATAATCACCTTTACGTCATTACAATTAAATGTTGGTATGTTATTCTAACTCGTCTGAGAAAACCATTCCTTCTCCTATATCCAGAGGTAAGGTTTAGCTGCCTTATTTCACTACCAGGCACAGGGAATGGGGCTTTTGAGAAACTAGAAATGGCCATTTCATCTGACCTGGAACCTAGGTTCATGCGAGGCCCCTGTCCTCTCTCTCCAGGTCTCTACGTTTGGCAGGAAGGCTTGGTTCTAATCATGCTTCGCCTTCTAGGAGTTACTCCGGAGCTCCATTTCCTTCTTCCTGTCGTGGTAGGGGAGGGAAGCATTTCTTTGTGCCAAAGAAGGTGGAGAATGAGAGGGAAGGGAAGACACAAGGGACCAGCCTGACAACACAGAAAACGCTGACATAAATTAATCAAACGAGGCATCTCACAGGATTGAATTAGTTCCTGATTTATGGCCGCAGTGCAGGGCCTGCCAGGCCGTTTCTCCATGCTCATCCGTTGCTGCCCCTGATTTATGTCAGCGTCCCGGTGCATTGGCTGACTGGGGATCCTTGTAGAATGGATGGAGGGAGAGGGCTGCTCCAGTGCCGGCCGGCCCCGGTCCAATCTTCATTCCAGCCCTCAGAGTGCAGACCCATTTATCAACTTCATTATTTGCCTCATAAACTCAAGGCCTGCATCTTTAGGCTCTGTCGTATTGCTATGGAAGCTGGGATGGGGAAAAAGAGAAAAACGTAATTCTATTTTTTCTTTACTTATGCATTCTTAGAGATTCTTAAACTGCCACAGGATTGAAGCTAAGTCGGTGCTGATGGTTCTCGTTATTATCTGCAGGGAGGTGTCTACCCTTACGTTAGCCTCATCGCGTTACTGCTAATTTTTGCAATGAGAGGCATCTGGGGGGTGATTTGAAAGGTGATGTGATTTGAATGCTGGTGGCTTCCTCCTTTGGGGAAACAATTTACCACTGCAACAATTCCTTATAGAGAAAAGATTGTTGGGGACACTCTGCTGTAGATTCTAGGAATCCATCTGTGGCTAGTGGTTGCTCATTTATTTATTTGTTCACTCGATTTATTATTCTTTTAAGTTCTTACAGTGTGCAACATACTGGGATCTGTACTCCTATCGATACCCTCTCTATGAGTCTCAGACTCCAAGAATGTTGGGGTCTACAAGTAGAGACAGATATTAAACATATTAAATAATCATGTTATTATAGCTGTAACAATGTTAATGATAACATTCTGAGAAATGCTTCACAGTTATGTGGACTATTTCTAATATTTGAAGCAAACATGGAAGACATTTTCTTAGGAATTCATATGAAATATTCCCTCACATGTAATTTTTTTAAAGCATGGGTGTGGTTGTTGGAAATGGCTATTACCACTTGGAAGCAAGCCCAACGTAAAGTGGAAGATTAAGTTCACTAATAATAACTTTGGTTCAGAATTGTCCAAGTGATGTTTGATTATTAAGCCATGTAACTTTTCATAAAAATTCAACTTTAAGTGTTATAATTTCCAAATCTATATCCCAGGCAAAAGATTCAACATCTCAAAACTCATTTTTCTCACTTCCAAATAGTACTTACCTTATACATTTGTTGTAAAATTAAATGAGATAACGTATTTAATATATATATCATGATACCTAGTATCTTGTAGGTATTTGACCAATGTCTGTTACTTAGATTTATTTTTTCTTGCCCAGCTCTTTCTCCTGTGTTTTAGAATTATATATTGTTTTTTGGACATCATTAATTGGACATCCTACAGAAACTTCAAAATCAGAATATTAAAAAAAGGACTGAGTTTTCTCACTCAAATCTGCTCCTCCTGCTGCTTGTCGGATACAAATAAATCTGACTGTGTCGCCACTGTCTACACAGATGCTCGAGTTCAAAGCCTGGTACAGTCTCCCACCCACACTGTCCCATGCCTCTAGGCTCCAGCCATACTGAGCTCTTTCACTTTCACTACCACGCCTGATTCTCCCTCTCTCTGGGCCTTTGTCCGTGGGGTTTTCTCTGCCTGAAACACTGTCTTCTCTTATTTTAACTATTTTTCTACTCTGCATCCTTCAGGTCTCAGGTAGGAGTCACTTCTTCCAAGAAGCTTTCTTAACCCTTCATGCTTCTCTGACAGGCCTTTTCTAAGCACTCGGTGCTGTCTTGCACTGTTTCCACCACAGCACTTAGCATATTGTATGGCAAATGCATCTGAATTTTTTCTACTGATCCATGATCTCTATAATTCAGTAACTGTCATGTTCATCACCTCGTGTCCCCAGAGCCTTTCATAGATTGAGGAGTAGGTGCTTGGTACCACACTACTGAATGAATGAGTCTATCTTCAAAGTCAACTCCAATAGAAAGGAGTTTCAAAAATAATTTAAAGGACACTTTAAATTAAAGGAGGGTTAATCTTCCAGTTGAGTTCAAAGCATCTGCATTTACATGCTATTTCCATACAGGGAGCTTCTGCTATGTATTCAAATAAGCAGCCTCCATGATTCACATGCTATGGAAGGAACAGACCAGCATTAAATCAATTCCATGAATTTTCCAATAATGATGAAATAAACCAACCACACTTGCAGTACCTAGGTTCCAGCCCCTGGCCTTCTCAGCAGCATGCCTTCTTCACCTCTTCTCTCCCCTAAGGAGGTTCTTGTACCCTGGGAAAAGAGCAATGATTCTTCCAGCCCCCACCCTTTGCTGTTTCTTTGACATCTTTCAAGAATTGCAGTGTTAAAGAGCACTTTAAATGTCTTGGTCTCTTCTCCTGGGAGAGCAGATATTCAGAAGGATTCTTCACTAAAACTTTGGGAAAAGACAAGCAGTCTTAGAGCTTGACTGTGAAATTCTCCCCAGACAACCCGGCATCAGACACAGAGCAAACAGTTCGAGCGCTGGCTTCCTGTGGGATATTGATTTTCCCTCTCTGCTACAGCATTTTCCTCATCCTCTTGGCATCCACTGGAAAAATGAAACATGAGGTTTTAAGAACTAAAAATACTGAGTGACAGACTGTTCTAACACTATGGGTTATATGAGAATTCCAGCTGAGAGGGGACTGATGTGGCACACGGTTGCCCTTCAGGGGTCATAGAGTGGACTTTTAGACTGTGGAGCGGATTGAGGCAAATAACAGGTATTAGGAAGGGCAAGATAAGAGCCTTTTGGAAAAGTGGACAAGAAGAGGGTCGAGAAAGCAAATCTGGTGAGATAATGGAAGACAGAGATAATGACCCCACAAAGCAAACTGGAAATACCTTCTTGAGGTGCTTTTGCAGCCACAGAATTGGTAACTGCAGACAGGAAGAAAATGGGAGTTTGGATGGCCAATTCTCAAGTAAAACAAAGAGGTATAGGGCCAGCCTCACTCCCTGAAATCTCTTCTTCAATTTGGCCTTTGTCAGTGGATGACTTTCAGCTGTCTTGCTGGTGAGGTCTCCACAGCCAAGGCTAACAGGCTGAGCCTCATTCCTACAGTCTATCTGGGATCCTGTCTTATAGAGGAGAGATTTGAGAAACTCTTGCCTAAGGCTCAGGAACTCTGAGTCTCCCCAGGGAGTCTGAGTCCAAATTTCTCCTTACTGACCACTTCTTTGCTCATGAGGAGCTGGCTAATTGTGCTTTTGGGGGGACAAGTTGCCTCCCAGCTTTACCAGGATCCAGCTCCTTCTAGATGGAGAGGGCTGTGGCTCCAGGTAGACCTTTCCTGTTTCCAGTGTTGGGGCTTTGTAGGCCTGTGGCTTCTATGGGTGGTGAGGTAAAATGCAGAACACTCATTTAGACTTAAATTCAGATAAACACACATCATTTTCTTTACATTACATATGTCTCATGCATTTAAACTAAAACTCAAGTTTAGCTGATTGCCTTGTATTTTTATTTGCTGAATCTGGAGAAGCTAACCCCCACTCACAACTGGATTTCTTTTTCTTTTCTGATCCATGACCTATCCAGTTTGATTTCAAGCCTTGCTATATCCTTTTTTGTTTGTGTGTTTGTGACGGAGTCTCGCTCTGTCGCCCAGGCTGGAGTGCAGTGGCACGATCTAGGCTGACTGCAAGCTCTGCCTCCTGGGTTCACGCCATTCTCCTGCCTCAGCCTCCAGAGTAGCTGGGACTACAGGCGCCCACCACCACATCCGGCTAAGTTTTTGTATTTTTTTGTATTTTTATTAGAGATGGAGTTTCACTGTGTTAGCCAGGATGGTCTCCATCTCCTGACCTCGTGATCTGCCCGCCTCGGCCTCACAAAGTGCTGGGATTACAGGCGTGAGCCACCGTGCCCAGTTGCCTGGCTATATCCTTTTATTCTGAAAAGTAAATCATAGATGGATGGGTAGACAGACAGGTAGTTAGGTAGATAATATTTGTTATTGCTTGGTTGTAAGAGTAGAGGGGAGGGTTCACAGTGCATATTCATTGTACAGCTTGAATCACAAGTTTGCTTAATTTTCAAAAACGTGCTTCTCAACCTTTTATAACTTTTTTTTTCCTATTTTAAAAACAGAAACACTCATACAATGTTCTTTGATCTTCTTCATAGCCCACAAACAAAAATGATTTTATTTAGCTTTAATTTTTGGTGCTCATATTATTATTAAAATGTTTACTTGGCTTTCAAAATATAAAATTATAATATGATTTTTTCCCAAATTACATATATCACCATTCTAAGTGGGCCCCCAAGAAGATGCATCTCAATCCATCTCTTTCAAATGAATATTAACTGCATGTCTCCAAGAAACCTTCTCAGACTCCCTTGGGGATAATTTGTTGCTCCACTGATCCACCTGTCAACCCCTATTAAAATATGTCACCTGTGTATTTGTGATCTAACTGAACATTGAAATGATCCTGGAATAATTTTTTGTTTTGTTTTCGCTTCTATATCCCAGGCTTTTGCAAACCTAATACATATGTGTATTTAATAACCTTGCTAATATGTGATTACAACAATAAAGAACAGTGATTTTACAGCAGCAAAACTTGTATCCAGAGAAAGAAATAATTGGCTCTCTGAAGTTAGATTTTTGACTGAAAATTGGCAGAGATTAGTGCCTAATAATCATTTAGTTTTGTTTCTCTCATCTGTGCATGCTATTTATTTTTGTTTAATTTTTTAACTCAGTAAAGGATCATTTCCTTCTCATGTGGTTTTTGTGAGCTAATATGACAAAATAGTTAAGAAATTAGCCTCTGGACCCAGCCAGGTTAAGTTCAAATGCAGACACTATCACTTTCCAGCTGTACGATATTGGGAAAGTTGCTTGATCTCTCTGTGCCCCAGTTTCTTTATCAGTGAAGATGGAATAACTATAGTTACTTTTTAAATTTTTATTTATGTATTTATTTTTTGAGATGGAGTCTTGCTCTGTTGCCCAGGCTGGAGTGCAATGGCGCGATCTCGGCTCATGCAACCTCCGTCTCCCAGGTTCAAGCGATTATCCTGCCTCAACCTCCCAAGTAGCTGGGATTACAGGTATGCACCACCACACCCAGCTAGCTTTTTGTATTTTTAGTAGAGACAGTGTTTCACCATATTGGTCAGGCTGGTTTTGAACTCCTGACCTCAGGTGACCCACCTGCCTTGGCCTCCCAAAGTACTGGGATTACAGGAGTGAGCCACCGTGCCTGGCCAAATAATAATAGTTACTTTCTCATGCGGTTCTGGCAATAATGTAACATGTATAAAGAATTTACAATAATTCCTAGAAAAATATCGAACATCAGTGTCCGTAATTAGGGCATGCTGGGTATGAGTGGTCTAGCTTTTGTTTGCATACTGATCTTTACATTTGGAAGATCCATTGGTTGCTGAATGCCTTTGGAAAGATGTGGTTCTTAGGCAAGATAGAATCAACTAAGGCTAGCTACAAAACAACTCACCATAAATTTTATAAACTGTACCATATTTTATATTTACTTATTTTATTACTTAAAGTCTTCTGCCAGCTCAACTCTGTAATTTTTCTTTTTTTACATGACACCAATTTTGGTCATTTCTTATTAACCCCAAAACACCATTGAACATTGGGCCACAATGAAACCTTCATGACTGGCTCTTTCTGACCATCTAGTCAGAAGAAAACAGGACCATATTGGCATAATCACCTTCCCCACTCCTCTTTTTACCCACCTGCTCTCTTCCCCCCAAGCCCCAGTTTCCCTGCCTCTGACCTTCTAGAGACCTTTCTGCTAGCAGCAAAGCAGTCTCATTCCAGGAGGAAAGCACATCCCTGGAGTATCTCCCTGGTGTCATGGCTGCTATTGCGCAATTCGGGGAGGCATTTCACTGGTCCAGTGTTAAGGATGCTAAACATGACCTAGCAGACTTAATGGTCACCTACAGTCAAGTGAAGCCTTCCAATTCTTCTCCTTGGGAGATGGGACATCATTGGATCACTGAATCACTTCTCACTTTTTCCCATGGGAATTCATTGACACACCTTTTAGTTTTCTTATCTTCTCTTATTATAAAAATGCAGAAAGATAAATGAACCTAACACCCTAAGGGGGACACTGTCTTCTGCAATTTGCTAGAGAGAAGGAACGAGAGTAAATGGAATGAATGAGTGAACTGAAAGATAGATAGGAATGTTAAGGAAAAGGATACATCAAGAAAATGCAAGTTTCTGGTTGGGTGACTGGGTGGGTGGTATAGATTGAGATAGAGAGAACTGGAAAGAAATCCACGGAGAGGAGAAAAAGTGTTAGACAAGTTGTGTTGGAGTGAACTGCTGCAGAAAGGTCTGTCTGTGCTGCAATACAGCTTTAGGAACTCCAGCATACCCTTGAGATCTCTGATCACCCCACAGTGGACGAATCACCCTGGAGATTATGCAGAAAGAGGTAGCCAGGGCACTCAAGGTGAAATTTGGGAAAACCCTGATATTGAGCTGAGATTTCCTTAGGAATGGAAAAACTTGAGCTATCCATAACCTGAAAAAAAAAAAAAAGAGAAAGAAAGCTGGCACAAGAAACTCCCAGAGACATTGCTAACCTTTGACAGGGTCCATAGTGGTCAGAGATTTTGGCCCAAATTAGAAGGCAACCAGATTCTAGATCTGCCTGGAATTCAATGGAGTTCGGCAAGAAAATAGGATTGTGTTGACCAATAATATCTAACTTGGGTCTTGCAGTTTCACATATGGTATTTATTTTGTATTTCTCAGAAATTCTGCAACCTGGGTATTATCATTCCAATAATAATAACAATATTGATAATATAATAAAATAATAATGATGATGATGAGGGAAGCAAAGACCCAATGGGATGAGGAAGCACGCTGGAGAAATACAACTAATTAGTGCCCGAGCAGCCTTCCAGCGCCGGCCACCAACTCTGAATCCTCTCATTTTTACAGAAGACACCGTGTACCTCTCTGCTTTCTCAGGACATTCTCTTGTAAACCATTTTGTGGCTGTTCAGCCTCTTTTTACTTCCTACTTCTAGGCACTGATATTTCATTGTTCTGATGAGAACCCTAGACTGATAATGGGAGGACAGGGAAAACAAAACACTGAGAGAGAAAAAATGCAAGCCTATTTGCCATTAATCACACACTTTTCTTCTAGATAGCGTGCAAGCCATGCAAGGGCAGTGATCCAACACAATGCCAATACTCATTGAACTGAATTGCTAAGAGGTTCTAATGCTCCCCACAAAGAGGACAGGTCTGGTAATTGCAAATGAGTTTAATCTGTTTCACATCTGAATTATCCTGGGCTTAGTAACCAAATTGGCTTGCCTCTTGAGTTTGTCAGGTCATTCTTCCCTGTGGAGGGAGAAGGAGGTCTGATGAGGAGCACGGTCCGGCTCAGAGCCAGCCTGCACATCAAGCTGGCATGCATCGCACACCTATGCAGGCAACTCAAACACAATTCTCGGCAAATCTTCTGTCATCCCCATCTCTACTCCCAGCAGAAGAAATCACTCCTTCCTCTGTGTTCCCATAACATATGCCAATATTATAACATTAACTACACCACACATAGAAAAGTATTAAGGTACAGACACTGGAGTTGCACATCCTGGGCCTGACTCCCAGCTCTGCCATCAGGAGCTGTATGGCCTTGAGCAGATCATCTCATCTTTATGTCACAGTTCCGTCATTTAGAATATGTGGATATTAATAGCACTTACTACTACCTGGCTATTGCATGGAGTAAATGAACTAGTGCATGTAAGGGACATATAACAGCTCCTAGCACCTAGGAATTACTATAGAAATGCTAGTTACTATTAAGAATTTATTTAGAGCACTGACTCTTCTACTGAACTGTGAGGATCTTGTAGGCATTGGTCATTCCTTAATGTTTTTATATTTTTTTCCCCAAAGCAAGCTTAGTTACTGCTGGTTAAAAGAACAGAGTGACTTTCATATAAAAGTGACTAACACAGCATCTGACAATTAATGAATCCAGTGAGTGAGTGAATGGGTGAATATGGAGTTTGTGGAATAGTAGTTGACACAGAATAGGCATTCGCTAAGTCTTTCAAGATGAAGAGGCATTGTCTTCATCACCGAGGCATCCGCTGGCCTTACAGCTGGATCCCACTGAGTCTTCAATTGCTTTTATTGAGGTATTCTGCGGTTGTGGTGTCCTAGGTCAGATTCTTCTTGTGTGGGATTTCAGGGTCCAGGGACCAGGGTGGTCTGGAGTTGTCAAAAAGCATCCTGGAGAAAACACGTGAAGTGAGCTTCAAGAATAGACCAGTAATCAAGAGCCTGGGGAGGAGAGAGGGCCTGCCAGCGCACAGCTTGGGTCTCCTTTTGCTTGATGCTGTGTGACAAAACAAACGTAAAACACAGGAAACAAAAAGCTGAGGGCACAGCCTCCACCCTCGGGGAAAAGACCATTATGTTAATTGGATAAGAACTTGGAGGAAATTTATTCCAATTGACCTTTAACTAGGAGAAAATATAAAATATTTGAAAACTTGGGAAGTATCAAGGCCCTAGGCTTACAGACAAAGAGGGAATGAGTTCCTCTGCAAACCCAGAGGAGCTGGGTTGTCCAGGCCCAGGGAAAAGGAACCCTTCGTTGAAACAAGGGTCCCTGGCCAGGGAGGGTCTCCAGGAGGCTCCTGCTGCAGCCAAGGTGCAGAGTTTTCTGGATGAAGGGGAGGGGCCCTTCCAGACCCTGTATACCTGAGTCCCTGGGTCTGAGCAAGCGTGACCCTGCAGAAGGCCTTTCTGCACAGCCTCAGCACCTCAGCTTTGGCACAGGAAAACCCTCGTCCCAGTGCGACTGGAGAGACAGACCATCTGCCTACACCAAGCCTCTGCAAAGCCCAGCAGAGAGCTGAGGCCATGCGGCTGCGCGGCAGCTTGCTGGACTGTGGCTCGGCTCACTGTAAGTGCTCTGGCTGTGACCAAATCACAAATATGTTTTGCTCTGAGTACCTTCCCCCTTAATTTTTAAATGTATATGTATTTCAAGGGAAATGAAATCCATGGGTTTCTAGTTCATTTACCCTTAAATCATTAAAATGCTGTTTAAGAACATTAGGCATCCAAGGAGCTTTTCCAGCTATTCTAATAAGCATTTGAAAGACTCTTTTCTCCCCTCAGGGACAGTTTCATCGGAAGCAAATGGACTCAGAGTTCCAGAGGATGCAGTTTGGTTTGGAATTCTATGTCAATGTTTTATGTAAGGCAAGGGATCCTAATCCTGGTGAAATATACAATCCCCTCAGTACAGGGAAGGCAGAAGAATAATTCTCTTGCTTTTACTGACTTTGGGTCTAGGAGAGCGCCTTTAACTTACACCTGGAATTATTGAGGAATAAATTGAACAGGAGATAACATTTATAGAGCACTGACTGCATACCAGCTCCTGGGCTCTGTGCCTTAATGTCTGTCATCCCTACATAATTACAAGGAAGGAATTGTCCTCGTTATTCAAATGAGGCTTAGAGAAATGAATCCTCTTACCTGCGGTCTCGAGTGATGGCACCTGAATCTATCATTCTGACTCGAAGCTCTTTCCCATCTCATGGCCTTGGACATTTTCCCAGGGTAAGAGTACCAGCTGGCTTTTCAAAGCACTGACAAGGTGCCCAAAACATTACCAAGAACATTTATTCATTCATTTGAGAAACATTTGTTGATGGCCCCAGTTCCAGGCACTAAGTTAGTACTCATACTGACCCCGCAAGAGAGGCATCATAGTTTCCATTCTACAGATAAGGAAAGGGTGGGTGTGTTGGGAAACAAGGCTCAGAGGGTCTGTTACTTGCCCAGAGCCACTTGTCTTTCTGCCACTTACCATCTGAGGCACAGAAGCTGCAGGCAAGGGGAACTCGAGGGCACTGCACTGTGGCTGCTCTGATCCGAGCAACTTTTTAAAAGTGACTTGGTATAAGGTCACTTAATACAGGAGCAAGTTAGCTCATGCCGTGGGTGGCTTCAAAGCCCTGCCCTTTGTGAAATAGGCAGAATGGCTGCTCTATTTTAAGTAGAAATGTTGCGTGTAAGACGTCAACCCCTTATTGGTAGAGGGGGAGGGACAATCTCATTCAGTTCATTAACAGGAGAGAATTTATCCACATAACACAGAAACACTAAGTCAAAAGCCGTATGAGAGATTTCTAATGAAAGTCTGGTTGGGGTTGCTGTGTGAGCAAAAGTAAAATGAAATTTGGGAGGGAGTAATGGCGCCTACTCATTTGAACCGCAGCTGCTATTTCTCTGTCCAGTATAATTATAGCGGAATTAAAGGAGACAGGAACACCTCTTTGCACTGCTAAAGTTAAAAAGTGGGTGGGAGAGCATTCTGAAATTAGTCCTTCCTGCAACACTCACACTGAAATGTTTGGAGAAAAAGGAACCACTAGAGGGTGCTGTCCAGACAGCCAGAAAGACGGAGAAGAGGCTGTGGTATACACCATATACTGAGATTGTCAGGAAGAAATTCATTCAAGAGGTATTGCAGTGGTCTGTAACTTTCAAACAAACTATTATTCCTGAATGACTCCTGCCTTTTAAACGTCTATGAACATGCCCCTTCCTGTCTGGTAGGAATGAGCCTTTGCTTTCTTCATGGGATGGGTGAGAGAACAATTTTCACTCTTGAGCACTGCCTCATATTTTCCTGGTATGTGCTCCAGGATTAAACTTTCAGATTTATTACATTTTCTATCTATGCAATTTTTGTCCTAAGGTCGTCACAGCAAACACTTCCACAGAGTCTCGGAATGTTTTATAAACCAGTCATGCAGGAACACGTGCTGTGGTGTAACATGCTGCCCCCAAATTAGAGAATGCTCAGCTTCTGTCCAGCTTGCCTAGCATCTGAAATAATGAGAGTGGCAAGGCTCGTAAGAGAAACGGAAACACAAGAAACATATTAAGACCTGGCACACAAATAAATAAAGTTTAACTGCACCAATGTCATCTCACAGTGGGAAAGTGATTTCTAAAAAGTTTTCAGACACACTACCTATGTTATCATTGCATCTTTGTAATGACGTCGTGCCTTAGGAGAGCCTTTCTTATCATTTCATACACTGTAAGCAGAGGCCCAAGGTGGCAAGGTCAAAACCGCAAGGCTGGTTACTAGCAGCGTCAAGATTCAAACTCTGGCTTTCTTTTTTCTGAGTCTGAAACACTCGTTTCGCTACTATGAAGGATTTCTTGGTTTTCAGTAGGCATACTGGTGAAATAGATTCATCTGGGATTTCTGGTAAGGAAACAACCGTGTATGCATGGAGCAGCTGAAGCCCGTAGCAGAAGGGGAAACACGCTAGCCTCTGCTATCTTTCCGGCTGACACAAACAGGGACCCTTTTCCTTTCTTCCCTCGTGGCTGTAACTGCAAAGTTTCTTGCATGAGGACACTGTCATGATGAACGGCACCCCTGTTTACCACCAAATCGGGTTGATGTGGCCGGCAGTGTGTATGTTTCTAAACAAGCCGGCAGCGGCAGTCCCAGATCCACACCCTCTCTCCCTGCACTGCCAGCACTGACATGACGGGAACCTGGCCGGCCCCCCAGCCAAAGCAAGATGGATTGAGATACAGAACTTTATTTTCTTTTTAAGCAAACATGAGCTAGAGTTGCTGTAACTCAGCCACGTTCCATTTTATCTTCATGTTAATGAAACCGCACAGCAAAATTCTGGGGCACGTGGAGGGCAAAGTCCGCTGCCTGCTCACCAGCCCTGAGAGTGCCTTCTTGTTGCTTCTGGGCCTTGTCCTGCACGTCTCAAAGGATATCGCCCATTTCATGGCCTGTGAGGCCATCACACCCCTTTAGTGAGAGTTCTTTCTCTCCCTCTCTTTCTCATCTTTTCTGCAGTGTAGACAATTTGCATGCACTTTCCCTTACCCCTGCCCTGCCAAGATCTAGGCATGGTTGATAGTGAACTGAGTAGTGTTCAAATTGGAAGAAAAAGAAAATCCCTGTCCCTCCTTTCAGTGGTTGAGGAAGTGGTCAATACAAAAGATCTATGTAGCATCATTTTATACAAAAAAAAAAAAAAAAAAAAAAAAAGACAGAGACTGCCTCTCTTACCTGTTACTTGTTGTGGTTATCCCTGATCTAGCAAGGAAAGTGTCACTGGAGGGTACCGGGAGGCAGGCACTGTGCTGGGTTTTGAAAATGGTTTTGGTTGTGCTGTTTTTCAGCATTGTTTTCTTCTGTGTCAAAATATTATTCATATACTTGGTTATAGATGCATTGAAATCCCAAGATATGCGTAGAATTGTGTTTCTTGAGGGTAGGAGATACAAACAAGTATATCCCACTCAAGATTATATATACATATACACATACATTTCCTCAGTTAATAATCAAATTACAATACAGTATATATTTCAAACTTCTCCATTTGATGTGAGTTATGGGAAATGCTAAGCACTGTTTCCATTATGTGGTGAACCTCAATATCGGCCAGCTGACAGAACTCTTCGGGATCCTCTGTAACTGTTCCCTAAGCTGTCCTGCCAGCCTCACTTATCCCTGCAAATAGACTATCTTTCTGCCAGCTGCCACTCACAGCTTTAAATCCCACGCTCCTGTCCATGCTATTACTCAGTTCTTAGAACACCTTCCTCACGCTTGTCTACCTACCAGGAATCTTATCTTCTAGGACTTAATTCTACGTCCATTACGAACACTTTCTGTCATCACTTCACTTTGAAAAGCTCTCTCCCTCCAAATTCCAATAACACTCATGCCACTCGATATCTCCTCTGTTGAATTACTGAACTTTTGTTTTACAACATGTTGTTATTATATTTTCTTTGCATTTTTATCTTGTCACTGCAATCAGCCAGGATGGCTGCCTCCAACTTCCCCTCAGTCCCAAAGCCACAGAAACCACAATAAAACACAGTCAAAGGTGTGCCCTGGCTTGTCTGAACATCCTCCTGTGGATTCCCTTTAGTCGATTAAGAGATAAAGAGAAAGGTAAGGCAGGAGTTGTGAAATTCCCATTCGGCCCAATGCCTGCCCCGCACCAGGCCTGCTGCCTGATTTCCATCCAGCTCCATGTACCTGGGCCGGGGCTGCTTCCAGGGCAGGCCTCACACCGTGCAGAACATGGCAGCCTGCTTGCTCAGTAAGCAGCCACGTGGTGCTCCGGCCCTCCATATGCTTCCCTGGCTTTGTCTCCTTCCCATCCCTCAGCAGATCTCTCCAAGCCTCTCCAGGATGAATGCAATGTCTAGCTCTAATGGTCTCTGAGTGTCCTGCCAGGACAGGAGCAAGTCCAGTCCATGCTCCCCAGGCTGAAAGAATCCCAGGCCAAATCTGGAGGGGTCCCTCACCAGGCTCTCAGTCCACAGAGATGCTGCACCAGAGCAGCGTTGCAGAACAGAAAACTGGAAGGTTGGGAATCAGGGAAGAAGGTTGGGAGGCAAGATGCAAGGGCATAAACTGCCCATCAAGTTGGTAGGCCAATGTAGCAGGAAGCCTAGGCTCAAAACCAGAATTAGGAAAGGAGAAACATTGATGAGACAAGTCATGCTTAGCTCCAAGGAAGGCTCAGGGCAAATGTAGCAAGCAGGTCAGTTTCCAGAACAATCTGTCCAATAGGCATTTCAGTAAACTGCTGACTTTACTTACTGTCTACTGCTGAGTTGACTCAGGAGTAAACTCCTGGGGCTATTCCTGGGGCAGGAATTGGGAGTGTCACATGAACGCCTGCACATAGTAAGTGCTCAATTATTATTATATTCTATTTCTTCTGATCCTCCCCAAGGGCACCAAGGCTGTGGGAATGGTTGTTCACCCTGGATGGATTTACTTCGCCCCTCTTGGAATTGCTCTGTTTTTCATAAATTGAGAGACTTAGGGGCAAGATATTATTTGTGTCTACACATTGCACATTAAAGTTCCCTAAGAGTTCTTTGATGAGGATACTTTCGAATTTCTGAAGTAAAGAAAAAGGTAATAGAGCACATAATCCTTTCTGTCAGGTTTGTATAAAAGACATTATGTGATTAAGCCAGTGTCTGCGTTCCAGGAGCCTGCACTCAGCCCACATGAGTTTTTGATTGCTGGTTCTGTCTGTATTGTTTGAGTCCTCTCTTTGATTCTCTATTCCTAAGACAAGGCTGAAACCACAGGAAACCAAAAAGGAAGCCAGGTAACAAATGTTCCTCAGAGAGGTGAAGCCCTGTGGATGAGAACTCGCGTGCCCTGGGGCTCTGTGGGCTGTGATGCTGGAATAGGTCAGGGTGGGCACACGTTCTTGTGCTTATTTTGCAGCTGGGCTTTGGGAGACAGGGAGACATTCCACAATGGTGGAGCCATTCCATATTCCAAGGGTGACAGAGCCCTGCCTTCCATTATAGGAGACTACGACAATGTTTGTCAATCTTCACTTTCCTTCTCTACGCAATACAGATTTATTACTTCGCTCTTGAATGCAAGATTGGCCGCATGACTTGCTTTAGTCATTGAAATTTGGGCAGTAGTGACTGTGTGAATTCCAAGCAGAAATTTTATTATTCACTGCATCCCTGTCTTCCCTCTAATGTGAGATTGACAATCTGCCATTTAGTGGCCCCTCTGTCAGTCTTGGTGCAGAGCAAATACCCTGTGGGACAGAAGAATGTGTCCTTGTGAGTGAGAAGCACATAGCTTCTTGCCACTGCCTCTAACATTTAGGGCCACTTGTTGTCGGATCATAACTGAACCTGTCCTGACTGAGGCATACATCGTGCCCCAGGGACCTCTGACCTCTCCCTTTCCACAGGAGCCAGAACCCAGGGCAGAGCCCTCATGGGAATGAAGCATCCCATTCAGAAATGCTTGTCGGGATGCAGAGAATGGGCTAACATGTTTTCAGATGCCTAGGTCGTGAAGATTTCTAAAAACCCCGCATCTTATCAGTCTCACTCAGGATCAGCAAACCACCTTATTTCACTTTCCATTAGCTTGGGAGTGCTTTGCAGAAGAGAGAAGAAAAGGCAGGAAAGACTTCCCAAATCATTTCAGGAACTGGAGAGTGATTTCACTCATCTTATTAACAAGCCTGTGATGAAGGGAACATGCCACCTGAGTGTGCAATTCATCGGTGTCACTGTTTTGCCTGGTTCAAATCAACTATGGGAGATAGGCTGTTGACCACATTTCTGCCCTCGCTGGTGGTACGAATGGCCCCCTCCAGACAGGAGGAAAGCAGTCAGCCCTCCCTGAGAGGGGTTCTTCAGGATTTCCTTCCCCTTTCTAATGAGGGGCTTTCATACCTCCTAGAAATTTTTTTTAATTTTCATTTTATTTTATTTTATTTTATTTTATTTTATTTTATTTTATTTTTTTAATTTTATTTTTAGACAGAGTCTCACTCTGTCACCAGGCTGGAGTGCAGTGGCGTGATCTTGGCTCACTGCAACCTCCACCTCCCAGGTTCAAGTGATTCTCCTGCCTCAGCCTCCTGAGTAGCTGGGACTACAGGCGCCCGCCACCATGCCTGACTAATTTTTGTATTTTTAGTAGAGATGGGGTTTCACCATGTTGGCCAGGATGGTCTCTATCTCTTGACCTCGTGATCCTCCCGCCTCAGCCTCCCAAAGTGCTGGTATTACAGGCGTGAGCCACCATGCCTGGCCCTGGATCTTATTTTTAGAAATGAATCTGAGATAGGAATATAGTATTTGTATTCTTGACACCTTCCTTATAATTATCATTTACTTGATGAGATTATTGCTTTGTTTTGGGTTTCTCAACTAAGCCTCTCATTATATTTTGTTCGGAAACACAAACCATCTTTGGGTATGGGGAAGAGGACTTCATTTCAGGAATCGGTACGGGAAGGGACTTGCCACACCTTCTAGAACTGAGTGCGTAGAACGCAAAAGTCCAACAATCCAGCCCCTGTCGGTAAAGCCCCAAATAGAGCCAAGCACCTGCCACTGCTGGGAAATGCATCTCTCCACCCTTATCTTTTTCCAGAGCCAAGTTCCAAATGCACATTGAAGACAAAGCTGAAATGTTTGTTTCTCCTTTCCCCTATTATTTTTCAATTTTCTGTGGCTCTGCACTTCCTGCTGGCCCTCACCAGAGACCTGAATACAGATCCCAGAGATGCAGCCTCTTGTATAACCAGTGCCCCCCGGGGCAAGCAGAATGATATGTTTTTGGAGATGTGCATTTTTTCTTTGCTCATTTTCTTGCATCAACGCAGAAGAGGAGGTAGTATGGGGTCTCAGATTTTTGGAAAGTAAAATTAAATTAGCAGGCTAGGTGGACACACCAAAATTGGACAATTTAGGTCCCATTTTCCTTGAGTTGTTTAGACAGATGGGTACAATTTTCACTTGCAGTTTGATCCAAAGGGGGAGTTGATGACTGGTTCTGAAATGAGCTTCCTTTATCCCTCCGTGAGCTAGTTGGAAAGATGCAAAGCAGAAGCCCAGGAAGCTGCTAACCAAGGAGATGGGGTGGCAGAGAGGGGAGCTGAGAAAAAGCGGAAGGATGGGCATTGCTGATAACTCCTCAGCTAAGCTTGCTGGTGATTAACCTGGTAATAAAAGTCAACTCTGTGAGTCAAGCCTGGATATGAAGAGAGAGCCCAAAATGGGTATAAAACAATCTCCCTTTGCTTAGAAATTGACAGCTGACGTTGTGTCCCCTCTGGGAGCCTGCAGGAGGCAGCCCAGCCCTGCTAGCATTCTGGGAGAGCTCCGACTGCAGCTGCCTGGACCTGATGAACAGCGAGATGCTTCCTTACAAACTCGATAGGGCAAAAGTTTTATCCGCAGCTTTTAATTTGTAAGGTCTTGTGATGGTTTTTCATAATGATGACAGCCTGCCCGTGGTGCCCGCAGTACACCGTGTGCGCGCCGACTTTTTCTTGTCCTTCAGCAAGAGCTATTTTGCTCATTAGCTTCAGTATGAGGGAGAAATTGCCGGCTCCCTCTGAAGATTTTGCCATTGGGTGACCTGATAAGCAGAATGCAAATGTGCAAATGTAGCCGGAGCCCAGCATCTCGTATCTCCGTGGCTGTAAGGATGCATTTCTTAAGTGGTTTCATGAGCTGAAACGTGTGGGGTGAGCAGGGAACAGGCTGCTGTGAGTGCTGCTGAGGGGGTTTGAGAGGCAGGGTTTCCAGGTGTTCTTAGTCCAGCTCCAGCAAGAGAGAAACTCTTAGGTGTCTTACTCAGGTTTTCAGGCAATTCATTTACAGCAACAACAAAACGAAACTCTACTTTTTGTTCTGCTTGCTTGGTGTTATTTTTAATTTTAGTTAGAAGTAGATTTTCTGTTGTGGGGATTCCAAATAGACATTTACCCAAGGGACACCATTTAATAGACATCCTTTGCAATAAACATTGGATTTTCTTCATAATTCTTTATAGGTAGCCTTGTGGTAAATTGTTACATATTACTTTTATTTTATGAACAACTCAACAACTTTTCATTAGCTCCTATTATGAGGAGGATTCTCCACTAAGGGGTGATGCAGAAACATGGCTCTTGCTCCCCAGAAAGTCTCAGCCTAGAGGCCTGATGAGAGGAGCAAATAGAGATGACTGGAATGCATGTGCTCAGCTGGCTGGTCTCTTGGCGTAGGTTCTGGGAATTCTGGGAACATAGAGAAGGGTCAGGAAGGGGCTCGCCCTCCCCACAGACAGTGGCGGTAAAACTGAGTCACCTAGGCTGAGGAAGAGTTGGCTAGATAGAGAAGAAAAACCCCGTAGAAATCTGTGCCTCCAGGTGGCTGCTAGGATCTTGAAATAAGATAGGCAGGGTGAAGGGTCCAGGTAACATGTTGAGTAAGCAGGGGGCAGTCATTCTATAGCATGTTGTAAGAGGGTGGGGATTAGATAAGGATCGTATAAAAATGGGAGCTCTGTTTACCATGCTAAGAAATTGGGATTTCATCCTCAAGATCAAAGGATGACTTTAAAAATTGTGTAAGGAGGGGAGTGATAAGATCTGATTAGCCTTTCATAAAGATTCGTTAACGGCAAAGACAATGGACTGGTGAGAAATGAATACTGGTGGCAGAGTGTCTTGCTCTCCGATGGGTTAAATAAGAAATAAGATCCCGACCTTGCAAAAAGACACAGGACTAGAGAAGAGGGTGATTTGAGAGATACTCAGTAGGTACAAAGGTCAGGATCTTTTAATAGTTTGGATATGGGTGGTGAGAGGAAGAGGTGAGCAGGGATGGTCCCCAGGATTCTGATTCTGGAAAGTGGGTAGATGGAAAGCTGTGTCCAAAATGGGGACTGGAGGAGGAGGAATGAGCCAGGAGCAGGCATTCAGAGAGGAGATGTAGGTGTAAATTTAAATCTGCGGAGATGTCAAGTAGGCAGTTGAATAAATTTGAGTTCAGAAAAGAGTTCTGGCCTGCATGTAGATATGGATATAGACATATAGATGTATAGATTATATATAGTAGCCTGCTCGGCATAGTTAATCTGAGGGTGTGGGCTGGGTATGCGGGTGAAGTAAGGAGGCTTGGGGGCCTTTGCATGCAAGGAATTGTAGAAGCCCAGGAAAGATGAAAGGAAGGATATGGCCAAAAAGGTGGAGAAACTGCAGGAGCTGGTTTCACGGAAGCCAAGGTAGGAAAGTGTTTGGAGGACAGAGTGGTCAGAATGATCCCTAAGAAGGAGACGGGTGGTGAAAAATGATCTTTTGAAATTTACAAACTAGAGCTCTTCAGAGCTCGACAGATTCAATATTACAGTAGAAGCAGAAGGCAGATGATAGACGGAATGAAGGGTACAGGGAGGTGAGAAAAGAGAACTCCAAATGTAGACCACTCTTTCATAACATTTCTCTGTCAAAGGAGAAAAGGTGATGCATTCAAGACAGTAAAATGAAAGCAGGGATGGAGGCAAGTAAAGAGTCCCTCCTCTCACAGACTGTTGGTTTTCACTAGCAAGTATTTCCTCCTCCTCCTCCAGTTCTCTGCTCTGGCATTAAGAGACCTTCCCAGTAGCATAAGAGGTGAATTTCCCCTCAAGTACATACTCAGAGTGTGCCTCCTGTGGAAATCCTCAGCAATCTACACTAACCCAGGAATAGGATAAACAGGTTGCACTCTAATCCCATCTTGTATCACTCTTCTGGAAAGACACAAGCAACGGTTCTGGTGCAAAGTTCTCTGAGATAAGAAAAATTGCAATTCAAGGCAATGCAGAGCCGTGTCTTCCGTTCACAGAAACTTTGATTCTCATCTTTGCAAAGCTCAGCATTTTACTATCCTCCTCGCTATTCTTCCTTTCTCAGGCTTCACATTCCCTCCTCTTTTTTCCTTCTCCTTCTATTGGCCACCTCTCAGTCTGAACTCTTTCTCACTTCCCAATGTCCCCTCAACTGCTCATGACATATTTTGATAGTATTTTCCCTCGAATGGGCTTGAATTGTTTTCCTAATAAGTGGTGTTCCTCTGTAATTTTCAGGCAGCTTGTTAAGATACTGTTTTTTTTTACTTCTATTCTTTTTTATTATTATTATTTTTTAATGCTGATAATTAAAAATAACAATGGGATGAAGAGACCTTTTCCCCAATGAAACTTCCCAAATTTTTGGACAAAAAGAATGTGACAAAACCTTATGTAAAAGAATAGTCATAATTGCAGAACCTGTTACAAAAATAAAAAATTCTAACGACCTGAGAAAAGTAAGGGTGGATATGGCCACTAAAACATGCACTTTTATTAAATTTAGAGAAGGAATTCGTGATTTGAAGGCATTCACGATTTATCAGAACCCTCATTTTGTGGCTTTTTGCGGGGGGCCAGGGTCAGGTCAGCCTGCTCATGGCAACTTCCTCAATTTTTTTTTTTTTTTTAATCAGAAGCATGAGCACATTCGTGCGGATGGGAATGACAGCAGGAGCCTCCCTCCTGGCTCCATCCTGCTCCGCACATCCCCTAGGGACCCTCTACAGATGAGCGTGGGTCCTCTGGTCAGAGATCTCTGTGTGAGCTGCTCCTATTCACCCTCTCTGCAGGGTGACTCTGGTGAATGCTGGGCCCTGATCTGCCTTCGTCCTTTTAAGGATTGCTTCTTCTCACCCAGGGTCCTCCAACCAAAAAGTGGGCACTTCCGTGTTCTCGGTGAGAAGTAAACAAGTGTCAGCTGTGACAACGTGTCTCACTGTCTTACCTGGGAATGCATCTCAGCAAGGGAACTCCAACTTCTATATCCAGATGGAGCCCCCACGTGTGATACTTCACATCTGTGGGGTAGTCTGAGAAGCACGTTTCCCAGGGGGCAGTCTATTCTATAGCACCTTGTAAGAGGGAAGCAACCTCCTTCCCTTATTTCTCCGGTTTTAAACAGAATAAGGAGATGGGAAAGTGGAGGCCCAGGGAAAAAGGTGCCTGGTGTGGAGGCCAGAGATGCTCCCATCAGACATAAGCCCCTCTGCTGTTACCCCAACTCTCAGGGAAGAAGAGCTGAGCCACTTAGAGTCTTGGATATTTCCAGTAGGTTGGCTAGTGTCAGAAAGGCCAGCTCTCGAGTGAGCAGGCCCGGGTGCAGAGAGCTTTGTAGCAAACCAGCAAGAAGCTAAGATGGGTTCCAAGGCAACCTGAGCTCTGAGAGCCGTCCTCCCGTGGACCACTGCAGTGCTCCTTCCGTGTGGACGCAAATAGCTGAGCGATGCCTGAGCCTACCATTTGAGCAGCTGGGTTCTCGCCTTGTCCTCTGGAGGACTCGCTCTCCTGTGGAGCAGCCTCTCTGTGACTCCTGCGCTGGTTTCATCCAGCCATAAGCCCTCCCCGTGGTTCATGCCGGAGCTGACAGGAAACGGACTTCCACCTCCCCCATCTTCCGAGAACGCCTCTGGGTATCTGGCTGCGGGGCAGGCTCCCGTCTCTCCCACAGCTCCAGTAATTTCTAGCGCTTTTCTCTGAGCTGCTGCAGAATGTGGGAGGCTTGACTCAGTCCTGATCCAGATGCCAAAGCGAAACTCCTCCAGAGCCGCCCACAAGACCCTCGCGGTGCCCCTTCCAGGGTCCAGGCTGCAGGGACCCCAGGGAGAAGGTCACCCCGTGGAACACACAGCCCGCTGTGGAGACTGCTCCCTCGCCAATCGCTGCCAAGGCTTTCAGGCTGTGAAATGAATATTTTATTACCTTATGAAGGGGAAAAAGATTAAATTAGCAAAATGATGATAAAAAAAAAAAAAGGATAACCTGACTTCAA
Organism: Homo sapiens; assembly: GCF_000001405.40. Lineage (NCBI taxonomy): Eukaryota > Metazoa > Chordata > Mammalia > Primates > Hominidae > Homo > Homo sapiens. The sequence goes on along the minus strand of NC_000011.10, from coordinate 133,152,858 downwards.
CCCTTTTATTATGCTTCACACAACTAGACAGCAAATTGCGTGCTGGGGCTTCGGCTTAGATGGCTGTAAAGAATCTAACTTTTGCTTTCAAATTAACCTGTCAAATCATATATTTATAAAGGAATGAAGGGAGGAAAATGAGGGGCCTAGGTAGTCCCACGCATCAATTAGAGAGAAATTAATTACAATTTACCTGCATTAGCACGTGAACACTCCCAGATTACTGAAGAAATGTCTCTGCACCAGGAAAAGAGTCAAAACAGACCAGTCTGTGGAGGTTGGGGGGGGATCAGGAGGGAAGGGGTTACCTTGGGTCCAAGGTGGGAGTGGAGAGGATTAGGGAGGGTGGGCATTGCAAGAGGTATGAAAGAGGCCGGCAATTAGACATTCTTCCCGGTCGATGTGGATGCAGAAGTCTCTAACTAATGGCATGTTTTGATGAAGCAACCTTTAAAGGAAACTCCGAGTTCTTAAATAACGAAGTGGGCACTCACATGAAACAATGCCACACAGCTCCAGATAACAATGGAGTTTTGCCTACTGTTGATAAGCATCACAAAATAGAAGGCAAACACTCTTTTCCGCTTTCTTCGGGGAGCTGAGTGGTAGGGGAATCAGAGTGGGAGTGGGGAGGTAAGGAAGGAGATTGGAAGGGGTATCTGACCCTCTTTTTAAATCATTCCTCTTTTTTTGTTCAGCGGTTTGGATTCTGAAGGAGGTTAAAAATAAGATCAGACAGTTTCTGACACCTGAACTCCAAGGTAGAAACAATACATGGGGGATAAAAGGGACAACTAGTCATCAGATTATAAACTAAATCTCTGTTTCTGTTCCTCAACAACTGTGAACAAAAAAGATGTCATTGTTCTTCATACAAAAATCACCAAAACCCTCTGGAAGGTCAAGAGCTAGAAGCATTCTCTTCCTGGGGGATCCTGCCAAGGCACTCTGAGGAGTCCCAGGTGTCTTGAATGGAAGGATAATGGTTTCTGAGGGCCTGGGGTCTTTTTTCAGCCTTGGGGATCTCAGTTGAGATTTTTGCTGAAATCTAGAGAACTCTAGACCAAGATTCCCACCTCCATCTCCTGCTCTTCTCTCGAGAAGCCCTAACTGATCCCGTGATAGAACACAGGTGGGAACCAGGAGCAGTGTCCACAGGGTGAAGAATAGCCTCTGGGACAGAGCTGTGGAGGGTCAGGGCTTGGGCTGCCAGCAAACCCCAAACTAGTGAAGATGTATTTCTCCTTAACTGAAAAATTAGATTAATCATAACTGCACTTTCCTCATCCAATAATTTTCAGGGATCAAATTTATATACCAAAGCTCTTTTATAAATTCTGGACAAGGTCATATTGATACAGGCTCTTCTAGCTTTTAAAAGTGTGCTTCTTTTTTGAAAAAAAAATACATTCTCTTTTTCCTCCTTCCTTCCTCCCCCATCTTCCTGCATCTCCAGCAGCCAAAGGGCAAACCAGCCATTGCCAATTGTGTGGGAGCCTCTGAGGCCCATTAGATCCTTGTTTTCCTCTTTTAAAGTTTTTTTCTTTTTCCCCTGGGGTTCATGAATTATTATTATTATTATTATTGAGACAGAGTCTCGCTCTGTTGCCCAGGCTGGAGTGCAGTGGCATAATCTCAGCTCACTGCAACTTCCGCCTCCCGGGTTCAAGTGATTCTCCTGCCTCAGCCTCCTGAGTAGCTGGGATAACAGGCGTGCACCACCACGCCCAGCTAATTTTTGTATTTTTAGCAGAGACCGGGTTTCACCACGTTGGTCAGGCTGGTCTCGAACTCCTGACCTTGTGATCCGCTCACCTCAGCCTCCCAAAGTGCTGGGATTACAGGCATGAGCCACCGCACCTGGCCGACGAATTATTAATGTCTCTGAAATAGCTTTGGAGGCCACTCTCTTTCTAGAAGGGTTCCGGGGCAGGGGAGGATGTGGCTTCCTGAGGAGCTCTCAGTCCTTCTCAGCTGCCCTTTGGGTCTGCACATGCACCCATTTGCTCAGCCCTGTGGCCATCCCACACAAGCTGACCACTTCTGCAGTGTCGGAGCTGGAAGGCACACTCATTTTTATGACCAGGTCTACAAGGTCCATTAGAGAGATTCCTGCAGGTTTCTTTCCTGGGGAAAGAAAAGAGAGAGGAGGAAGATTTTGTAAGATGCCAGGGCACCTTTGCCGACACTGCACAGTGGGTGCTGGGGTGGAGTGGGGTCTTATAGTGCCATGAGGCAGCCTGCATCCCACAGTCAGGAAGCTATCAGGACAGTAAGGGGCCAAGGCATCAAGTGGCTTCAGGTTTTAGAGGACACTGTAAGGCAGCATACGGTGCATGGATTCCGAAAACAACAGCCATGGGCTCAAATTCCTGCAGCTCTAATTTTTACAGAGGTGGCAACTGAAAACAGAGGGTTCAGAGTCCTGGGTTGAAACCCCAGCTGCACCATTTCGCACCTGCATCAACTCAGGCAAATTTCATAACCTCTGGAACCTCAGATTCTTCATCTGCAAAATGAAGACGATGACAGAAGCCCTCAGGGCTGTTGGAGGAAAGGGTGAGACCATCCATGCAAAGGGTTTAGCGCAGTCCCTGACATGGAGTAAGGGCTCGATACACATTAGACTTTGTGATTATTACTAGCATGCCCTAAATGGGCACCTGATATATCTGGAGGCTGTGATTCCTCATTTGTGGAGAATAAAGACACAGAAAACATGTTTCCCAAGACCACTATTTAAGGTTTAAATGAGATAACAAAAGAAAACTGCTGTGGCCTGGGCCTGGCCCAGAGAGAAAGGAGTGAGTGGAGGTGGGCAGTGTTAATCAAGGGATGCTGGCTGGAGCCCTCTGTAGGCAGGGACGGAGTTCTGGGAGAACACAAGCACCAGACGCTTCCCCTCCCCAGTGCTGAGTACAAGTGCTCCGGCCTCTTGAAGAGTGATAGTGACTCAACTCTGGCATAACCACCTCCCTGCTCCCAAAGCAGGCTCTACTTTTATCTCCCCAGACGATCCTCCTGTGAATGGTCAGGCTTTGGATCCAAATTGGATGTCTGCTGTTGAGAATGAAGGATTACTGAGCTGATGGGATGTGCCCAGGGTGGCCTAACGGTCAGCCAGACACCACATGACAAAACAGCAGCAGCTTCAGTGAGCCAGCAGCACCATCCTCAACTGCACATGCTCTAATAACTAATTGGACAAAGTTTCCACAGCCGATTATCAAGTCAAAAACTGATATTTCTTCTGTCTCTGGCAACATCAAGCGTGCGGGTGGGGGTTGAGAGAATTTGGAGGTGGCAACCGACTTATCAGGGACACACTAAATGGTAGAAGGGATGGAAAAGAGGAGATGTAAATTGTATGTCTTCTTTGCAAGTAAATTAACTTCGTTTTACTTTAAGTGGGAAGCCTAGCAGTTGCCTGGGGCCTCTCCTTTTACTGGCTTAAAGAGGCAGGCTAAAAACAGTAGGAAAGAACATTTGCAGGGGGAAATATATGGGTGATATACTACAATGTCAAATTGGAAGATTTCCTCATATCCACAAATCAGGATTCATCTGAATCTCCCGTAGGACCTGCTCCAAATGTCGTCCGTTACCAGTTCTTAATTTATGTTGCCCCATTTGCAAGTATCATGGTGCGTAACAAAGTTAGGACGAACAAACCACAAAACCTAAATAACAGACCTTCAGAGATGAAGAGGACAGCCATCAATTTAGATTTTTAAGCTGCTAAGTAGAATTGAGGTGGCTGTCTGGGTCTGTTGCTTTTCCCAGTTCAGAGAGCAGGTGAAGTGTGGTGTTCAAGGAAGGAGGGGAAGAACGGCTGGCAGTGGGTGAGGGAACTTTTTCTCCACTCTCCTCCTCTACCTTAACCCCTCTCTCCTTCTCAAGACTGAATGCATCAGCCTGCTTGGTTAATCAGGACCCTAAATCCTGAAGTATGGTGGATGCTGCCTGCCCAGTCCATCACTCTAAGCCTTCCTTCCTTCCCTTTTTCAGCTGTCATCTAAGGCAGCTTCCTGAGTGCCAGGGTGGAAAACATGCTGTGCTCAGAGTCAGAATCTGAGTTGGGTCTCTCTGATCCTGGACAGCTCACTGAAACTCTGGACCTCGTCTCTGCCATTTGTAGAGCTGGGACACCAGAACCACTTCCCCTCCTCCCCTGGAGGGCGGTGGGATGGAGCGAGCGCTGAAGTGCGCATGGATGTTTCAGTTCTTCGCCCCCTGCAGGGCGGTGGGATGGAGCGAGCAATGAAGTGCACATGGCTGTTTCAGTTCTTCACCACTCCTCTCTTCTGTCTACCCGAAGGCCAGTCTCCTGCAAAGTGGACAGAGATTCCAAACCAGTGCCCAGGGCTGTGAAAACCAACAGCCAGCGATACTTCCCTCCCTCTTGTTTCAGAGAGGTTGGAGCCATCATTTCCATTTACCAACGCAGTAAGAAGCAGATATCTGGAGGCGACAGGGGAGTCTGCATGGATTGCACGTTCCCTCCAAGTTTATCGTCTCTGGCTGTGAGCTCTCAGTACAAATTATCTGATCAATGGCATGAGGGAGCAAGCTTGGTCAGTGTTAGAGTAAGGCAGTGGGCAAGCCTCACCTCACAGTACCTGGGCCACAGGAGAGAGGCTACCTCGTGAGGAGCAGTAGAGGAAATGGGAGCTCTCAGTGGATCTTCTGAAGGGAGGAGGGAAATGAGACCTCTGGATTCTATAGGAGTTTAGCATTTTGAGAAATCCACTTAATTTTCTCCTGAAAGGCAGCTATTTGGGGGCAGACAGTGGAAAAGCTGGCTGTGTGGCTGCCTGGTGGCCCCAGGGTGACATTCTCACCTTTATCACCATGGCTTCCCAACATCAGATGGCAGCTGGGGTGGGGAGGGATGAGAGATGGGCAGGAGGAAGAAAGCGTTCGCTGAGTAACAACTGCAGGACGGGCAGTAAACGGGGCAATTTTGAGTTAAATGCCATCATCATTCCGTCTTTGCAGATGAAGTAACAGAGGTTATGAACTAGCTGAGTATGCACAAGTGATGAGTAACAGTGTGAACCGGTGAATTCCTCAAGGACAGGGATTCTATCATTTGCAGTTTGTACAACCAGGACCTGTCTGCTCTGGTGCCTGGCACTCAGTAGGGACTGATTTAAAGGGGGATGTGGTGAGATGGGGAGCAGGGCGGGTTACATCGGCTTTTGTTGAGCCCCTGTGAAGTATCAGGCAGAGCCACCCATCCCTTCTGTGTATTACCTGGTTTAATTCCCAAAACATCGATCCCAGGTAAGCATTCTTATCCCCATTTTATAAACCCACACATGCTTGCTAAGGTCAAAGTCACTGCTGCTTACCATCGAAATTGGCCTTTTTCTCGCTCAGAGGGTAGAGTCTTCCTGTTTTGAAGCGGGTAGGGCTTTCTCCGTGTCCTGTCTGCTCAAGATGCACCTCCCAGATGCCAGATCTGCACGCTGGGCCTAGCTTTCTCCTTTCTCAACTTTGGCCTCCAGACTATCAAAAGTGATAACTCCTCAAATCTCCCATGACCTACTGCCTCCCTCGTCTTCTTTTACCTGCCTCTCCCCTTCTGAGTGGTCAGCAGGTTTTCTTGTTCCTCTGTGTTGGTGAGAGATGCTGCAGACAAAGCCTGCGTGTAGAAAGTGGCACTGCCTATCAGCCTTAGTGATAGGAACACCCCCCTGAAGAGCTATTTAAAGTTGAAGTGATCAGAGGAGGCGGCAGCCCCTGACACTCAGGGATTGGGTGCCGTGCCCTGTTGCTGACTGAAGGAGTTCTGTTCTTTTAATATTTGATGGGGCTGCCTTGGAGACATTTATTTAAGCATGCTTCATTCATTGGAGTCTCCTGCAGAGGGGAAGCTTGCAGGGGAAGGCACCACGGCTTCTCAGTACTCAGCAAAGGTCAGGAGGGGAATAGCTGATAAATTGGACAGCTCTTTTTAGAAGTGTAATCTCAACTGTGTGTGTTTTTTCCCCTTGTCCACAGTGAACATGGGCTCTAGCCCTGTCATGTTACTGGGCCTGTGCTGGGGGGAGTTCCCTACTTATGCAAGAGACAGATGAGGATAGGAGATAGAGGTCCCGGCGTGGTGGTTCATGCCTGTAATCCCAGCACTTTGGGAGGCTGAGGCAGGCAGATCACCTGAGGTCAGGAGTTCAAGACCCAGCCTGGCCAACATGGTGAAACCTCATCTCTACTAAAAATAGAGAAAAATTAGCCTAGCATGGCCAGGCACGTTGGCTCATGCCTGTAATCCCAGCACTTTGGGAGGCCGAGGCGGGCAAGTCACAAGGTCAGGAGTTCAAGATCAGCCCTGCCAACATAGTGAAACTCCGCCTCTACTAAAAGTACAAAAATTAGCTGGGCATGGTGGCGGGTGCCTGTAATCCCAGCTACTCGAGAGGCTGAGGCAGGAGAATCTCTTGAACCCGGGAGGCAGAGGTTGCAGTGAGCCAAGATTGTGCCATTGCACTCCAGCCTGGGCGACAAGAGAGAAACTCTGTCTCAAAAAAAAAAAAAAAAAAAGAAAAGATGGAAGATAGAGCATGGCAGGGAACATCTCCACACTCTCATTGATCATGACCTCTCCCTCCCAGAGCTCCAAGCATCAGCTCACTCATCATCCCTGTGTCCTTATCAAGAAGACCATTAGTGGGATTAGTAGCCCCATTTCTCTTTTACGCAGCCACAGTCCCACAAAGGCTGAGTGATTTATCTGGCAGCACACAGTACAGGCACAGTAAGCCTAGAGTAAAAATCTCAGCTCTTAGAACTCTAGTCCCTCGCTTCAATCATGGATCTATGCTAGCATTTAAAAATGGAAATAATAAGACATTATCACAGGGCTACCATTGTTAGAAATGTCTATGAACATCATTAATACCTTGTAAGGTATTCGCCAGTGTAAATTCATTCTCTCTCCTCCCTTTACTTTTTAAATGACACTCTCCACTTCCTGTCATCATGGTTCCAACTTCCAGATCTTTTGTTTGCTCCTTCCTCTCTGTTGTCTGCGAATTCACTCAGCAACCACAGCCTGCCCATTGGTTATACCTTCCAGTGCTGACCCCTCCGGCACACAGCTGAGGGCACAGCACCAGCTCAGGGCCTCATGGCCATGTCCCCACCTTCAAATCAGTCTTCCTACCTCCACGCTCTTTCTTATCCAATGTGCCTTATGTACTGCCGTAAGGGTTACCTTGCTTCTTTCTTTTTGTCCTGCCTCTCCTGTGTTCACAAGCTGTGGGTGGCTCTTCATTGCATTCAGAAGAAAGCACAAGTATTTAAGCCTCACATTTGAAGTTCTCAACACTGTGACCTTATCAAACTTTCCAGGTTTCCTTCCAGCACAACTTTTTCTCAACTGCTACTCCTATCCCCATGCCTAATTTGCTTGCTGACCAATTTAATAATTACCTTTCTCTGGTTTACCTTTAAGAGGTTCTGTCTTGCTACAATTGCCTTTTCTACCTTCTCCCTTTTCTATAATTGCCAGTCAACATTGCATCTAACTTGCAAAGCTTCAGTAAATTTCATCTCCTCGTAAATGTCCTGTGATATGGCCACTCTCCTCCACCTTGATAAAATATGTCTTTCTAGAACATTTCCACAGCACCCTGCCTCAGTTATAGCACTGTCATTAATCGTAGTCAGCCCTAGATTAATTAATAGTAGACAACTTTATCTCTTTATCCCCCAAAGAATCAGGTAAGCATACATGATAAGTCCAAAGCATATTTGTTTAAATGAATTCTCACCTGGTCTCACTCGCTGCCGTTTTCTGCTGATTCCCACATGCCACCTGAAGACTCAGCTCCCATCTGGCCACTGTTGTTGCTAAGAGCCCAGGTTACCTCTTGCCTAGATGCCCACAAAGTAGCTGCTTTCTGCTTTCCAGAAACTTGAATTAATTCGCTGCTCGGCTGTGCTAATTTCACTTTGTCTGTCACCCAGATGTCTGTGTATTGTTTTTGATTCATTGCTTGAATTTGGATCTATAGCTTCTGCTGTTTTACTAGAACATGATGGAAATATCTCTTAGCTACCTGTTACCAAAACACATGTAAAAAATAGCTTCTTTTGTTAGAATATAGACACTTGATCACTTGTTTCAATTCATTTGAGATAAGACTGGATATAAACACATAAAGATAAGGATGGATATACAAGTATAGGAAGTCAGACCATAATCAAACTCATCTAATCACTTATGCACTCGACAAATGCTTACGAAGCTTTGACTGTGTGCTGGCCAGCGTGCTAGATGCTTCCCATGTGCCGAAAGCACAGCTGAAGGCTTCCCTGGGCTTGTAGGAAAGACACTCTTGATAGGTTCTCACAACTCACAAATCGAGTCCATCCCTCCTTGCCATCACTTCTGGATGGGGAGGAATTTGAAATGGATACGCCAGCTGCCTGAAGAAATAAAACATTATTGCTGAAGAGGGTCAAAAGGCAACCCTCTAAACAAAAGGGGCAAGGGGTTGCTTAATGGCATGGATGTGTGTCTCCCTTTGGGCTGGAGCCAGGCTCTGCTCAGGGCCTGTGCAGGCAGGTGGCAGGGAGTGCCATGGTCGCATGGGGCTGAATCCTCACGGAATCCCTGGGAACCAGCCCTGGGAAGAGAGCGCAGTGAAGCAGAGATGGGCTGCTGTTTTTTCCCTGTTTTTCTAGTGACTGAAGCATTCGTCGTGAAAGAAAAAGGGAGTTGTCCCTCCTTCACATGCCCTTCTTGAAGCTCCCTTCAACGTCCTCTCTCAGAGGAGAGAAGAAGATGAGACACAAGGAGGCAGGCAGACCCTAAGTGGCACCTCTTCACATCCAGACATGAAACAAGAACCAGACAAAACAGCATGAGCTCAAGGGCCATATGAGCCCTCCTCCATCTCCACAGAGTAGCATCTCAAGAGCCCTCCACCTTCCATCTCTCTTACCTCTTCCTGCCTCTTAGAAAGAGCAATGTGGTTTATAAGCCGATTGCAGCTAGTATCACAGCAATTGAATGTGTATTTCCGTGGAAGAAAATAACAATGGTATTTATTAACCTAGAAAGATAAGTAGGCACTTTCTCAGCAGTCCTGGCTTCTAGTTGAGAGGTTAAGGCAGGCCAATAAACATCCCTTTCCTCATTTACCCGACAAGGAAAATGGCATCATCCGATTCATGCCTCCTTTATCTCAGTTTGCTCTGAGGTCCAGCTGAGATGAGATATGGGGAAGGGCTTTGAACAGTGCATTAGTTATTCTAAAAGATCCTAAGTGTTCTCGTAAGCAACCCACAGATTTTAGTGCTTAATCAAAAATTGTTGTTCCTTTCTCACATGTCACAATACTATGTGGGTCTGCAAGGAGTCTGCTCCATGCATGCATTCTGGGACCCAGACTTCTTTCATGCTGTGGATCTGTCACCTGCAGACCTGATGTTTCTAGGTCATGTTGGTCATTCCACCCCATAGAGAATGGGAGAGGAGAGGACATGGCCTCACCCTGGGATGGCCACGTTACTCTCACTCTCATTCCACTCAGCAAAGCTAATGATAGTGTTCCACCAAAATGGAAGGGAGTTGTGAAGGTAGTTTCTGTGTGCCTTAGAAGGAGAGACAGACCTAGTGAGATCTAACCAGTCTCTCTTCAGTCGCTGTAGGCTATTGCTCATATGTCACTGACATTCTATCTTGGAAACAGAGGAGGCCAGACTGCTTCCTCCTCACATCCATCCAACATCCAGCTACACTCTGGAGTCTGACTCATCTGCTAAGGCCCCTCACATGGAGTAGATATTCAGTACACACTGGGGCTGTTTGTGAGGAACGTGGTCTCTGGAGAGGTTGGACTGCAGGTATCCAACCACATCTAAGGACAAGAGCCAGCAGCATGGCCCATGCCTGGGTTGCACAATTACAATCACATTGAAAGATGCATGGCACAGGAATATGAGAAGGCACTTGGAGTTCTTTGCCCAGACTGTGTTGTATGGGCAGAGACCTCCAAGTGCCTTCTCATAGTCCTTGCACTTGGGGAAAAAGCGTTTGGACTTTGGCCTGAAGTCATCAGAATTCCCATCATACAACAGCCATCTCTATGCCATGCTCACCCTACTTTCTCTTTTGCACGTTCCTTCACACCTCTTATTTATCAACCATTCAGTGTGTCAGTGGAAATAGGCAGCTCATGCACTTTTATTCAGCAAAAAGCATGAGAACCTACTGTGTGCTATGTACTGCCAGGACTACCCATGTGAGTAAAATGAAAGCCCAGTCCTCATTGGCCTGATAGTCTAGGGATTAAAATAATAGACAGTAGTTAGTATTTGTAGTTTGTATTGAGTAAGCAATTCTGATAAAAGTGCAAAATAGATCAGGGGAAGTTAAAGAAATTATAACCAGGGATATCAGTGCAATGTCTTGAGCAGAGTTTAGGCTCCAGTGTGAAGCTGGGAAGACTTTCAAACAGCAAGAGTGACATGGACATAGGTCTTGGGAGCAATAGAACAATCATTCTGACCAGAGTGGGATAAAGACAGTCAGGCCACTGGGGAACATGTTGAGAAGAACATTGAGTGCCAAGCTACAGACTTTTGAATTTATTTATTAATGAGTTGCGACCCTTTTTTGGTTTTGGATCAGTGAAGCATATTGTCAGAACAATACATTTTAAAAAGTGTTCTGCTGGTAGAAGACATGGTGGATTGAAATAGAGGTGAGAATAGAGGAAAGTAAATAATATTAATAAGTACTACTTATTGAGAATTAACACACAACCAACTAATCATATCAACTACTCTGTGATGTATGTGCTATTATTATTTAATAGAGCTCTTAAAAGTCAGAGCTTGGGCTCTAACCCAGCAAACTCATGCCCTAAAAGCCAAGGAACTTGGCATAGTAATGAGGACAGCTTGAAAGTCAGGGTGGAGGTAATGAGAATGAAAGGAAAGATGGATGAGACAGAGCGTGAGAAGGAAGAATGGATCAGATTTGTTGATAGATTGAAATTAGGGGATAGTGAAGGTGGAAATATTAATCCTCATTATTATCCTGGATGGTTAAATAGTATTGTTAAGGAAATTAGGGGGAAACATTTGAGTGGGAAGGGAAAGGTAATTTTAGCTTCAGATATGCTGGTTGAAGCTATGTTGACAGCTCAGTGCAATAACTTATGCTGTCCCTGGAGAGAAAGCAGGGATTCTTGCTGGGAGCAGCCAGGTGAAGGTCCCAGGAGGCAGGAGAAAGGTGAGATTCAATAAAGATATGGGAAGCATCTGTGTGAAAGCGACAGTTATGAACTGCCGTCATCTGTAGGTAATGAAGGAGAGAGAGAGACAGGCTGAAGACAGATAGAGATAAGGGTTGAGAAGAGTGGGAAAAGGCTAGGGCTGCCCTGGTCAGGAGAGGACTTGAGGAACCCAAAAAAGATGAAGACTATTTTGTGGAGCAAAATTTGAAGACTTGTTGAAACCAGTTCTGTATGCACAGTTGATACAAACCAAAGGGAGAGGGAGAGCAAGCCAAAGAGAGAGAAAAAACAATGTGTGAACTCCAGGAGGGCTGGATCTGGAAACAAGAGTAAGGATGTCAGTGGAGAAATGGGTGAGGCCTCATGCGAGAGCCCGGCTTGGAATGGAGACCACGTGCCTGCACCATGCTGCCTTGTTCCTCTCCTTCACCTGCTGCAGCAGTGGTCATTTCACTCCAGGAGGCAATCTCAAGTCCACACACTTTGGCATTCAGCTGCTTCTTCTTCTCCTTCTTCTTCTTCTTCTTCTTCTTCTTCTTCTTCTTCTTCTTCTTCGTCGTCGTCGTCGTCGTCGTCGTCGTCGTCGTCGTCGTCGTCGTCGTCGTCTTCTTCTTCTTCTTCTTCTTCTTCTTCTTCTTCTTCTTCTTCTTCTTCGTCGTCTTCTTCTTCTTCGTCGTCGTCGTCTTCTTCTTCTTCGTCGTCGTCGTCTTCGTCGTCGTCGTCGTCTTCTTCGTCGTCGTCGTCTTCTTCGTCGTCGTCGTCGTCTTCTTCGTCGTCGTCTTCTTCTTCGTCGTCGTCTTCTTCTTCTTCTTCTTCGTCGTCTTCTTCTTCTTCTTCTTCGTCGTCTTCTTCTTCCTCGTCGTCGTCGTCGTCGTCGTCTTCCGTCTTCGTCTTCCGTCTTCTTCTTCCGTCTTCCATCTTTCTTCTTTCTTCTTTTCTTCTTTTCTTCCTCTTCCTCTTCCTCCTCTTCCTCCTCTTCCTCTTCCTCTTCTTCTCTTTCTTCTTTCTTCTTTCTTTTTTCTTCTTTCTTCTTCTTCTTCTTCTTCTTCTTCTTCTTCTTCTTCTTCTTCTTATTATTATTATTATTATTTTGAGACAGAGTCTCTTGTCACCCAGGCTGGAGTGCAGTGGTGCAATCTCGGCTCACTGCAACCTCTGCCTCCCAGATTCAAGCGATTCTTCTGCCTCAGCCTCCCAAGTAGCTGGGATTACAGGTGCCCGCTGCCACACCCTGCTAATTTTTGTATTTTTTTTAGTAGAGATGGCATTTCACCACATTGGCTAGGCTGGTCTTGAACTCCTGACCTCAGGTGATCTGCCCGCCTCAGCCTCCCAAAGTGCTGGGATTACAGGCGTAAGCCACCGCGTCCAGCCTATCAGTATTATTATTATTATTATTATTATTATTATTATTATTGAGACGGAGTCTCACTCTGTCGCCCAGGCTGTAGTGCAGTGGTGCGATCTCGGCTCACTGCAACCTCTGCCTCCCGGGTTCAAGTGATTCTCCTGCTTCAGCCTCCCCAGTAGCTGGGACTACAGGTGTGCGCCACTACGCCTAGCAAATTTTTGTATTTTTAGTTGAGATGGGGTTTCACCATATAGACCAGGCTGGTCTCGAACTCCTGACCTCAGGTGATTCGCCCATCTTGGCCTCCCAAAGTGCTAGGATTACAGGAGTGAGCCACCGCGCCTGGCCTCAACTCTATTTTTTCCTGCTTTTCCTCTTCTCGTTAAGACTCCCTAGTCACCTCAGGAAAATTACATTTGTTCTCTTTTATTTCCATTTGTGAGGGGAAAATATAAAAGTCTAATCATGACTGATCCGAATGGGAAGTGCTGGAGTCATATGCCTACTGGAGAAAAACTCAAGCCCCGCATTCATATGTAAAATTAGACATGGCCCAACAAAGGTGATATTCCCTGTTCCCATAGCTCCTAAATCATCAGCCACTCCCACTAAAGAATATCAGTCCAATCTGCCTCATTTCTTCTAATTACTCCTTCCCATTTCTAAGTGTCAGAACCCCAATAAAAACAAAGCAATTTATTTAGATCTAAATATTCAATAAATGTATCCTTAGTGCTTTCTCTGGAACAGCAGATGATCTGAAGGCAGGCAGATTGGATTCAAATTCCAGTTTCACCACTTATTAACTATTTAGCACTGGGCAACCTCTCTGAGTCTCGGTTTTTTCACCTGTAAAGTGGGGATAGTAATAGAGCTTACAGGAAGGTTAATGTGAGGATTACATTAATTAAGATATGTAAACACTTAGAATGGTTTCTGGTGCACAGTAAGCCCTGTAAAAGTGCTAGCAACGATTATTGTTTTGCTGTGCAAAGAGGTATTTAATGTAGTTTCTACCCTCAGTGAACTCATAGAAGGGAGGCTGATTTATATAGTTCAATTGTTCTCACATTTTGCTTAATTATTAGTGTAGCAGCACCATAATAAGTGCATTTCAGTCACATTACGTGTTAGATTACTTTTGTGGGCTCGTGGAGGCACCCTGACAATCATTTATGGCATATCTGGAAAAATGTATGCTAAGCTCCATATAGTCAACAAATACTTTGAAATACACTCTGTTCTAATTTGGGAAACTTAACTTGTACTTAGTATTTTAGTATTCTAAGTCTGTTCATTCAGCTGGGTAGGAGGTTCATGTCAATGAAAGACCCTCTTTCTAGGTTTATGAATGGAGAATAGACTTGCTGATCATTCAAGCATTCCGGGCAATGCTTAGGAGCTCAGTAAAGGCAGGTTCATTATGTAGGCATCTCTATGAATGCCTACTCTTGGAGAAGACCTGAGTGAGACCATCTGAGGGTCTTAGAGAGGGTTCGCTCTAAGACGCAGCTTTGGAACCAGTAAAATCTACAGCATCTACCAGGAGTGGGGTGGGAGATGTTCCCTTCATCTGTGGGAGGAGGGCCTTCCTTTTAGGCATAAATGGGATTTGGTAGTCCAAGAGGATAATGGGAATGGCTATGGAAGGCATGTTCATTACCATGGATTTACAAACAGGAAATTAAGCAGATTGTCCTATTTTCAGGTGAAGAAACTTGATTTTGAGAGGTTAGGAAATTTGCTCCAAATCAGAGGTAGATACTGGCTGTCTAGCCACCATAGAGGAGATCTATATATGGAGGAGGAGGGCAATAGGTTTCTACGTATGCTCCTTTCCCCATATGGTTACCTTGATTGAACAGAGGTACCCCTTGTCTTAATCCGTTTAGTGTTGCTGTAACAGATTAGCTGAGGCTGGGAAATTTAAAAGCAAAAGACGTTTAGCCCACAATTCTGGCGGCTGGAAAGTCCAAGAATATGGCACTGGCATCTGTTTGGCTTCTGGTGAAGGTCATACACTGCGTCAAGACATGGCAGAGAAGCAGAGTAGTGAGTGGGTGTGTGCAAAGAGACCAAACATGGGGAGGAACCACCCACTCTTTCTGGAACTAATTCAGTCCCATGAGAGTGAGAACTCGCTTTCAAGAAAGCATTAATCTATTCATGAGGAATCCACCCCCAGGACCCAAACACCTCCCACCGGGCCCCACTTTCCAACACTGCCACATTGGGAATCAAATTTTAACCTGAGTGTTGATGGGGGTAAAGCACATTCAAACCATAGCAGCTACCTTCCTAAAAGAACTCTTGAAAAAGGAACCTGTATTTTAGCTTCTTGGTGCATGTAATTTGCTGTTTGCAAACCTCTCTAGACTGTTCACACTTTCACTGGATGTCGATTTTTCCTGACATGCTTAAGAGCTCCTGATGTTGCTAGGAAGTGCAATTTGCTGCTAAAGTGTGAAACTTCTCCCTAAATGGAAAGGGGAGGAATATGAAACAATGACAACCTTTAGGTTCTTTTTCCCAGGAAGGACATAAAATGTTAACTTGAATTGAGCCTCCCTCTTGATCAGGACCTTGGCCTGTCTCAGGCGACCTTGATATTCAAAGTGGGTTTATAGGAGCAGAATAACATGATGATACACCAAACTCAATTTTATGGATCCTAAAGATATCAGAAGCAATATGGCCAGCATGATATTGACTCTTACTGAAGTACCTAATGCATGAGAGATATCTGGAACTCCTTGACATTCCTTCTGTGCTATGAGTCAGTCCTCTATTTAAAACAAGCAAACAGACACATGGCAAGTAATATCAACATCTTTAGAAGAAAAGTGTTGTATCCACATTGTTTCTCTCTGTGCCTAAGTAAAACCGCAGAAAAGTAAAAATCTCCATTTTAAGTAGAGTTAAAATATAAATAAGCAAATATAAGAACAGGATTTACACACAAATCTCCAAAGATCATTCACCAGCCTTCCAAAAGAGTGAATGCAGGAGTAAGGCAGAATAGTTGTTCACTTGAAATCATTAATAAAAACACACACTTAGAAGAGTTTTTCAAGAGAGGCTCAGCCAAATGCTCTGTAAAAATGCCCCCCACTTCCCAGAACCTTTCCACAAGTACCCAGAGCTTCCTGTTGTTAAATAGGAGCTAAACCAGCGATGAGAAAACCATCCTTCACGTTAATGGTCCTTTTGGCCTTTTTCTTCCTGCAAATATGCAAATTCTTTTGAGGGCATCCGTCATAACCATTTTTTCAAAATAATTTATTTTTTAAGGTAGACTTCTGATGACCATTCCTTTCTATAGAAAAATAATATTCCCTAAAATACCCCCATGAAACACATTAAAACCCCTTCCCCAACACACACACACACACACACACACACACACACACACACACACACACACGTGCACATAGAAACTGCAGTGGTATTTCCTTAACTAACAAAGCCCAACATTTTAGGTTCTTCGAAATCGAGCCACATCCTAAATTTCCAATCTTACTTCCAATGTAGCATTTCTTGCTCCACCTGCTCACTCCCGTATTCTCTCTCTCTTTCCCTCTCTCTATTCCCCACCCTTTCTCCTTTTCCCTATTCTCTCAGTCTTTCCAGCCTGAATGCCTGATTCCAGGAGCGCCTCTTCCTGGAATGCCCTTCCTCCCACCTCTGCCTCTTGTAAGCCAACCCAGCCCATTAGGAAGCAGCTCTATTTTTAGTGTTAGATGCTTCCAAGACACTTTCTGCTCCTGGTGTGCTACAAAGGCTTCAGTATTGATCTGGAAGCTGCTTTCTGGAGCCTTGATCCCAGTCTGTCTCTGCAGTGCTTGCAAACTCCATCTTCTAGAAAGTGGGGAAAAAAGTTGGGGCTCTGCACTAAAAGCTCCTTCTGCTTTGTTTGAGGGTGGGTTTGAGTTTGGCAGCAGAGGCATAGACACCACAGTCAAAAGCTTTATTCCCACTCTTCCATTGCTGTATTTCTCTTCATGCATATCATTCCAAACTCTTACTCCTCTATCTTGACTCATAAGAGCCCTTCTTCACAAATAGAAACCTAAATGGGTTTTACTGTATGCATTATTAATTTTTCTTAGGTGTCTCCTACTCTCAGTCTCAAACACTACATCCCTGAGCATCTGCAAATGCCAGTAATGAGTTTCTCATAGTAAATAGCTAGATTCTTAGGTCTTTTGAATAAATATGGGTGAAGAACGAACTATCAGAATGAGTCTGTGAAGGGTAATATGGTATTTCTTGGTCAATATTGCTTTTTTGTCCCACAGTGGAGTTCTGCCGCTGTTACATATGGCAACTTTCCAACTTGGGTAATTACATTCTGCTTACCTCTTGTTTCTCTTGTGGTTCCAAGATAACTTATCCTTCATGTCCTTTCCTAAATAAAATAAAGAAGCCTACTTTTGGTTCCGCTATTTGCGGAGACAACTGAGGTAGAGAGAGGTAGCAGAGTGGAAAAAGGACGCTACTTTGAGGATCCTGCACATAGACACTCCAACGCATTCTAGTGGGAATGTTAACTCCATAGAGCCTCAGTCTTCGCATCTGTATTTTGGGAGTCTTCTGCCCTACTCTAAATTGTTATGGAGATTACACAGAATATTACAATGAAAAGGACTTTTAAAAGTACTATAAATATCTATGGGAGATTGTTGGTCGCCCACACAGAAAATTCAACTGGGTAGGGACAGGTTTAGCAGAGCATTTCCTAAGAGAGGAAACCCTCCTATCTCAAAAACAAAACCCAGTCTGTCCCAACAGTTAAAAAAAAAAAAAAAAAAACCTATGGAGGGCAAAGAATAGGAATCAACACACCCACCTCTTGCACAGGAAAGAGGCAAAGCTGTTGAAGGAGAAACAGGACAGAAACAGGAGTCAAAGGGTGTGATTCTGGTAGAACCTCAACAGTTAACTAGCCAATCACATGCTAATCATAAGGCTAGTGTGCCGTCTTAAATTCCTCAGTAACAGGCAGGGATCACTAACGCTTCAGCTGTTATTTATTGTTATGAATATTGTTGTGAAGATCACAAGAGATAATATACCATCAAATGAGAGGCCCATGCGTTGTTAATTAACCAAACTGGAGTGCCAGCCAAAGCAAGATATGCTAACCAGGGAGAAAAATGCCTTTCAGAGCAGTTTTTCCAGAAATTTCCTTTTAGTGATTGTACAATTCAGTGCTCTTGATTCTAAAATGAATATGAGGCTGTTTTCAAGAAAGAAAGGGAATCAGTGTGTGTAAAATGTGCACTAGAACAATATCCAGGAAATGAAGAGGAGGAGAGTCTGGGAATGGAAAAAATACTCCAGAAAATACAAGTAAAAGAAAGTGGCTGTAATTATGCACAACAGCTCTGAGCCAAGGAACCTTACTGGTGTTTCCTGCTGCCTTGTAGCTGGGGTGCAGGGAGCTCTCTGCGCCCTCCTGGCATGAATGACTTTGGGTGCAGGGAGAACAGCACCACCTGGTGGTCGTAGCAGGATGGTGGCTCATCTCGCTTGATGTGGGCTGGGCTCCTTTGCAGGGTTCACGCAAGAGTTCCCTTGGAGCAAGGAAGACAGCGGACAAGACCTGGAGCAAGTCGAGGATATTTCAGGAGGAGAGCCCATGGCCGAGGCGACGCAGCAGGAAGAGAGGGCCAAGAGTCATCCCCCAAGGGGTGACTGCCCAGTTCCCCTTTCTCTCCTGCCTCCACTGCCCTGGAAACAAGAGCACAGGGGCCATATGCAGCTCACTCACCCACCTAAGACTCTGAGGAAGGCCTTTCCGAAGAAATGGAAGGACTGTGGCTCAGGACAGAGGTGCCTCAGTCCCTGGGACTTCCAGTGTTTGGGAGGAAAGACCTTGCACCACTGAAGAACTCCCTTCTATTATTCTATGTGGATTTCATTTTGTAGATGCTCAAATCACTCGGAGCACCTTTCCCTAGTTAAGTCTGCAAGTGGGGAAGTGAAGCAGGTTTTGTGGTGCTGGTCATGTGAGCAGGAAAGGGGCATGGGATGGAAGGCCTGGGAATGTCTTATTAATAGTTAAGTGGACAAGGCTGATAATGGGATATCTTTTTATTGGCCCCACAGGTAAGTTATAATACACAAGCTTGCAGGCAGCTCCTGTGATTTGCATTGATACAATTCAGGCTGAGGTTTTCATTATGTGGCAGGGATGATACAGGAGCCTGTATTATCAAAGGCAGCTGAAAGGAGTTCAGGAGCGATCTCATATTCTGTGTATGCGTATTCATTAATGGTTAGTAAGGTGCTTTGTCCCGTGTGATATTGGATGTTTCATGTTGAATCATTAACAACTTGAACAGCTTTATACATATGTCTTATTGATGTGTAAAGTCATTGCAACCTAGGCTTTTTCCCCCCCGAATGAATGAGTTCTGCTTTACTTGGGCTTATGCAAAAAGCCTAGTGACATTTTCACTGAGCACAGGCAACTCGTGGATGGGAAAGGGGCTGGCAAGGCAAACCCCAGGAAGCTGGCAGTCTGGTGTAAGAGACACAGGGATGGTTGGTTTTTAAAGAAACAGCATGGCAGCAGGGGATGTTATTAATCAAAGGGAGGGTGGATTCTGTAGTTGCTGCTCAAGGGAAAGAGAGGGGAGCTACTACACTTCCTGGGGGATGGCATAAGGGACACGTTTTCCGAGGGTGATCAGGGGTTCTTCTGGAAAGGGGATGGGGAGAACGGGCTGCCTGTGTTGCCCAGGGGGCAAGGAGAGGAGAGTAAATGATGAGCAGCCCGAAGGTGAGGGAAGGGCTGCATGAGGTAGGCAAGAGAAGATGCCAGAAGATGGAAGAAACGAAAATGTTTAGCAGCTGACAGTAAGAAAATGTGGAGGCTAAAAACAAAGGAGCCAAGGCAGCTTTTCCTGGCTGGAGATGGGAAGAATAAATGGGATCAGAGTTAGAAACCAATTATCTCTGATTGCACAATCAGGACACTGCTTCCGAACCAGACTCCAGCCGCCCTGCCACCCAGGGGCCTGAGGCCACCTAAGGATGATGTCAGATCTCAGGAACTGTTGCATCTGATTCCACTTCAGCCCTGATTATCATTAGGCAACATTTGGAGGCCATGCCTTCTGAGTCCTAACAAAGCAGAGAATTTTCAGGCTGTGTGGGACCTACTTTGCAGGCAGAATTTTAATTTCTGAGTTATTAGACACCAAACAACCTGAAATAAGCTTTCTGGTTTCTCTGACGTTGGTTCTAAGCCCTCACAGAGCTTCCTGAAAAGTTCAGGACTTCATGCCAGCCCTAACGCCACTGGCCAGTCTACCGACCACCCATCTCCATATCTTTGGGCCCTGAGTATCTTTGTGGACTTTGTCCCCCAAGTTTTTTTTTTTTTTTGCTTCCCTTTGTGATCCCAGGAAAATACTGATCGCTTCTATCACAGTGGATGAGTTGCATTTTCTATTTTTTGTGTAAATAGAATTATAGAGAATGTACTCTTGTTTTTTCTGGCTCCTTTTCACTCAACGTAAGTATTTTGAGATTCAGCCAAATGTGTGTATCAATATGTCCTTTCTTTTCATTGCTGATTAGTATTCCATTGTATCGGTGCACCACAGTTTGGTTGGCCATTCAGCTGTTGGTCAACATTTGGGATGCTACCAATTTGCAGCTATCATAAAGTTGATATGAATATTAGCGTATACCTTCATTTATCTTGGGTACATGCCTAAAAGAGGAATGGCTGGCTCATATAATAGGTGTGCTTCACTCTTCAAGAAACTGTCACACTATTTTCCAAAGTAGTTGTATCATTTTACATTCTGACCAGCAGTGTATGAGAGGACAGAGTCCTCCATATCCTCACCAGCACCAGGTATAATCAGTCTTTTTAATTGTAGCTGTTTGAATAGTGTTGTAGTGGCTTGTCATTGCAGTCTTAATTTGCATTTCCCTGATAACTCACGATGTCAGGCATCTGTTCATGGGCTTATTATCCAGTGGTGTATCTTCTTTGGTGAAGTGTTTTTCAAATCATCTGCCAATGTTTTAATTGGGCTGGTATTTCTTAGCGTTAAATTATGAGAGTTTCTGTGTATTCTGTCTACAAGTTCTTTATTAGCTGTATGATTTGAAAACACTTTCAGTGGTATTTGTCTTTTAGTTTTCTATACAATGTCTTTCAAAAAAATTTTTAATTTTGATGAAGTCCAACTGTCACTTTGTTGTTTTATGAAAGTTTCTAAAAGTTTTACAGCGTTATATTTTACATATAGGTCCATAATCCATTTTAAGTTAATTTTTGTATATGGTATAAAATATGGATTGAAGTCCATTATTTTGCATATGGATATGCAATTTTTCCAGCACCATTTGTTTAAAGGACTATTTTTTCTCCACTGAATTGCTTTAACACATTTGTCAAAAACCAGTTGTCCATATAAAGACAAAAAGAACATACAATTAGACATCTGGGCTCTGTGAGGTTCAAACATGTTAAGACAGCACTTGAAATTTTAGGTCTTAAATATATGCAAACATTCATGGGCAGGTTTTTATGTGGACATAAGTATTTAACTCATTTAGGTAAATACCTAAGGGTGTTATTGCTATATCATAGAGTAAGCCTATGTTTAACTTTGTAAGAAACTGCACACTGTCTTCAAAATTGTCTGCATCATTTTACATTTCCACCAGCAATGATTGAGAGTTCCTGTTGCTTCACATCCTTGTCAACATTTGGGGTTGTCACTATTTTTAATTGTAGTAAATTTTAATGGTCTGTAGTGGGAGATCATAGTTGTTTTAACTTGTCATTCTCTGATGACATATGATGTTGAACTTTTTAAAATAATTTTCTCCTATGTTATACTCTAGAAGTTGTGCTGTTTTGCTTTTTACATTTAAATTTATGGTCCATTTTGATTTAATTTTGGGGAAAGACGTAAGGTCTGTGACTTACATCATTTTGGCTGCTGTAAAAACATACTATAGTCTGGGTAGATTATAAACAACTGTAGGAAATAGACATTTATTTCCTACAGTTCTGGAGTATGGGAAGTCCAAGATCAAAACACACATTTAGTGTCTGCTGAAAGCCTGCTTCCTGGTTCACAGACAGCCATCTTTTGCTCTGTCCTTGCATGGTGGGAGGTACAAAAGCCCTCTCTAGGGTCCCTTGTGTAAGGACACTAATCCCGTTCATGAGGCCTTTGCTCTCATGACCTATTCCCCACCCCAAATTCCCACCTCCAAATATCATCACACTGGGAATTAGGTTTCAACATAGATATTTTGGCAGAGGCAGTGAGGGAGTGACATTAATATTCAGCCTACAGTGGTCTATGTCTAGATTCATTTTTTTTTTGCATGTGGATATTGAATTATTCCAGCACTATTTGTTGAAAAGCCTATCTGTTCTTAATTAAATTTCTTTAGCTCCTTTGTCAAAATTTAGTTGACTATGTTTGTGTGGATCTATTTCCAAGCCCCCTGTGCTGTTACATTGATCCGTTTGTCTGTTCCTTCGCTAATAACACACTGTCTGGATCACTGTAGCTTTGTATGTCTTGAATTTGGATAGTACCAGTTCTCTTACTTTGTTCTTCTTTAATATTGTATTGGTTATTTGGGGGTCTTTGTGTTTCCATTAAAGAATTTAGAGTCTTAAGTCATCATAGTAATGTTTTAATAATATTGTCTTTCTATCTATGAACACGAAATATCAATTTATTTAGGTCTTTGATTTCTTTTATCAGAATTTGTAGTTTTTCTCAAATAGATCTTGTGCATATTATGTTAGATTTATATCTAAGTATTTCAATATTTTGGTGCTAATGTAAATGAAAAAAATGTTTGGCCAATATTTCTAAAAACATTTTTTATGTTCCTTTCTCCTTTCCTATAGCAACTCAATTTACATGTATATTTGGCCTCTTGAAGTTATCTCACAGATCATTAATGTTCCACACATTTTCTTTTATCATATATTTTCTTCTATGCTTCATTTTCAGTAGTTTTTATTGTTGTGTATTTGAGTTCAGTATTTTCTTCTTCATTGTCTAATCTGTCATTATTCTTATCTAGTATTTTCTTTATCTCACACATTGTAGCTTTTTATTTCTGGAAGTATGGCTTAGATGATTGTTTGCTCATTTTTCATGTCTCTGCTTAACTATTTGAACGTATGGAATACAGTTATAATAACTGTTTTAGTATCCTTGGTTACTAATTCTAATATCTATACATAATTTGTGTCAATTCTTGCTTTTTTTAATTGACTGATTTTTTCAATATGAATCATATTTTACTGCTTCTTTATTTTTATTTATGTATTTATTTTATTTTAGAGATAAGTTCTTGCTTTGTCATTCTGACTGGAGTGCAATAGTGTGATCATGGCTCACAACAGCCTCAAACTCCTGTGTTCAAGTTACCTTCCTGCTTCAGCCTCCCAAGTAGCTGAGGCTACAGGCATGTGCCATGACACACACAGCTTTTTATTATTATTATTGTTGTAGAGATGGGTTCTTGCTATGTTGCCCAGGTTGGTCTCACACTCCTGGCCTCAAGCAGTCCTCCCACCTCAGCCTCTCAAAATGCTGGAATTATAAGTGTGAGACACCACACCCAGTCCTTGCTTCTTTACATGCCTGATACTTTTTAAACTAAATGCCAGGCATGGGGAATTGTATCTTGTTGTGCACAAGATATTTCTATTTTTCTATAAGTATTATTGACCTTTGTCCTGGGATACATTTGAATTACAAGAAAATAATTTCATCCATTTGGGTTTTGCCTCTGAAATGTGTTAGGCAGAACTTAGGACTAATCCCTCCTTACTGAAAATCTTTCGGTGTACTCTACCCAATATCCGGTGCATTACACGGCTTTCCTGCGTGGTGGCTAGGAGCAAGCACTCTTCTTGGCCCTGTGTGCTGCTACTACTAACCCTCTCCCCTGCCTTGGGTAGTTCCCTTACGTGCATGGTCTGATCTGTACTCAACTGAGTACTTGGGAGGAGTTCTTTGTAGATCTCTGAAGCTCTCTCTCTGTGTAGCTAACTCTCTCCTCTCTAGCACTCCATTCTGGAAACTCCAGCTGCTTTGATCTCCCCCAGACTCTCAACTTCATCTCTTCAACTCAGAGAGTCTTTCAGTTCCCACCTGTTTCCCCTTCCCCTGTGTAAACTCTTAAGGCAATGAGTTGTCACAACTGTGGGTTTACTTTGTTTTCCAGCTCTCGCGGACCTCTGTCTCATCACCTGATGTTCAGGGCCTCGAAGATGATTGCTGTAGATATTCTGTGTGTTTTTTTATTGTTTCAGGTAGGAGGGCAAAACTGGTCCCTGTTACTGCACTTTGGCCAGAAGCAGAAGCCCGGGCTACAGAGAGGGCTTCCTGGGGTCCTCATGAGAGCTTCATTTTGACTGGCATTTCTTCTCCACTCTCTTGGTCACAGTAACAGCTCTCCCTCTCCTGGTGTCAATGAAAAGCTCGTTGTAAAGATGCAGCTTTTCTCAGGAGCAACACTGACAGGCCTGGGAATCTGTATCTTTTCCACCCTGGAGTTCACAGTCAGTAGACAAAGAGCTCCCATCCATGAGAAGGCTGCTTACGCCAAGCTATGGCATCTGAGGCTCCTTCGGAGACTCACGCTTCTTCTGAGATACCTCCAGGGGTCCTCTCCACTGGCAGGGACTACACCGTTTGAAAGTCTGAGCCATGCCCTACACATGAGGGAGAAGTTCATTTTGTGGAGTGGAGAACTTGGCTCAGGGAGTGGTACAGAAAAGTGGATTCCAAAAGGAATAAAAGGAAGCCCTTTCTGGAGATTATTCCCCTTCCATTTTTTCATCCCTCCTACTTTTTACATTCGAAATGGAAGGGGAGGCTGAGAAAGCTATTTGCCAGCTCCTTCAGACTGACTCTGCAAGGCAGGCATTAGGACAACTGTCAGAAGAGCAATGAATCTGGATTCCACCTCCATAGGGGTATTTGAGGAATCCCTTGGGCATGAGGGGACGGGGCTGCCAATGCATTTGGCACTCTTCATTAGTTCCTTTATTCCATCAGTTTTCAGTATGCCTCCACTCTCAGCAGTCACTGTGAGGTGCTGGAGACCAATGGGTGAGGAAACCTGCGGTAAAGAGTATCAGGACTAAGGACAGCAAGGAGGGGAGCTGAAGATCACATAAGGGATTCCTGAAAAAACTCAAGGGAAAACAGTCATGCTGTGGTGATGTGGACTGATGGGTGCCTGAACCGCAGGACCAGCCTATCTTAAAAACCACATTGTCTTCCATATGCGGAACAAAGCGCATAATCATCCCGTCTTCTGCTGGCCAACCAGACCCGTCACTCAGAGCCCCGTTTGGAAGCCTGTGTTATCATTTATCTCTTATGTCCATATGAGGTGCCCCTCCTTGATGCTTGCATAGTCCCTTATATTCCCCTTTTAGAAAAATACATTTTAGTGTTTTTCTTTTTTTCTTCTTAATTAGATGATAAATTGTGATGACAGCAATTTGTTTTGTTCACATTTATATCCCTAGTAGCACAAGCCTGTGCACATTGTAGATAATTAGTAAATATTTATTAGATAAATGACTTTTTTTTTTTTTTGAGACAGAGCCTCTCTCTGTCACCCAGGCTGGAATGCGGTGGTGCAGTCTCAGCCCACTGCATCCTCCACCTCCCGGGCTCAAGTGATCCTCCCACCTCAGCCTCCTGAGTAGCTGGGACTACAGACATGCATCACCATGCCTGGCTAATTTTTGTATTTTTTGTAGAGACAGGGTTTTTCCAGGTTGCCGGGCTGATCTTGAACTACTGGGCTCAAGCGATGCTCCTGCTTCAGCCTCCCGAGTAGCTGGGAGATGACCAGCATGAGCTTCCATGCCCGGCCAAGATAAATGACTTTGGACTCATTTTCTCCTTCAAATGACCCTAAGAGATACTCAGAGGACCTATAATTATCATCATTTGACAGATATACAAAGGAGACCCAAAATGGTTGGCTCTTGAAACTTTAGAATAATAGTACTTTAAATTACCAGGGATCTAGAAGAATATCCACTG
Organism: Homo sapiens; assembly: GCF_000001405.40. Lineage (NCBI taxonomy): Eukaryota > Metazoa > Chordata > Mammalia > Primates > Hominidae > Homo > Homo sapiens. The sequence goes on along the minus strand of NC_000011.10, from coordinate 133,127,176 downwards.
CAGGACATGGCAAAGCCATTTAAGCCTAGAAGTACAAGATGATGGATCAAAAGAGGGAAAGGGGCAGATCTAAGGACAGCTTCTTGTTACCTTTCCTAGGTTTACAGATACTCTCATTATATTTTGAAAGTTTGGAGATGGGAAAAAGGAGGTAGTGTCAATAGAGCTGGCCATGCAGTGAAAATGTGGATGCCATCTAAAGTACCATCCCACCACTTCTCTGCCAGAATGCTGAATTAAAAAGAACCATATCTCTCCCTACCTGCCCCTCTTCCAGGCACTCTCTTTTTCAGTGATGACATGCACCTTTTCCATTGCTACCCCTTTGTCAAGCTCCTGCATGTGCCCGTGGGTCCCTATGGCTTCGAATCCCAGGAGGGAGCTGGAATTCCAGGCCCAGTATCTTTGTGTAGCTGGGTAGCCTTGGGCAAGTTACTCAATCACTTCATTGTTCTCCCAGAAAGAATTTTAAAATATGGACTTGAAAGATACACATCAATAGTGGCTGCTTATATGGGATTGGGCAGAAGGAGTCAAAAGAGACTTAAAGTGTATCTGTAAGATTTTTATCCATTCTTTAATAATGTCTAAAGTAAAAGTGACAGAATGTAACACATTACATTTAGATGATGGGCACATATGCATTTGTCCATTGTCCTCTGTGCTTTTCTGTGCGCTGTTTGTGATGATTAATTTTATGTGTCAATTCAACGAAGCTAAAAGATGCCAGATAGCTGGTGACACATTATTTCTGGGTGTGTCTGGGAAGGTGTTTCTGGAAGAGATGAGCGCTGAAACTGACAGGCTGAATTCAGATCACCCTCACAGTGTGCGTGGGCATCATCCAGTCCATCGAGGGCCTGAGTGGAACACAAAGACAGAGGAAGGGAAAATGTGCTTCTGTTTGAGCTGAGACATCGCCTTCTCCAGACCTGGAACCTTAATGCTCCTGATTCTTGGGCCTTCAGACTCAGACTGATTTATACCACTGGCTTTCCTGCTTTTCTGGTTCTCCAACAGAACGTGGCACTTTTCAACCTCTATGTGAGCCGATTTCTATAATCTCTCTCTCTCTCATATATGTGTGTGTGTGTGTGTGTGTGTGTATGGTACATATATATACATGTGTATATGTAGTATATATATAGTGTATATATACACATATGTGTCTATACATGTATATATACGTGTGTCTATATATACATGTATATATATACACTATATACATGTGTCTATATATACATGTGTATATACTATATACGTGTGTCTATATATACATGTGTATATACTATATACATGTGTCTATATATACATGTGTATATACTATATACATGTGTCTATATATACATGTGTATATACTATATACATGTGTCTATATATACATGTATATATACTATATACATGTGTCTATATATACATGTATATATATACTATATATATACTATATATACTATATACATATATATACACTATATATATACTATATATACTATATACATATACTATACTATATACATGTATATATAGACACATGTATATATACTATATACTAGATACTACATATAGTGTATATATACACACTATATATATACATGTGTCTATATTTTTTATATATATATATATCCTATTAGTTTTATTTCTCTGGAGAACACTAATACACAGTTCACATACAACCATTAGGGGAGGGATTATAGAATGATGATATAAATATCTTGCAGGCTTTGGTGAAAAGTAGTGATTCTGTATGTAAAACATGAATACGTAGCTGATGCAGTAAGTGCTAGAATGTTTGCAGCATTGGTGGGGTAGAGAGGAAGAGAAAAAGAGATAGAGGCTGAATTACAAAGAGTTCTGGTAGGTAAAGCTCAAACATAGACACTGGGAATGGCTTTGATTAATTAACCACAACTGAATCCAGGGAAGGGATGTTTTCACTTAGGGAAAATGGATGCAAGTCTATATAATAAAGTGACCTCCTCAACTTCCTGGGGTAGTTTAAATACCCTCTCTACACATCCAAAGCATTGAGAAAGGAGCTACCTCCCGACGTTGCTTCTTAGAACCAGGATTGTAGCCAATCAGTATATCTCCAGTGATTACAATCGCCATTCCAAACGGTTGCCTGGACAATGGGGAGCTTAGGCCATTGGGGCTTTTTGTCCTTATTTGTATGAATTCCCAACCCATATGGGGTTTAAGCAGAGACAACTGCCCAATATGTCCAAGTACACACAGGAAAGAAGTGACTCCTCATTGGGTGTCCACTGGGAAGACCTCTCTTCCTTAGGTCTCTCCATTCTCTTGCAAGTAGAAAGAAATTGAATGGAAAGATTATTCAGGTTCCTACACTGGTTTTGAACAAACTACTGGCAAAGTTATTGAACAAGGAGACTATGAGGAAAATGATGGGAGGGCGGAGGTGAGGAAAATATTTTGAGGATCCAAATCAGATGGGTTCTGCAAGGGTGCATGAGCCTTTCAGGGTTGCAGAACGTGATGAAGGCTGAGGAACAAGGGGCCTGAAGATAACAGCTCAGTCTCAATGCCCCCATACTGTCTGCTGGGCTCTGCAGTGGGGCTCTGTGATTGGAACGGACACCTTTGCCCTCTGGTGATGCTCAGCAAATGTCAGGCTTTAATGAGATTTTTCACACTGTTGAGGGACCCTTGTGAAGTGTGTGCCACTCATAGCAAGTCACCAGTTGAGGTTGCATTGACTTATCTCTCTGGGGAGGGGCCACTGAATCTGTGATGTAGCAGACAAGCCATAAAGATGGGTCTAGGGTGCCCTGGGCAGAGGAGATGTCCTGATACCAGGCTGCTGTGGTTGGCTGCATCCTAATGAATTTGCTGAGAGCTTTGCAAAGAGCCCCCGAAATGGGGGAACCCTAGGGCTGAGAGACAACTGTAAATGTCAGACTGCTTAACCTTCACCTTCAGGGAAAGCTGGACTTAAGAGAATCAGAGAATAAATTCACTTTCTTAAAATGCCTTTTTTTTTTTCTAAATTTCCTGAGGGTATGGCTTAAGTATGGGAGAAGTAGACTAATCCCCCCTCTCATTTGCACTCTTCTCTTACATTTCCTTCTCTCCATTGGGTACCCACCTGCAAAGCATAGATAACACCATTTTCTGTGCCTTTAAGGTGTGGTAGTCATTGCTGGCATTCATGTTGAAGGATAGTGACAAAACTGACAGTCTTTGACCCGACTCATGCTGCCAACTTCTTGGGGGTGGCTCTGCTTTTGTCTGGCACAGAGACCGCTCAGTATATCCCACTTCCTCCTTCTGGTTTTATTTTCTGAAACCTCAGATGACATGGAACGTTGATACCAACGATACCAGCACTTAGGATAATTATAATAATGAATTAATTAAAACCCCATAACCCCTTAAAGCACCAGGGTGCTGAATCCGAATGAACAACCACAGAGAGAGACCCAGGAAGGATGCCACTCAGGAGGCGGTGACCTTTTGGCATATGGTTATTCAGGGGTTGGGTGCATGGGTTTTTAAAGAACTCTCCAAGAACCCATCCATCTGGACCCCTGTGTTGCTCCTCCAAGCATGCCGGGCTGACCAGATGGCCCTGGATAAAACAGCTTCAGGGGAGGGAGGTGGGGAACCCGTCCAGAATAGCTTGTCACCCTCGGAGGCGTGCTGCCCTTGGCTCAGGCACATCCCTTGTTTAAATCTTAAAAGCAAAGATTTTGTAAAATGTGTTTATGGGTTGTCATTTCCACCAGGGCAAACAATAAAAAGACTACCCAGCAAATACGCATCTAAATAAAACACAAACAGACTTTGATAAACAACAATATGGTCCCTAGCATGAGAATTTCTTCACCCAGGGTCTCTGTTTAATATTCATGATCTTTTCAAAATCTTTTAAAGTCTGAGAAATACAAGGGTAGCACAAGGGCAAGAATCATCTGTCACCCAAATGAGCTGGCTGATCCCAAACCATATAATCAATAAAGTGTCTGGAATTGAGGGAATTTCTTACTGCATGATGTCATAGGAGAAAATTCTCCTTCAAATCCATGTCCTTGGGGTTGTCACAGTGTATGCACTGCTCTGAGAGGGAATTGATTCTGCAGATTGAAATATTTTTTCCAAGTCACTTTGTAGGAAAAAGTCATGGAAAAACATTATTTCTGCTTTCAGAAGGCTCTGAGAGAATTTTAGAATATCTATCTTTGCAGTATTTTAGAAGCACATTGCTAGTGATTTCCAAATGAAAAGGGAATGTGAATACCTTATAATGCTGAAAGCAGCTGGAGAATAGAATTACTCGCTGGCTGTAGGGCCAAATGCCATAGCAGTGTCAGCGAACTTTTGCTAAGCCTTTATTGAGAGAGATGCTAGATTCCAGTTTACCTGGGACAGCAGGTATGTTGAATTTTCTAGTTGAGGTGGATTTGGGAGATGAATGTCAGCATCATCTGGAAATTAACAAGTGGCTAGCTAGGTAAATCAACGCTGAGTTGTGCTGGAGAGAAGAGGAAAGGTATAGGGAGGGGAAGTATATTTTGACAAAAAGGTGCCCAGGTGGCTCTCACACACTCTCCATGCTCCCCACCTCCGCTCCTCATGAAGAACCACTGTCAGACCATGTGCATGTGCTGGAATGTGAGAAATCTAAGCACCCAGGAGGATGTGAGAACCGTCAACCAGAAATCAGAGGCCTCCTGCCCAGAAGTGCCTGACAACTTCCATGCTCACGTTTTGGAACTAGAGATCTGACTCAGCAATTCTAGGTCTGTTACTAGCCAGCAGGATGACACTGCAAACCCCATTTTTCTTGGAGAAGACTTTACCCTACCACTCTTACTATGGATTAAAAACAGGAAGTCCCAAGAAGATTAGCCACTGCTCCCCCAAGACTATCCCAAGGTTGGGCAACCAGCAGCAGCTGAGCTGGAACTAGAATTCAAGAATCCCAAGCTCCGTCCATGTCTATATGATTACCACCATGCATGCTCTTTTCAGAAACACAGTGCAGTAGACAAGGACAACTACCCATATTCGACTAGTGTTATCTCTACTATTACCAGGAACAACAATTTTACACTATTCCTAAGTTGCTTTCTCAAATGTTATATGGATATATATGAGAATATGGGAGCCTTGAAAATATGGGTTTTCAATAAGCATTTGACCAGGCCCTACATCAATATGCTTCAAATAATCATAAGAAGATGGCATGAATATTTTGTAACTTTTAAGGGCCAAAAATAAGGCGTAATTATAAATGATCACTTTCCTGGGGACAGAAATGTTAACATTAGAAGTCGCTTGGGGCATTGTTTCTGAAACCACTTGTCAAATAGAAGACGTTTTGTAATCTCAAATATTTTAGAAGGTCTTAAGGATTGTCAAGAAATGAAATGGTATTCATCTGGAAAACATGCTGGCAGATTTCAAGAGCCTTAAATGGGTAGGCATGAAACAAATGAACTTTAGTGTTATCAAGTGTAAATTAAAATATTTATGAGAATGTAATCTAATTAGATACAAACTGTTTCCCCAGATCTCACCAGCCTGGGGAGTAAAAATGAGATTGTGTGAATAGTAATAAACAGATGTAGCAGTCTCTAACTCCTCCATGTTGACCCTCGGCCCAGGATTCCTATCACCCCCTTCTAATCTGTGTCAAGAGCTCATGCTTTGGCCAGTCTACTATAATCACATACATCCCAGTTTTCCCAGCTGGGACTTGTCTGAAGTGTATCAGGACATTCCGAGGATATCTTTTATCTATCGTAACGAATACCTATTCTTGGCAGGCATTCACTAAGGAGATAGGTGAGTAAATAACATAGGTTTTGATGACTGACAGAGTAGAAATTTCTAGAAAGTTTCTGCCAGACAGAGGAAGTGACTCTGTGCAGTTATAGATTAATTGAAATGCTATGGTTTGCTAGGTAAATCCCATAGCTAAATGAATATGATGGAGGCCAAGAACAGTGGCTCATGCCTGTAATCTCAGCACTTTGGGCGCCCAAGGTGGGCTGATCAGTTCAGGTCAGGAGTTTGAGACCATCCTGGCCAACATGAAACCCGTCTCTAGTAAAAATATAAAAATTAGCCAGACATGGTGACACGCACCTGTAGTCCCAGCTACTTGGGAGGCTAAGGCATGAGAATCGCTTGAACCCAGGAAGCAGAGGTTGCGGTGAGCTGAGATCACACCACTGTACCCCAGCCTGGGCGACAGAGCAAGATTCCGTCTAAAAAAAGAATTAATATGATGGGGTGTTTAGTGAATTACCGTAAGTAAGTAGAATTGTGGGTGACTATCAGAACTGATGGTGTTCAGTATCTTCCTGGCCATTGGAAGCTCTGGTCCTGAAAACAGATCATCTCTCACCAGCTGGGAAAACTTCTGAGATGTATGTGATCATAGTAGACTGGCCAAAGCATGAACTCTTGACACATCAGAATTACTGAGTGATGTTCACAAAACTAACCCCTCCAAACTGATTTCATTCATTCAAGAACAGAATCACTTACTTAAAAGCACAGTCACTGAAGCCAGGTCTCCTGAGTTCAATTATTGACTATGATTTCCTAGGTGGTGGTCTTGGGTGACTGCCTCAACATAGCTGCACTTCAGCTAGCATGTGCCCTGGAGGCAGCCATGCCTGCTGTCTAGAGTGGTTGAGAGAATCCTATCAGTTGATTCATAAAAAATGCTTGAAGCTGTGTCTGGCATGGGGTAAGTGCTCGGGAAAGCTTAGCTCTTGTATGTTTCCAAGTGGATTTTAAACTCCATGAGGGCAATGCTGCTGCTGTAACCCTAGTTCCTATGGCCTTGCCCATTTTAGCTGCTTTGTAAGTATTTGTTTATTAACTGACTCGTCTTTGAAATGGAAATGATATTTATACACATTAGATGCAAACTGCTTTGCTCAGTAAATGTGTGTGCGTGTGTGTATGTGTGTTTGTATGTATACACACAAATATATATGTTAGAATATGTATACACACATATACATGTATATATGCCAATAGATAAGAAGCTATTCTCTGGGGACCCAGAGGCTGAGAGGCTCACTGTAGACCTCAGCTCTTAACCTGAACTTTTATGGGTAGTGGTGAAGCAGGACTGGTGATTCTGCTGTCTTTGAGTTTCAGGCTTCCAGATCAGGCCCAAAGCAGTGAACAGGCATAAAAAGATGGACCTAGAGCTTTCATTTCCTTTGACTCCACACAATTCTGCACTGGCAGGAAGAGCCTGCATCTGCCCCACAGCATCACCCCTCTCTCCCTGCAGCCCTACCTGCCCTTTCCCGCTCACCTTTCCCGCTACCTGCTCCACCGCCCACTTCACTCCCACGTGCATCCTGTGCGACGTGAACATGGAACTCAGTCTTCCCCATCCTGACTTCACGTGAGCCTCTGCCCCTGTCTTCTCTGACTGGTGAACTTCTCATTACTCACGATTCAGTTCAGTCATCTCCTTTGTGAAGTTTTCCTCGCCTCCCCTCCTCAGGCTGAATTTTACACTTTGAAATTGTCCCGCAAGACTCTGTTTATACCTTGTTGATATGCCCTATGCTGTTTGCACTATGTCAGGTGAATGGTTTCTCCCCTCTGCTGAAATCGGAGGGTTTTGTTTATATTCAAGTATGTTACTAATTCCCAGTGCCCTGGGCTGGGCTGCGTACCAAGAAGCGCTTGGTAACCTTTGGATGAAGGGACCCAGGAGTGGGTAGATGGTTGCATTCCTAGTCCTACTGTCTAATTATGGCATTCCTAACTGATATGGCTCCAGGTTCATTCAAATCAGGGACAGAAGGCCCTTCTGAAATAGTAGAATTCCAAATGTATATTTGAAAAGATATAGATATTATATACTAGATACATCTATACAGATACATAGATAAGTGATATAGATAATTTGGCCCCTGAGCAAAGGACCATGAGAATCTGAGGAGGAGCTGTGCCTGAGCCCTCTCAGCCTCTTCTCTGGGAGTCTCCTGGCCAGTATGTTTGTCTCAGGCTTGGCTGGAGGGATGGGCCATTTATAGAGCCTGGGGCACGATGGCTGTAGAAGTTGCCTGAGTTGATGCTGATAAAAAACTTGCCAAGCGCTGGCATGATGTGCTATTTATATGCACAGTTGGCCTCTAAAAAAGTGATTATCCAAAGGAAGTAATTGTTTAGAGCCTCACACAGAAAGCCAGTCCTCCTTTGGCCTTCGGGACTAACATTGCTAATCAGTGCCAAATTACTGCTATTTTAATACTTGAATTAAAAACAAGACCAGCCATTTGCTTGGTGGAGGGTCTCCACTGGATCACGTCCATGTGTGGGTCTGTGCAGGAGGGCACTTTGCTGTGTTCCTGGCTGCCAGAGAGCACTTTATTGGGAGAGGGAGGCATGGCCAGGAATACTTAGCTGTCAGCCAGCTTCCTGCCTCCGCCACCTCAAGGAAGAACTGCAGAGCTGCTTGCAGGGTGAGTGGGAGTTCTGTGCTACTGAGCGGGAGTGAACTGGGGACAAGACTTTTTTTTTTTTCATATGGTAAAAATCCACTCCATGTGAGAAGAGAGCATCTTGTGAAGGCAGATGGCCATACATGCGGCCTCTAGGAGGACTCTTCACCACCTCTCAGCCCCCTTGACTTCCATGTCTCCATGAGTCTTGCTACTGAGCAATTCTCTCCATCCTGTCTCCTTGACCAAATGGAGGCATTCAGTCTCCTTTCCAGTTTTCAGTCCACTTTAATCAGGACCATTGTGTAAACTCCATGAAAGGAAGGCCAGCCCTGACACAGAGAAAGACTCCAGTTTATAACTCTCACCGTTAAACAACCGGCATGTCCTTGCACCAGCCTGGGCCCTGAACTCTCAAAAGACAGAATTTTCTTCATAGAGGCCTCCCTACAGCTCATATGATGTGAACAAAGCCCAGGACAGACATATATCCCAGCTATGTCAGTAGAGAGTCCCAGAAAGAACAGGGCCTCCTACACATGGAAACAGGCACTGCACTACCACTTTTAGAGACATATTCAAAAGTAGTTCCTGCAGTCCAGAAGTTTCACCTGAGTCACAGTTTGCTAATCAGGGAGAGCTGAGACTCAGACTGCGGCATGTTTCTTTCTGAAGAGTGTTTCACCTGCTGGGGAAACTTCACACCCCTGTAGACTCAGGTTGAAAACAAAAGCTGCTATTTGATGTCTCCTCCACTTGCAGTTCCCCAAGGATGGGGGAACTTGGACAGCCCCCATTCCCTTCTGGAAACATCTTTTTGAATATTATTTGAAGACTTCATTTGATAAAGTGCTGCAAAACTTTCCAGTGATACTTTTAGAATCAGTTATTATTGGTATTATTGTAATTATTCCAGAGTTAGAGCTTAGTTTGCTTCTGATCTAAGCACTTTCTCTTGCTTAGTATTCCATTGCAATTGTACATTACTTTCATTTTCATTTCCTACAGTTGATAATACTTTTTTTATTTTGAGAGTGATTACCAAACTGGTCACTCTGAGCCCAAGGGCAAGTGAAATTATCTCGAATGTGCTCCCACAGTAGGTTTAAAATCAGGCTCTCACATGACCAATTCAGCTAGGTAAATACTTCTCATATGAGCATAACATCGAAAAACTACCTATGTCAGAAATAGGTATATGGTGGGAAAGAGAGAGTGAGAGAAAGAGAGGGAGAATTGGGCATCTGCGATGGGGCCCAATTCGCTTTGGTCCCTTCACAGCTCAGTGCTAGTCTATGGGAACACCTTAGGACCATGGTTATAAGAAGGCCCCGAAAGCTCTGGTCCATCACAGGTTCTCCTCAAGGGCAATGAGAACACCTAAATGTTCAAGCTGTGAGATAAATGAGGAAGAAAAGAAGTATATAAGCTATTCAGTAGCAACACAAACTCCTTGCTGAAATGGATGGATCTAGGGTCTGCAGGATGAACCTAGAACATCTTCATGGTCCACAAAATAAAGAAGTGCTCACAAAACCATCAGAACATTTGAAATGACACAGGAGCCAACTTGAAGGGACTCCCATTAACCAAATCTGGGATAATTTGAGTATTAAAAATTTTTTTAAATGGTTTTTAACAGACTGTAACAAAAATAGCAGATGTTAATCCATTGAGTAGAATAAAATTAATGAGTTGTATGGAATTAAATAGATAACAGAATAAGTGAATGACTACATGGAATAAAAGGAAAAAATATCTTCTACAGTATAATTCCAACTAACAATGTAGAATAAAAGGTGGAATCAAAACATCACCATTTTGCAACCACCACAGAAATAATTGATTCAGGCAATAATCATCAATGAATACTAAAACTATTGGATGAATGTCTGAGGAGGAACAAGATACATACATATATATATATGTATAGTTTTAAAATATCTTCCCACAAATTACTTATAAGTTACAAAGAAAAAATGAATAGTAACTTGGTATACTAGAAACTTCCCAGATGCTACCTTAATCAGGTAATCAAAGTGAACATCACCAGTAATGGAACAAACCTATTTCACATGCCTCCTAATGAGATACTCTGAGAAGATTACAGGATCACTTCTAGGTATTCCTGCCAAAAACGCATAACCTGCATCTAATAGTGAAGAAACATCCAGCATACCTAAATTAAGGAACATTCTACAAACTGACTGGCCTGCATCTTTAATACTTAAGGTTTAAAAGAAAGAAAGCTGGAGGAAGGTTGCAGATTATAGGAAGCTAAAGATACCTGACAGTCAATTGCAGTGTATGATTCTGGATTGGCTCCTGAACCAGGATGACAGAGTATAAAGGATGCTACTGAGAAATTGATTTGCATAGAAATTATGAATTAGATAGTAGTACTATAATAATGCAAACATTTCCTAATTTTGAGAATTTTTCTATGGTTGTGTAAATAATGCCCTTGGCCGGGTGCAGTGGCTCACACCTGTAATCTCAGCACTTTGGGAGGCCGAGGCGGGTGTATCACAATGTCAGGAGTTCAAGACCAGACTGGCCAAGAGGGTGAAACCCTGTCTCTACTAAAAATACAAAAATTAGCCAGGCGTGGTGGCAGGTGCATGTAATTCCAGCTACTTGGGAGGCTGAGGCAGAGAGCTGCTTGAACCCCAGAGGCAGAGGTAGCAGTGAGCCGAGATCGTTCCACTGCACTCTAGCCTGGGTGACAGAGCGAGACCCCGTCTCAAAAATATATATATATTAATAATAATGTCCTTATTTTTAAGAAACAAATACTAAAGTATTTTAGGGGAAAAACGGGCATGATAGCTCAAATTTATTCTCAATGATTTATAATTTATTCTCAATTACTTATATAAGGAAGTAAACATGTGAAAACAAATGATAAAGTTATGCAGAATGTTACCAATTAGTGAATCTGGGTAACATTCTATAAGATATTTTATCATGTTTTTCCTCTAAGTTTAAATTATATATAAATAAACTTACACTTAAAAAATAATTCAAAGCAATCCTGAGACACTGTGACAATTCAGCTAAATTTGGAGTTCCCTTAGTTTTCAGCCACCTTAGGGGATTGTTTTCATCACTGATTTTTAGTGGGAAATGGAGTATTTCCCAAAGTGATACGAAAGAATTAGGGTTTTTTTTCTGTCTTTTTTGAGTGTTATATAGCTCTGCCTGTGTTTTTGTTGTTGTTGTTGTTTTGTTTGTTTTGTTAATCACATTCGACTTCAGATAGACCTGTTTTCTTCTCAGGTGGCTTCCGTAGAAATTCTAGGCACTGAATCTACTCCGGGGAGATCGGTTCCTCGGAAACTCTCATCTGCCTCACCTCCATTACTGTAATAGGCTGCACAAGCATGAGCAGTGGGCTTGCCAAGGGCTTTGAGCAAACACCCTGTAGGTCCTGCTGCCTGGCAGGCTGGATGTCCGCCCAGTCCTCTGGTAACCTGAAGGGCAATGAGGCTTCATGATCCTAGACCAAGGTGGTAAATTCCCTTTGTGGATAGCATCAGGATGCAGGTAGCTTTGCTGAGCGGCTCAGAGCTAGAATGTAGATCAAAGAGTTACAAACAAGTGGGTGCAGATATATGGCAAAAGTCAGTGTGGGCTTTTCATATGTCCTTTGACCTCCCACTCAATGGTACAAATAATTTATAAGCAGAATTTAACTAAAATCCTACATGATCCAGTGTTTGAAGACTGTTAAGTCAAAAGCACAAAATACCAACAGATAAAAGATAGAACTGAAAGAAATTTCAAGTTTTCTTCAGTTTTAAGAAAACATAAATGGGGACAGGGTACCTTTTAATGTACAACAAAACATCTAAAATATTCTTTCTCGGTATCTCTTTCATTTTTTACTCAAACTACCACTCTCTCTGAAACTCACAACCATTTGCTTTGAGACTCTTAACTCCTCCTACTTCTTAATTCATCCAACAAATAATTATTTAGCACCCACTCAATTCCAAGTACTATTCTATCCTTAAAGATGCAGTGGTAAAAGAATTAGATGCAAATTTCTATCTTTCTGGATCTTATGCCTTGTAAAAAGAGGCATTGGATAGGGGAAAATGGAGGGGAGCAGTTAGGCCATGTATTTTACTGAGAATAGGATGAGGACCATTGCAAGTTTTGAAGGTAATCTGGCTTACACCTTTAAATGATCACTCTGGCCTGGGTTCAGGACACACAATTAGAGGCAATGGAAGAAGACAGTTAGGAGACTGATTTGGTCCCAGATGGTAGCAGTAGACGTGGTGTGTAATTATAAGATTTTGAATATGTCTTGAAGGTAGTGCTGATAGGATTTTGTATGAATAAAGAATGGGATGTTAAAAAAAGAAAAAAAAGAGACGTCAGAACGACCCCAAAAGTTTGGCCAGAACAACTGGGAAGATGACACATTGGCACTGACTGGGATGGGGAAGACCATAGAAGGAGCAGGCTGGGAGGCTGGGAGTCTGGCTGTGGGTGCCTTTTCCACAGCAGCAGAGCGAGCAGTTCAGGGGGAGGCCCAGGCAGTGATGTTGCTTTGGGCAGAACTGGTTCAGGACTGTCGCATAAGATTTCTGTGAGCAACAAGATTATAAGGTTTATGTGGAAATTCTTCCACAACTGCCAGTATCAGGAATGATTATTCTGTTTATTTTGTACTTATGCTCTGTTTCTGAAGAAGCAGGGAGGAGCTTGTTTAGATAGACAACAGCGTAATCATAGCGTCTTCCCAAGCATGAGGCCAAGTTTTCATAAATATCAACAAGGTGGTCTAAAAAGCTTGCACTGCTTTTCTAAGAATGGTTCTCTCAGGAAGAGACGATGCATTTACTTTTATGCTAATGAAGAAAGAATTCAATATGTGCCTGAAGCACAGAGGTCAGAACACTCAGCTGGCTAATAAAGTGAGCAGCCTTATTCACACTGTGGGGAAAGAGTCATAAATACTTTCTTACCTGCGGTGGGAAGCTAAGACAAATCTTAAAATTTATTTAGGCTTTGTTTACTCTTTGGCCCTTAGTCATTATCAAAATTGCCTTATCCTTCGACAACAGAAAGCCAGTTAATTATTGCTAGTGTTTGGCTGTAGCTTTGGTCAAAGTTCCTTGCTTTCTTTCTGAACTACTATGAAAAGAGCAATCAAGTTTGAGTCAGAAAATCTGGGTTTATGTCTTGGTTCTGTGTAAGCGTTCAGCTTAGTGGCATTTAAAGAATTAAATAATGATACACATGTCTGAAACCATTCTAAAAACAAATGTAGTTCTGTTATTTTTTTCTCTCCTGCTTCCTTGTTCTTCTCCCTTTTTCTCAAGTTTCAAAACCCCCAGGGCTAAAATCATGCTCTAGGTAAATAGAAGACTGAGTGATTGATTGAAAAGAGTCTTTTAATGAATTGTACTTTTTGAAAACTTCCCCATTGCTCTTTAAGGGTAATTTCAAGAAAGTGTGGGGAAAAAACAGATATCTGAATGGCAAAACAGATCCAAAATAAGGCAGATGGAAAGAGATGGAAAAAATTTTATACCCATACAGTTTAGCTCTGGGGAAAGGCAAAATATAAAGGATGGCTTTTTTGCATGATAAGTAGGAACAGACCCAGCACTGTCACCAGGCTTTAAATGAGTTATTTTTAAATGTATTTGGCATATTTTCACTTTAGCCAGGAAATCTAGATGAAAGGGGCATATATATTCTGTAATTGCAGATAAATTGCAGATGGGAATTGTGAATACCAGAATCTGCCCAGGTCTGGCATGGAGTAAGGGGAAGATATGTGTCATCTGACCTTTCCTCTGGGGCTGCTGGCTGAGGCTGACACAGCGAAAGCCTCCAAAGGGTAGGGGGCATGACAGTCCACTCTTCTGGAGCTTGTGCGATTAAGAGTTTCTCGGTGTCCTTTAACCTGCTCGCCCTTGGCTCTCCTAGACACTTTCTCTTGAAGTGCTGGAGACAGGACAAGGCAGGGGGAGGTGTGATGGCACTACAGTGTGAGAGAAAGACGAAGCTGTTCTCTTCCTTAGGCCAGGACTGGTGAACCTGGGACATTCACCTATCAAAGCATTCACGGCAAATAGCCCTCATTGCAGGGTTTCTTTTAGCTCACTAGATGCTGACACCTTTTATTTATACAAATCCAATCTTATATTTTAAGAAAACATCTGAAAGATGCCTCATTTTGCCCATGTCTACAATATTTGGAAGATGTCATGATTTTGGAAAAACCAAGACTAATTGTACTTTTTATTTATTTCTAAATGTTGCTGATTTTCTACTAATTTTTCATCTGTCATATACTCAGCATCACAACAAATGTTGATTTTTAGTATCAACGTTTATTTTTCTGCTTTTACATTCAACCGTGTTTTCCAAGTGATATGAGATATTTTGTTTCTTTCCCCTTTTTTTTTTTTTTTTTTTTTTTTTGGCCAAGAGTCAATGAACTTGAACTTCAAAAGGTTGGAGTCTTGTTTAGAAAAAATTTTGAAATATAAAGTCTAATTAACGAAAAAAATCCTTGGATGGAACCATACTCCCAAGATTAATATAGGGAATAAATAGCTTTGTCACAAAGCTGCCTGTCACCATATCCAAAGTAGGATAATAAAAGTACATAAATGCATTATTTGAATATTGCATGCAATCCTGGCAATATATTTTCTAAGAACCAGCGTGAAGGTGGATGTACAGGACAATTTCCCCCATCCAGTGTCTGTAGATCCATAACAACATTTTAAGAAAAAAATAATATCCTTCACTGCTGCCCTTGATTGGCAAAACTGATGAAAAATAGTCACAGATAACTCTGGCTGACAATATAAACATCCTCCACCCATCCTGCAGGTTATTAACAGGTGTCAATCAAAGGTGGAAATCTAATCAAATCTCAGTGCAATTCCCTAGGAAATGATGGAACCAATATCATCTATGAAGGATCAACTCTCCTCCCACCTACAAACAACAAAACAAAACACCCTTCCTGGCACCAACTTTATTTTCTGGGAGCCCAGTCTGCTTAGGAAAGGAAAAGTCACCAAAGTTCATTGTTTTCCTAGGCAGTTGGTGCTCCATGAGTTTAAAGGGAGCTCCAGATGGGCAGAGATGATGAAAGAATCATCCAAGTGAAACACTTCCCTCTTGGGTGTTAAATATTGCATTTACTGTGTCCATGGAGCTGTTGAAACCAATAGAACTAATGAGAGAGCTGGTATCTGAGAAAGACTCGTACTAACTAACACTGGGGACAACATGCCAAAAGAAAGAGCCAAGTGACCTCTTGGAGGGCAGGGACACAGGGAGTGTGATCTTGGAAAAGCTCTCTCCCCAGCCAGAAGCAAAAGAAAGGGAGTCATATTTGCCCAGGGACACTTGTGTTTTAGTCTAAATTACAGTGAAGGGACATATGGAACTGGAATAGACAGGGAAACTAGCTACCGTGCCAGTGGGTAAATGATTTTCTTTTACTATTATATTGTAAATGGCACCAAGTATTCTGCTGGGGTCATAGCACATTTGTGCATTTTTTTCTCATTCACACAGAACTAAATATATTACCCAAAACAATGGTCGGAATTCTATTTTCCATGGAAAACAAACTGGCTTAGAGGAGGAGAATAATGTTGCTAACTTTGACCCAGAAACACCTCAGCTCCTTATTTGGGGGCTGTTCTAATCACTTTGCACTTATTATCTCAGTTTTTCTCATCAAAAACCATATGGATAGGTATTATTATTATCATTCCCACCTTACAGATGAGTAAACAAAGGACCAGAAAGGTTTACTAACTGCCCAATGGCATGGGGTTAATGAGTGTTCAGAGTCAGGTTTCTAACCCCAAATGCCTCCCTGTTCCACACACCTCTGTGCTTCTCTACTTAGTCATGCCCTTAGTGGTGCTCCAGTTTATAAAGGGAAATGCTGTTAGGGAATTTGTTTGCCACCTGACTCTTATATCTAGGAGGGAAGTTTGGGGGTAGGAAAAAGAATCCCATAGATTATCAGAGCTGGAGCTACTGCGTTTGAGGCTAGGGCCCCTGCAGCACTGAACGAATGAAACACACTGAACCCAGAATGAGAAGATGCACTTGCTCCCAGTCACGTAAAACATCCCCACCTGAGCTGGAGTTCAGAGACCAACCCCTTGACTTTAAGATCAAGGCCCTTCTCAAAACACTATCCTTCTTTCACTAACATGGCAAGCTAGTTTATGGGTCAGAATAAATGTAGGATCACGCACGGGGGCCTGTGACCTCTGCTATGGGCTCAGAGCCTAAGTCACACAACAACAAGCAAGTTCCCAAGTTCATGCTGTGGGAACACCAGGCTGAACAAAACTGGAGGACACATATTTTCTGTACTCGAATGTAAGGTGCTCCTGGTACCACATTTGTTCATCAATATTTAAACATAGTGCCATAGTCACCACTATTAAGAGCACTTATTATTCTAAGGTGGTTACTCTGTGGACAATATGTACTCCAGATCTCAAAATACTAAATTTACCATTTTTATTTTATCCATGTCTTTTGACTTCATGTTACCTTAATGGACCAGAACAGGGTTGTTCAACCTTACCACAGTGGACTTTTTGGATTGAAATATGCTTTATAGGTACAGGGTTGTCCTATGCATTACAAGATGTGTAGCTTTCCTGGTTCTGCTCACCAGATTTCTGCGGCATCCTTCACCCAAGTCCTGTCGAACAAAAATGTCTCTAGAGATTGTCAAATGTCCTATGGAGAGCAAAATTGTCTTTGGTTCAAAATTGCTGGGCTTGAGGCTTCCTGAGATTAAGTACTATGCATTCTATCTCCTCTAGGTTTATGGCTTATTCTCTTCAGCTGCAAAATAGACGGTTGGATGAGATAAATTTAAATTTACATTCCCACTCTCAAATGCAATGACTCACCTCCCTTTCTAGGTCTGATCTTCCAGGGTTCAACAATGCTTCCTGACAGGGCAAAATCATGGATAAGTCCTGAGGCAATGCCAAAGAGGTCAGGTCACCAGGTAGACTACCCAAAAAGCACTCTTTTGGGGTCATGGTGAAAGGTGAAGCCAGCTGGACTTCCTGGGTCGAGTGGGAACTTGGAGAACTTTTCTTACAAGAGGATTGTAAAATGCACCTATCAGTGATCTATAAAAATGCACACATCAGCGCTCAGTAGCTAGCAAGGGGATTGTAAAATGCACCAATCAGTGCTCTGTAAAACGCACCAGTCAGTGCTCTGTAAAATGCACCAATCATCAGGATCCTAAAAGTAGCCAATCGCAGGGAGGATTGAAAAAAGGGCACTCTGATAGGACAAAAACAGAACATGGGCGGGGACAAGTAAGGGAATAAAAGCCGACCACCCCCAGCCAGCAGCGGTAACCCACTCAGTCCTCTTCCATGCTGTGGAGTCCTTGTTCTTTTGCTCTTCAAAACAAACCTTGCTACTGCCCACTCTTTGGGTCCGTGCCATATTTAAGAGCTGTAACACCCACGGCAAAGTTCCGTGGCTTCATTGTTGAAGTCAGGAAGACCACGAACCCACCGGAAGGAACCAACTCCAGACACAGTGGGAGCAGGTAATAAAAACTAACCAGAGAACACAGAAGGAAAACTTTGTGAGCTAGAGAAACCAATTAACCTCATGAAAAATAGAAAGAGCGGCCAGGAAACCCAGTAAAGACATTAAGAGTGGACCTAGAGAGCAAAACAGGTAAACGCAGGTAAGTCAGTCTTGTTTTAAGACTGTTAGCTTGGGGATGAGTCCTCATGAGGCCTGCAAAGGGCCCTGAGCAGTGGAGTCAGGCTTCCTGCATATGGAAACACGTATTCAGCGGGCACTCCGTGAATGCGTTTCCCTGTCTGGTGTGGTTAGTAAAATATGTTTCATTATGTATTTCACATTTTTTTTTATCACCTGTAGTTTGCAAAGCGCTGTCTTTGGTAACAATGGGAGACAAAAAGATTAATTAAATATGGAATTTGTCTCAATGTGACTTAAAACCCAGCAAGTGTGGTATACTTGCAGACAATGAACAGAAGAGTAAAGGGGATCTGAGGAAGAGCCAGACAATGGTTAGTGTAGGCTCAGAATGGAATAGCCATATATGTGTGTGTGTGTGTCTGTGCGTGTGTGTGTGTATAATGTAGTGGCTTCTTTACAAGATTCCTAACGCTCCCATTTACCCCGCTGGAAAGCTCTAGCGCACGACATTCTAACCGAGCTCAGGTCAGGAGACTTCAGGGGTATTTCCTCCTTGATGTATGATGGATTGTTGATTGCAATTTTAGTGGGAAGAATTAAATTTGCGTTAGGTATGTTTAGACCAAAAGTCTGACGACAGTCCACTAAGTAAATGTGTAGCCAGGTATCTGTGCACTTTGAATCCTATAATTTAGCAACATACAGTCACCTAGAAGAACAACAACACCCTTCTAAGGACTAAGACTGAAAACTGAGTTGCATATTAATTCGCAGCAATTCTCCTCTGGCCCCATCTGAAAGTGTACCTTGACACTGATCAGCAAACGTAAGCCAGCCTTGTTTCTAAAATTTAAAAAAGAAAATCTTTTCCAAGGCTTATTTCTTTGCTAATTTACTTCTGTCTTGATCTAAAGTGAACCCTCTCCTGCCATAAACAAGAATAATTTGGCTGCTCTGCTTTTGTGCATCCTGAGCCCTTTCCTTTAACAATCTTGATGAGCATGCGGGGTTGTGTGCTGCATACCAATAGCCACTCCAAGCCTGAAAAAGAGGTAGTCATCCCAACCCACACCATCTGTGGTCTCAGCTAGATGTGTGGCATGGCTCCCTGAGCTGGAGCAAACCTCCCTCTGTCTCGAGTACGTTGAGAATCAGAAATAAAAAATAAATTAAGACAAGTAGGCAAACATTAAAATGAGTTGTTACAGAACATTTGTGTAGATTCCAATCTTCAGTGTCAAGAGAGCATCATTCTGCTGTAATAGTATCTTTTCATGAAAGCACTTCAAGGCAGTCATAAATAAGAGCCAGTGAAAGGAATGACAACGTCAAAATGGAAACTGAGTCAGGAAGGGTCTTTATTATCGTTCAGACAAAGCGTCTGTGACTATGAAGAGGGAAAGGTGAATGGCAACAATGAAGAAAAGAAACCCAGCTATTGTGTTGCTGTCGTGTGCGTGTCAACAGAAAATCTGGCTCTGGTGGGCTGACAGGTTGTCTGGATAAATAGGTTGGGGCCAGAAATATTCATTGATGATGAGAAGTTTCTTCTTACAGCTTGTATCAGGAGCTCCAGAAGCATGGACAAGGACAGCAATGCCTCTGTAAATCAGTGAGGGCATTTTGTCGTTTGAAAAGCATTATCTCAGCGTCTGTCCAGGCAGTTTTGAAGAGTCTCTCCCTCCCCGTTATCAGAGTGCAGCAGCTTTAAATGCAGATAGATGTCCTCTAATGAAAATCACAAACAGAAGTCTTCAGTCCTTATAAGTTCCAGTTAATAATCTACTTCTATACCTCAGAGTTTGTCTAAATATAGAGCCACGTGTTCACCACTGACACTACAGAAGGGCCCACTGTTCTACCACAGGATAGGTGTCCTGCACAATCTTCCTCTTGGATGGAGAAGAGAAGGTGGCCTGGGGCTAGAGAGAGTTCCCTGTTGATCCAAGTATTATTCATCTAGAGGTCCTTGGCCTTGTTTTCCCTGATTCCAGGTGGGGATACCCAAGACCGGAACGTATTACCTACTGAGTTGAAAGTAGCTGTTCTTTGGAGAGCTTTCCCTTCATGGCAGTTAACAAAGGGCCTGTCTCTGCCTCTGGTGCAGTGGGCAGTCTGCAGTCTATTTTACCTTGAGTGGGGCTAGGCCAAGAGAGGCATGGTACAAGGCGAGGGGAATGACAGCAGATCTGATAAGCGCTGTGCTTCTGAAGTAGTATCATGCATTTGTATTTATGTTTATGTAGTGTATATTTACTTTTTATTTTTGTCTTCTCCACTCCCCCATCCTAAGCAGCTGACTTTGACATGTGCTCTATTGTCTGGTCCTGGATATGTCATTTGTGCTTACATTTGCTTTGCAGTTTGCTATTTGAAGTATCATTAGTTGCTTCCTCATCCTGGCTTTACCATCATCCCATTTGCCATCTGGATGTAGCACATTGCTATAAGCACTGCAGCCCCATATACACAATTATGTAGTTCCTTACACTGCTAGGGGAGTTTGTTATTTCTTTAGAAAACAAGGATGCGATGTGCATAAAAGCTTGAGCTCTGATTTCACCATCTAAGGCATTTGATAAATTCTTTGGGACTATTTCTAGTTGCCATCATCATTTCTTGCAGAAAGTCTGCGTTATGTATTTCCATGTACTCTAAAGAGCATATCAGAGTTTGCTAAATGGGTGCAATGCTTGCCTTCTAGAAACCTGCAGGCCCAAATGGACAGCGTGAGCATACGTTGATGATGATATGCAACTGCACAGTCCATAAAACTTCTTTTCCTCCAATGAGTTTTTGACCGAAGTAAATTGATAAAATTATTGTTAAATGGGTGAGAGGGTATATATGCACTATTGAGCAATTGGAGCAACTGTTAGAACGGGGAATGAGGAATTTTAAAACATTATAATAGTTCAGTTTGGCCAGATCTGTAGTGGATCTAGATAAAATATTATGTTATTTTAAAAATGGCACCATTGAACATACTGATTTTCTACAAAAGTATTCTTTTTTTCTTTTTTTTTTTATTTTTAAGATGGAGTCTTGCTCTGTCGCCCAGGCTGGAGTGCAGTGGCACGATCTTGGCTCACTTCAACCTCTGCCTCCCGGGTTCAAGCGATTCTCCTGCCTCAGCCTCCTGAGTAGCTGGGATTACAGGCACCCGCCACCATGCCTGGCTAATTTTTGTATTTTTTAGTAGAGATGGGGTTTCACCATGTTGGTCAGCCTTTTCTCAAACTCCTGAACTCAGATGATCCACCTGCCTTGGCCTCCCAAAATGCTGGGATTGCAGGCATGAGCTACCGTGCCCAGCCTCTTTTTCTTTTGCAACCCAATAATTTCAGTTGCCCTGGCTAAAAACCTCTAAATCCTTTTTGAGCCATTTTTCTTTTTCCACCAAATCAAATTTGTCATAGTCTTAATACTTTCATTCTGAATGTATCTTCACATCTTGCCATCTCCATTTTCAGCCTACTTCTGAACCTTGGCAAGTCTCTCTAAGACAATTCCCTTACCTTTGATTTCTGCTCATTTCAATTCATCTGCCCACTGGCACTAAACAATGGTTCTCACATGCATCTATCATTCATGATTAAATCAACCTATACCTTTTCTTCATTTCCTGAACCTAGAAAATCTTTTTTTTGTATGATGTAATTATAAAAATCTTGTTTACACTGCATAACCTCGTTAATGAAGCCCTCAGCAACTACACTTAGTCTGAATAAGACTTTATCTGCCTTGAACTTTGAGCTTTATCGGCACCACAGGTACATAATTAATTGTTGTCTGAATTCCTTCAGATATGCATTTACCCCTGTATTTTAGCTCTAGGCCTTATATTTTATTTTTAGCCACCATCTCAGCAAGCGTAAAGTTTATTGAACACGCATAGTAGGTGAACAAACCTTTGATTATTTTTCCAGGCAATTCTCTAAACCATAAAGTTTAAGGATACATATCAAATTCTTAATGTGCCTAACAATTCATTATACATCTATAACACATAATTTGTACAAAATTATTTTGGCCTATTAATATTTTGCTTTATATTACATCTCAAGTTAGCTGGCATTAGTGGTTGAATTCTGACTGAGAGTGACCTTTATAGGAAAATTATTCCTACAGTTTTTGATCTTGAATTGGGCCTTAATATTTTTCACTCTAACTTGGTTGTGAACCATGATCCATTTAATTAAAATCCACTTTTAGATACAAAATAAATCAACAATCTGAAGGAAAGTGAAATGTCACATTCTTCAGCCCTCTCTGTTGAGTGCTCTGAATTTCTTCTTGAAGCATTTGCTGAAGGCATTTATAGGCCCTTTTCACCAGAAATAAAACCTAACACCAGCTGAGTCAGAATCAAGATTAGTTCAAATCTTGGACATGTTTTACTTTCAATGTTTTTCCATCTTAGCAGCACTCTGAGTTCATGTTTTAATTGCCATATGCATCCAGGATGTATACTTTCAAAGCATAGACAGGCAGAATGCCAAAACACCACAAAATGGAGAAATGCCCAAAAAATTGGGATGTATCGCTAAATAACTTGTTTTATAAAAATGTTCTTCTTTTTTTCCAGGTCCCTATGAATTTAGGGTAAGTTTACTCTCAGTAACTAAACATTTGGATGCTTGGGTGAGCTAGACTCTGAACTCCTTGAGGTTTGTGGCTCTCACTCATGCCTTTCGGTCTAATGAAGGGATGGGGAGGAATTTATGATGACTCTTCCGTACTCTGGACAGCTCCTGCTGCCTGCCTGCCATGGAAAAGCTTCATCAACAGATTGTTAATTTCCCTCCTTTCTCCCTGAATAGCATTATGCCTTCTGGCAGGAAGCACTGTGTTGCATCCATCCATGCGCTCTCACCTGTGGACATGTGGAGCTGTCTAATGGGCTCCTGCTTTTTGCCCCACTGGGCTGTGACTGAGCAGGGAGACAGAGCTGTACAAGTTGCTAATTGTCTCAGCCTGTAACTCTTGAATGATGAAAAAGATTAAAAGGGAAGGAAAACAGCTATTATATCTCTTTCCTGAAAAAACTTGCACTGTGAAAGGCTCATTAACATCATTAGTGTTCCATTAACCTCTAGCCAGACAAATAAGCTGGAGGTAATTTCGGAGCATGGGGAGAAAGAAAAAGAGAGAAAGGAATTTAAAAATTATCTGGGTGTAGGTGACATTTCCCAACTACCTCGATTGAACATTTGGACAGACACCAGCAACTTTACTTACTTTAATGCCAGCCTGGTACTGGAGGGTGGCCAGAACTCTGGCTGCTAGGAAGGCCTGTAGGTAATAGTGAGTGGGGAGATGCATTGATTGGGACAAAATGAAATTCATTTTTAACACAACAACACATGAAATCTTGCAAAGAAACACTGTGTGATACAATAGAAGCTTAAAAATGTCTACTGCAAAATTATGTTCCATTGTATGAACAAAAGGCTTTTCACCTTGTAATTTTTTCCTGTCACATTTTGTTTTATTCTAATCCACACCTCCATGCCTGGCCCTCGTTGTTTGATCCCCAGCCTCACTAACTCTGCTGCAACTCAGGAAGTTGAATGCAAAGCATTGTTCAGGCTATTGATCTTTAGGTTTCCTGGTATAGAGGGGGCACTTTTTTAGATGGGGACATATTTTAGATTTTATTTTTGATTTAATCTCAAAATACAACATGGATTTTGGTGACTCAGTTTTTCTTCCTATAAAAAGAAGACTCTATAAGTTTCCCAAGTATTCTGTGTGGAAACTAGTAGACGTGTAAAGGTTGATCAAATAGAATAAGTACTAAAACTATGGTTTACAATGATTTAATACAAGCCTAAGCAAATGCGTAAGTTAAAAATGTCTGTCTCAAAGTAGGAATCCCCAGATCACTATTAGAAAAAAAGTAATGTTGTGGTTTTGGTATTAATTTTTGATGTAAAATTGATTTTCATTGTGTCCCTTTTTTGGATTCAAGTATGAGAAGCTGACGACAACAGTCAAGGTAGCTTCAGAGGGATACTCTCCCCAGGAGCCACTGGTCATTCTCTTCCCCAGAGTGGAGATGCTGGCTTTCTGCTGAGAACCTGATACAGTTCCTAGGGCTCCACTCCCTTGCTTTATAGCCCATAGTCATAATTCTATCTCATTTAGAGAGATCTCAGATTTCACATCAACACAGACATACAATTTTGAATAGTCAAAATCAAATTTGGCATAGTTTTTTTTGTTGTTGTTGTTGTTTGTTTTTGTTTTGTTTTTGTGTTTTTGAGATGGAGTCTTGCTCTATCACCCAGGCTGGAGTGCAGTGGGGCGATCTCAGCTCACTGCAAGCTCCACCTCCCGGGTTCACTCCATTCTCCTGCCTCAGCCTCCTGAGTAGCTGGGACTACAGGCACCTGCCACCACGCCTGGTGAATTTTTTTTGTATTTTTTAGTAGAGAAGGGTTTCACCATGTTAGCTAGGATGGTCTTGATCTCCTGACCTCGTGATCCACCCACCTCGGCCTCCCAAAGTTCTGCGATTACAGGCATGAGCCACCGCCCCTGGCCAATTTGGCCTAGTTTTTGAGAATGCATTTCCCAGAATAGTAGATGTTTAAGAGCTTGTCTCATCCTGAGAACAATTCTCTTAGCCCTGATGGAGTTGTTTAGATCTTTTTTCCAGAAATTTTAGGATGTTAGCAACAGAGATTTCCCATATACCATCTGCCCCTGTTCATGCTGCAAATCTGCTGCAGTCTCCCTCATTGTCAACATCTCACACTACAGTGGTAGATTTCATAAAATTGATTTAACTACATCTTTGTTATTCAAAGTCCATAGTTTACATTAGTGTCCACTTTTGATGTTGTATATTCTATGGGTTTTGACAAATGTATAATGACATGTATCCACCATGATAATACCATACAGAATGATTTTACTGCCCTAAAAACCTACCTATTCATCACTTCCTCCTAACACTTGGAAACCACTAATTTTCTTACTGCCTCCAAAGTTTTGCCTTTTGCATAATGTCATATTGTTGGAATCAGACAGTACATAGTTTTTACAGATTGGCTTCGTTCACTTGGCAATATGCATTTAAGTTTCCCCTATGTCTTTTCTTGGCTTGATAGCTCATTCCTTCTCGGTGCTCTATAATATTCCAGTGCCTGGAAGTACCACAGTTTATCCATTCACATACTGAAGGACACTTTGGTTGCTCCCAAGTTTTGGACAATTATTAACAAAGTTTCCATAAACAACCATGTGCAGGCGTTTTTATGGGCATAAGTTTTCAATTCATTTTGTGGAAAAAGCAAGGAGCATTATGGCCAGATCATATGGTAAGAGTATGTTTAGTTTTGTAATTGCCAAACTGTCTTCCAAAATAGCCATACAATTTTGCATTCCAACCAGCAATAAATAAGAGTTTCTGTTGTTCCATATCACATCCTCATCAACATTTGATATTGTCAGTGTTTGGATTTTTGTCATTCTAGTAGGTAAGTAATGGTGTTTCATTTTAATTTGCAATTTCCTAATGGCATATGATGATGCTGTGCAATTTTTAAATCAGGTTGTTATATATTTCTTGTTGGATTTTAAGAATTGTTTCTATATTTTGGATAATAGTTTTATTTAATCACATATGCCTTTAACAAATATTTTCTCCCAGTTTGTGGCTTTTCTTCTCAATCTCCTGATAGAGTCAAGAGTATAAGTTTTTAATTTTAATGCACTCTAGCTTATCAATTATTTCTTTCATGGATTGTACCTTTGCTATTACATCTAAATAACTCACTGTTGTGGGCTGGGCGTGGTGGCTCACACTTGTCACCCTAGCACTTTGGGAGGCTGAAGCAGGCAGATCACAAGGTCAGGAGTTCAAGACCAGCCTGGCCAATATGGTGAAACCCCGTCTCTACTAAAAATACAAAAATTAGCGGGGCATGACAGTGGGCACCTGTAGTCCCAGCTACTCGGGAGGCTGAGGCAGGAGAATCGCTTGAACCCAGGAGGCGGAGGTTGCAGTGAGCCGAGATCATGCCACTGCACTCCAGCCTGGGCGACAGAGCAAGACTCCGTTCAAAAAGAAATAAATAAAAATAAAATAAAAATAACACATTGTTGTATCCAAGGTCATCTAGGCTTCTCCTTTGTTATCTCCTGGGCGTTTTATAGTTTCGTATTTTACATCTGGGCCTATGATCTATTTTCACTTCCTTTTGGCAAAAGGTATAAGGATTATGTCTGCATTCATTTTTGTAATATGTGCATGTCTAGTTGTTCCAGCATGATTCATTGAGGACTATCTTTACTCCATTGTATTGCCTTTGGTCTTCTGTCATGGATCAGTTTACTGTATTTGTGTGTGCCTATTTCTGGGCTCTCTATTCTGTTCTATTGATCTATTTGTCTGTTCTAATACCAATATCACAGTCTTGATTACTGTAGCTTCGTAGTAAGTCTTGAAGTCAGGTAGTGTCAGTCCTCCAACTTTGTTTTTCTCCTTCAATATTGAGTTAACTATTCTGGTTTGTTTTCCTCTTCATATAAATTTTAGAGTCATTTTTTCAGTATTTGCAAAATAACTTTGCAAAATAACTTGCTGGTATTTTGTTTGGGATTGTGTTTAATCTATACATTAAGTTGGGAATAACTGACATCTTGATAATATTGAGTCTTAGCCTTTTACTTTTTTATAACTTTTATTTTAGGTTCAAGGGGTACTTGTGCAGATTTTTTACATGCGTAAATTGCATGTTGCTGGGGCTTGGTGTACAAATTATTTCATCATGCAGGTAGCGAGCATGGTACCTGATAGGTAGTACTTTGATCCTCACCCTCTTTCCACCCTTCCTGCTCAAGTAGACTCAGGTGTCTCGTCCCATCTTTGTCCCCATGTGTACTCAGTGTTTAGTTCCCACTTATAAGTGAGAGCACATGGTATTTGGTTTTCTGGTTTTGCATTAATTTGCTTATGATAATCGCCTCCAGCTGCAGCTATGTTGCTACAAATAACATAATTCCTTTCTATTTATGGCTGCATAGTATTCCATGGTATATATGTACCATATTTTCTTTATTCAGTCCACCATTGATGGACCTAATTAAGCTAAAGAGCTTCACACAGTGAAAGAAACTATCAACAAAGTAAATGAACAACTTACAGAATGGGAGAAAATATTTGCAAACTGTGCTTCTGACAAAGGGCTGATATCCAGAATCTATAAGGAACTTGAACAATTCAACAAGCGAACAACAAATAACCCCATTAAAAATGGGCAAAGGACATGAACAGACAGTTCTCAAAAGAAGACAGACATGCATCCAACAGGCATATGAAAAAATGCTCAGCATCTCTACTCGTTACAGAAATGCAAATCAAAACCACAATGAGTTACCATCTCACACCAGGTCAGAATGGCTGTTATTAAAAAATCAGGCCAGGCGAGGTGGCTCATGTCTGTAATCCCAGCACTTTGGGAGCCCAAGGTGGGTGAATCACAAGGCCAGGAGATCGAGACCATCCTGACTAACACCATGAAACCCCATCTCTACTAAAAATACAAAAAAAAAAAAAAAAAAGAAAAAAAGAAAATTAGCCAGGTGTGGTGGTGAGCACCTGTAGTCCCAGCTACTCAGGAGGCTGAGGCAGGAGAATGGCATGAACCTGGGAGGTGGAGCTTGCGGTGAGCTGAGATTGTGCCACTGCACTCCAGCCTGGGCGACAGAGCAAGACTCTGTCTCAAAGAAAAAAAAAAAAGATAAAAAACTAACAGATGTTGGCAAAGTTTCGGAGACTATTGACTCTATTTATGAACATGAAATATCTCTTCATTTATTTAGTTTTTCTTTGATATCTTTGTAGTTTTCTTCATATGGAATTTGGTAGTTTTCTTCACATAGGTCTTGTATATGTTATCATATTTATCTCTTTTATTTTGGGGGTGCTAATATTGATGGTAATGTGGTTTTATTTTCAAATGTCATTTGTTCATTGCCGGTATATAGGAAATTGATTGAATTTTGTATATTAACCTTACATCCTGTAACCTTGCTATAATTGCTAAGTTGGTTTCTCTTTTTTGTTGTTGTTGATTCTTCTGTATTTGCTACATAGATGATCATGTCATCTGCAAAGAAATACAGTCTTATTTCTTCCTTCCCCATCTATATGCATTATATTTTCTTTTATTTTCTTATTATGTTGGTTAGAATTTCCAATACAAGGATGAAAAGCAGTGGTGAGAGGAAACATCTCTGACTTATTCTTAATTTTAGTGGGGAAGTCTAGTTTCTCACCACTAAGTATGGTGCTAGCTGTAGGTTTTCTGGAGATGTTCTTTATCAAGTTTTAAAATTTTCTTCCTATTCCTAGTTTGCTAAGAGATTTTATCATGAATGGGTGTTGGATTTTGTAAAATGCATCTATTGATATGATTGTGTGATTTTTCTGCTTTAGTCTGTTGATGTGATGAATAGCATTAATTGTCTTTAGAATGTTTAACCAGCCGAATGGGCACAGTGGCTCACACCTGTAATCCCAGCACTTTGGGAGGCTGAGGCGAGCGGATCATGAGGTCAGGAAACCGAGACCATCCTGGCTAACATGGTGAAACCCTGTCTCTATTAAAAATACAAAAAAGTAGCCAGGTGTGGTGGCGGGCGCCTGTAGTCCCAGCTACTCCAGAGGCTGAGGCAGGAGAATGGCATGAACGCGGGAGGCAGAGCT
Organism: Homo sapiens; assembly: GCF_000001405.40. NCBI lineage: Eukaryota > Metazoa > Chordata > Mammalia > Primates > Hominidae > Homo > Homo sapiens. Next base: position 133,098,295 of record NC_000011.10, on the reverse strand, counting down.
TGCAGTGAGCCAAGATCGTGCCACTGCACTCCAGACTGGGTGACAGAGTGAGACTCCATCTCCAAAAAAAAAAAAAAAAAAAGTTTAACCAGCCTTGCATACCTGGGATAAATCCCACTTGGTAGCAGCGTATATTTCTTTCTGTACATTGTTGGACTGAATTTGCTAAAGTTTTGTTGGGGATTTTTCTTCTGTGTTTATGAGAAATATTGATCTGTAGTTTTCTTTCCTTGTAGTATCTTTTATGGTTTTGGTATTAGGGTAATGCTGGCCTCATAGAATGATGAAGTATTAAGAGTTATTTCCTCTACTTCTATCATCAGAAAGAGATTGTAGAGAATTGGTATAATTTCTTCCTTAAAAATGTAGTAGAATTCACTGGTGAAACCATCTGGGCCTGGTTCCTTTTGCTTTATTAAACTATTAACTATTTATTTAATTTCCTCAGTCAACATGGGACTATTCAGATTGTCTATTTCTTCTTGTGTAAGTTTTGGCAGACATATCTTTCAAGAAATTGGTCTGTTTCATATAGGTCATCAAATTTGTTGGTACAGAGTTGTTCATATTTCTTTACTATCCTTTTAATGTCCATGGGTTGGTAGTGATGTCCCTTCTTTCATTTCTGATACTAGTAAGTTGGTTGTTCTCTCTTTTTTTCTTAATTATTCTGGCTAGAGGCTTATTCGTTTTATTGATCTTTTCGTAGAACCAGTTTTTGGTTTCATTGATTTTCTCTGTTCATTTTCTCTTTTCTATTTCATTGACGTTTGTTCTAATTGTACTATTTATTTTCTTCTGCTTACTTTTGATTTAGCTTCCTCTTCTTGTTTCTAGTTTTCTAAGTCAGAATATTAGATTGTTGGTTTTAGATCATTCTTCTAGAAATCTCCATCTAAGCATGCTTTACGTGCATCACACGCATGTGATAAGTTCCATTTTCGTTTATTTCAAAATACTTTAAATTTTCTCTTGAGATTTATTCTTTGACCCACGGGTCATTTAGAAGTGGATTGTTTAATCTTCAAGTATCTTAAGATTTTTCCAGTGATCTTCCCGTTATTGATTTCTAGTTTAATTACATTTTGATGTGAGATCACACATTGCGCAATTTCTGTCTTTTACATTTCTTAAGGTATGTTTTCAGTTCTGGATGTGGTCTGTCTTGATAAATGTTCCACATGAGCTTGAGAAGAATGTGTGATCATGTGTTGTTGGATAAAGTAGTCTATAGATTTCAATTATATCTAATTGACTCATGACAGTTTTGAGTCCAACTATGTCCATACTGATTTTCTGCCTGCTGGATCTGTCCACTTCTGAAAGAGGGACAATCATTAAAATCCCCAACTATAATCATGGATTCATCTGTTTCTCCTTGCGGTTCTATCAGTTTTTTGTCTTGTATATTTTGCTGCTCTGTTGTTAAGTGCACACACAGTAAAGATTGCTGTGTCGTCTTGGAATATTGGCTCCTTTATGATTATATATTGCCCCATCTCTATCTCTGATGACTTACCTTGCTCTAATTTCAGATTTCAGGAAATCTGCTTCCTGAAATTAATATATCTGCTCCTACTACCTCTAAATAGTGTTACCATGGCATATTTTCTTCTGTCTCTTTACTTTTTATCTATATAATATTTATATTTAAGAAGGGATTCTGTAGGCAATATATAGTTGAGTTTTGTTTTTGACCCACTCTGAAAATCTCTGTTTTAATCGATGTTTTCAGACCATTGATGTTAAAGTGCTTATTGACAGTTGGATTAACATGTACTCTATGTGTCACTATTTTGCATTTGTTGCCCTTATTCTTTGTTCCTATTTTTTTGTCTTCCACACCTTTTCTTTCTTTTGTGTTTTTAATTCAGCATTTTACATAATCTCATTTTCTCTCCTACCACCTTCTTAGCATTTCAATTGTACTTTTTAAAAACCATTTTTTTAGTGGTTGCCCTAGAGTTCACACTATACATTCACAACTAATTTATGTCAACTTTAATATAATAATATACCTATTCATGGGTAGGAAGTATCTTAAAGGTAGTTCAAGTACCTTATAATAACAAAATATTCCTAAATTCATTTATTCCCCATCCATTGTATTGTTGCTATCATTCATTTCACTTACACATAAACACACACACACACACACACACACATTTGTGCACAAATACCTTGTTGCTATTATAACTTTGAAAAAAACATAATCTGTTAGATCGGTGAAGGATTTTAAAACTAAACATTTTGATTTTACTTATTCATTCTTCAGTGCACTTCCTTTATGTAGATCTGAGTTTCTGACATATAGTTTATTTCTAAATAACTTCCTTTAATATTTCTTGAAAGGCAGATTTACTGGCAACACATTTTCTCAATTTTTGTTTGTCAGAGCAAGTCTTTCTCTTTCACCATTGAAGGATAATTTCTTAGGGTACAGAATTCTTGGTTGGTGTTTTGTTTCGATTTTCTCAACACTTTACTTGTTTCACTCTACTCTGTACTTACATGGTTTCTGAGAAGTCAGATGCAATTTTTATCTTTTCTCCTCTGTAGATAAGGTGGTCTTTTCCTCTGATTTTTTTTTGTAATTTTTTTCATTATCTTTGATTTTCTGAAATTTGAATATGAATGTGTAGGCTTTTCTTATTAGAATTCATGACTACTGTATCAGTAGTTCCAAATAAAACCTTTCCCTTCACTAGCATACTAGATATACTTTAAATAGGTAAGATTTAAAATAGGTAAGCTTTCTGCATTTTTTTGAAGGTACTAAATCCATCCTTTCATTTTCTCATTTATTTACTTCCTTCATGCCTGCTAATTATTGGTATTTTGCAAGATACTAAAGATTAAATGTCATGATTTTTCCATAATTCCTTCCCATAACTCAAACCTGAGATTATCTCACTCCTTCCCTTTGGTTTCTTAGGTCCCGTGGTCTTTACTCTGTCATATTCACCCTAAACAAAAATACACGTGCAGCTGCAAAAAAAAAAAAAAAAAAAAAAAAAACATTTACATTAAAATCATCTTAGTCTCAGCAAATTGGGCCAACAGGGCTATTTTATTGGAAGATGTGGCTAGAAAACATCTTAGTAGATGAAGATGAGCATACAATTTATTGTATGTTGATCCAATGAGATACTGTCTGGCACCAATAGAACAGCTACATGATTAATATGCCAATGTTGAACTTTGACACAACCATATCGTGTGGAGCTCCAGTATCTCTCGACACTCTTGATTTCCCCTTGGGAATATAATGCACTATATGATGGGATAACTTTCCAGTGCATACATAATTGAACTTTGTATATGAAATACCAGCAAGCAGATGAATAAATATTTGCTCAAACCTGCTATTTGAATGCCCTGCATCACTGGGGTAAAATTTTAATATTATATCCCAGTACTATTTTTATATTCATGTTGTCATGAAATCTTCCCAAACTCAAACATCTGTTAGATACATACTTCAAGACTCAGTTATTGCAAACTCATTTCTAGCATCTCAAGAGAACTTTAATGCAGGTGTTTGAGTGTGTAAGCATATAGTTCATTCCAGACATTGGTTCCCTAATAAGTTGTGACTGCTTTTCTCTCTCTTGCTATTTGAATAAACAAAGACTCATAGTTAGTTCTGGTGATTTAGGCATTTATCCAGACACTTGCATCATGATAGAAGCTGCAGAATATAGTCTACTAACAAGATAAACAACTAAAAAATGCTTCTGAGCAAATTTTTGTTTGTAAAAACATCAGTAATACCATTTGTCACCTGCTCTAGGTCATTGAGATGGTGGCATTGAAAGGACTGACAAACTGGAATGATTTGCAAAGCAACTGGAAAGGTTGACTATGGCTCTTTAAGGGATCATCATGGGTCGTAGACTTGAAAATAATATCTGAACATTTGCCCCTGGTATGACAGATTTTTAGTATGGAATTTTCAGAGTCCTAAACTTTGTATGGTAAATTTGGCCTTTAAGCAACCCGACTTTAGCCAAATGCAGTTAGTGTTAAATATTTTACTGTGATTCACCTTCTTGGCTCAAACATATACCATTTTTTTATTTAAAGAAACTTTGATCTGCAAACCTCAAAGGCAAAGTAATTAACAGCTACTCTCGCATCACTCAGTACAGGTACATAATTATAGCTGCACCTGCATATTTTTTTTTACTGAAATATTTTATCCCAGGTCCAGATAAGTAGAATAATGCCATTAAAATAAGGCTGATATTTAGACACACGAGGGGACCTGATTTTTAGCACTCAGATGACAGCAGAAAAAATAAACCACATAGACAATGCATCCACCGGACATATCCTTCCACTTACATTCGTGACTTTGACTTAATTTTATATTTCCTCAAAGATTAAAATTAAGATTTATCTATTCTGTTTTTCAAGTGAATTGAATTGACTGATGTGAATGCAGAGATGACATTTGCATCGTGCTGCCTTCTTTTCCCACTGCATTACTCTGATGGCTCTTGTTTAAAAAAAAAAATAAGTACAGATTGCTAACCTTAGCATGAAGAACCTACACAGTCTATATTCAACGTCAGTCAGACACATCACCTGGAGAAAAAACCGTCTACTCCAGTGAACCTGTATTGTTCTAAGCTACAGTTAATGAATGCCTACCACTCACCTGCTACTGGCTTTTGAGACAGACCAATATGGGCTTGAATTTAGGCCCCATTTTCTGAGAGTAATACCAATTTCATAGATCACTATGAGCATTAAGTGGAATTCTAATCATAAATTACCTACGTTTGTGCTGGGCACATAACAGTTGCTTGATAATTATAGTTACGGGGAGCAAGGGGAGGGAGAGCATTAGGATAAATACCTAATGTACGCGGGGCTTAAAACCTAGATGATGGATTGATAGGTGCAGCAAACCACCACGGCACATGTATACCTATGTAGCAAACCTGTACATTCTGCACATGTATCCGTGTATCCCAGAACTTAAAGTAAATTTTAAAAAAAAGAATGAAAATGGAAAAAAAAGAACGATACATTGGATTTGGGGGACGCAGGGGAAAGGTTGGGGGGGTTGGCAAGGGAGAAAAGACTACACATTGGGTACAGGGTACACTGCTTGGGTGATGGGTACACCAAAATCTCACAAATCACCACTAAAGAACTTATTCATGTAACCAAATACCCCTGTTCATCAAAAACCTATTGAAATACAAAAATTAATAATAATAATTATTATAGTTACTATGCATTTATCAAAGATTTGTGTTCCAAGTTACAGACTCTAATTCAAAGTGCCTAGGAAAATAGTGGGGTTTATTAGATGAACACTGGATATCTCTTATAGGCAAACTATGGGATGAGAATGGGTGCAGCTGGGTCTCAGGGATAACTGGCACTAGGAACTAAATGCTGTTGCCAGAAATCCTCTCTCTCTCTCTCTCTTTCTCTGTCTCTCTCCTTTCTCTTTCCACCATTTGCTCCTTTATCTCATAAAGATGTACCAACCTTCTCACAGAGAAAGAACAAGATAATTAACAGCTCTTGAGTTTTGTTTTTGTTTGTTTGTTTTGAGACAGTCTCACTCTGTTGTTCAGGCTGGAGTGCAGTGGGGTGATCTCGGCTCACTGCAACCTCCGCCTCCCGGGTTCAAGTGATTCTTCTGCCTCAGCCTCCTGAGTAGCTGGGACTACAGGTGCGCGCCACCATGCCCAGCTAATTTTTGTATTTTTAGTAGAGACAGGGGTTTCACCATATTGGCCAGGCTGGTCTCAAACTCCTGACCTCATGATCTGCCCGCCTCAGCTTCCCTCCCAAAGTACTGGGATTACAGGCATGAGCCACCACACCCAGCCAGCTCTTGAGTTTTATTCTGTGATTGACCCTCATTCTTTGTGGTTCTCAGTCTGAAAGTTTCAGGGAAGGGCTCCACTTTGTTGACCTTGTATTAGATGCCCAGCTCTTTTCATCAGTTGCCTTGGTCTGTGCTGCTGTAACAAAATGCCACAGACCGGGTAATTTATAAACAACAGACATTTATTTCTCACAATTCTGGAGGCTGCAAAGTCCAGTAACAAGGTGCCGAGAGGTTGGTGTCTGGGGAAGGCTGTTCTCTGCTTCCAATGTAGTGCCCCGTTGCCTCCTCCAGAGGGATGGATGCTGTGTCTTCACATGGTTAAAGAAATGTAAGAAGTAAATTCACCCCCTCAAGCTTTTTCATGAGGTTGCTAATCTCATTCATGAGGGCTGCACCCTCATGACCTAATCACCTTTCAAATGCCCCACCTCTTACAGCTATCACATTGGAAATTAAGTTTCTGCACACGAATTTTGGAAGATATTCAGACTATAAAATTCCACCCCTACGCCTCCAAATTCATGTCCTCACATGAAAAATATATTCATTCCATCTCAATAGCCCCAAAAGTCTTAATGCATTTCAGCATCAACTCAAAATTCTAAAATCTAAAGTCTCATCTAAATATCGTTTAAATCAGATATAGGTGAGACTCAAGGTACAAGTCATCCTGTGAGAAATTTCCCTCCAGCTGTCAGCCTGTGAAATGAAACAAATTATATGCTTTTGAAATACCATGGTGGGAGGGTCATAAGATAGTCATCCCCATTCTAAAAGGAAGAAATAGGGGGAAATAAAGGGTAGTAGGTCCCAAGAGAATCCAAAACTCTAGGGCAAACGACATTAAATCTTCAAGTTTGTGAGTAATCTTCTTTGACCCTATGTCTCACCTCCTGGACACACTGGTTCAGGGGTTGGGCCCCCATGGCCTCAGGAAGCCTCACCTCCACGGCTTTGCTGGGGATAGCCCACACTTCAGTTTGCATTATTGAAGAGGTGCGTGACTGTGACTTTCCCAGGCTGGCGTTGCACTCTGGTGGCTGTACAGTTCTGTGGTATGGGGGAGACTCATTCCCACAGCTCCACTACACGTGGCTCTAGTGAGGATGCTCTGTGATGGCCCTGGCTCTGTGGAAGTTTTCTGCCTGGGCCCTGAGGCTCTCTGAGGCATCTTTTGAAATCTAGGTAAAAGCATCCATGCCCTCACAGCTCGTGAACTCTACACACCTGCAGAATTAGCACAATGTGGACACCACCAAAGCTGACCACTTGTGCCCTATCAAGTGGTGGCCCAAGCTGCACCTGGGTCCACTTGAGCCACAGCTGGGGAAGCCAAGGAACATTGCAGCAGAATGTGAGAAACAGAGATGTTAGTCATCCCTGGGTCTTCAGGTTTGAGGTCCCACAGGTGCCCTGGGCTTCTCCTTTGAAACTATTCTACCCTCAAGGCCTTAGCACTCTAGGAAATGGCATCACTGATAATCTCTGAAATGCCCTCTGGGTCATTGTTTCATTGACTTGATGAATAGCATCTAGCTTCTTTCTAACCATACTGATCCTTATCAAATGGTAGGTTGGCCATACTCTGGGTATTCTCTCTCAAACACACTTTTCTGTTCTTCACAATCTAGCCAGGCTGAAAATTTTCCCAATCTTTAAGTTCTGCTTTCTCTTTAATTATAAATTCTGTCTTCACTTCATTTCTTTCTTCTCATATTTTCATATAAGCTGTCAGGAGAAGCTGTGCAGCACCCTGAACATTTGCTTGGAGGTTTCTTTTGCCAAATTTCCTAGTTCATCACTCTTAAACTCTGCTTTCCACAGAGCACTAGGATATGAACACAACTCAGCCAGGTGCTTTGCCACTTGGTAACAATGATGGCCTTTCTTCCTGTTTCTAATACATTATTTCTCGTCTCCACCTAAGACCTCATCAGAATGGCCTTTGCCATCTATATTTCTACCAATATTCTGTTCATGACCACTTTGATAATGTCTAAGAAGATTTAGGCTGTCTGTAAAGCTCTTTTCTTCTGTGCCCTCATCATAATCAGTCTCAATGCTCTGTTCATACCCATCTAGGGTTTTTTCCTAGCATGCATCTCAAACTCTTCCAGCCTCTGCCCATTACCCAGTTCCAAAGCCATGTCCCCATTTTAGGTATGTGTTGCAGCAGCACCCCAAATATAACAGAGACAAGCAGAGATTTTGAGTTGGCAGGCGAGGTAAGGGAGTGGATGGAGAATTACTAAGAATGTGATTAGGTATCTAGGAGGAGAAGCATGTCTAAGTAGTAAGGGCGGAGAGGATGCTCCATAAATGGGCTCAGCAGGATTCTTGGCTAAAACCGAGCCAACGACAAGGCCTAGTAGAGAAGAGGATTCAGAGGAGACTAAAGTTTCATCAAGGAGACAGTCCTTGTGAATTTACCTGTGTACATTTTTGATATTTAGTGTATCTCCCACTATGAAGTAAGCTCCATTAGGAGAGAACCTGTTAACTTTTGCTCACCATTTTATTCCCAACACCTAGAACAGTGCCAAAGTACGTGGCATGTGCTCAATAAGCATCTGTTTATTAAATCATTGACAGCAGATTTTGAGTGTAATTCCTCTGCTTCAATTTCCTTCCCCAATGTCTCTATCAAACATAAGCCACTGGGTTTTTTTTTTTAGGGGTTGGTTGAAGTCCCCCCTTCTCAACAAATCCTTCTCTGATAGTTTCAGTTCCAAATGTATCCCATTTTTCTGTACTTCAGTACGTAGTTACTGCCTGTACCATTTATCAGGGACTTAATCATATTCTTTCTTATTTCTTAATGAATTCAGCTGTGTGACTCCCAGAACAACTAAATTATGTGCCCTTAGAGAGTGGGGACCTTGTCAGAAGCCTTTTGTTTTGCCTTTAGCACAGAGTATGTTGCTATTGCCTGGTAGATGCTCAGCAAATATCTCCAAACGAGTAAGTTAATTCATTAGTTAATACAATTAATGCTTAGCCCTAAAGTGGTTTACAATTAATAAGAAACACAGAATAAATACTTGTAATTTTACTTACAAAAATAACATTTATCTAGGTAAGTAAAATTCTCTTCAAAGAAAATAATCTGGAAGATGATAGTGCTGTTGTTAAAGTGTATTCATTACTCACATTCTCCTTAGAATCTTCTTTTGGCATAATGTATGCCTGTTTTTTTGTCATATTTCCAGATACTATCTGTATATCTCTACTTGTCACATAGTAGCTATGATCTGAACAGGCAATTGGTTCTGCTCACTTACTATTATCAGAAAGACTGGCTCAAGATCAGCTGCTCCTTTTTGGCACTTGCCCTTCAAAATTTAATTGGCTTAGATCCAACGATTCTATATTATGGGTCAAATCACTCCATCACATTGTGATACATTTGGCAATCAGTGTATATCAGCGGGTTCATCTAGAAACTACATTACTTACTATTAGCCATCCTATGGGAACTTTTGGAGATATTTTCATTGCTCTGATAGATGATTGATATCACTTGCTTTGGAATTTTTCTGGGATGAAATTATAGTAGTCATGCTTAATGTGTTAGAATATGGGGACATGATTACTTATTCTCCCCGTTTTAGAAGCACTGCCAAACCTGCCCCCCTCTCAGATGGTAACCAAAACATTTAGACCATTCTGGGTTGGTAACATGAATGACCTGCGTTCCAGGGGTTTGTCAGAAGCATATCTTGTATAATTCTATTGTTCCACTCTCATTTAAAGTCTTGTTGCAGAAAGTTATTTATCCATGTTATATAATTAATCCACTATTTGAATTAAACTGAAACCACCGCATGTTTTAGCTTGATATCAAGTGATTTTTATTGCAATCCCCTTTGGTATTGTAACCCAATTCATTGGAAGCCAATGGCAAAAGAAACAGATGACAAAATTTCTCTTTGATATTGGAAGATATTGGCGAGGGCAGTGTCCACTGGGACTGTCACTGAGTGTGAGCTTGCTGTTTTGAAGGGAATGGCATTCACTATCCCACATCATGGGCACAGCACTCATGGTCACTTGGATCTTGCCCCTTGTATGAAAGAGTTAATGGTGGCTTATGGAAATGATGTAATTTGCTAAATTAACTAAGTTAGAGGCAAAGGTGAAACTACGTGACTTCGCAATCCGTGCTTTTAAGAGTCAATGGAAAACCATGAAGTTTTCTGTCTCAGTACTTAGCAAAGCCGTGGTTCTCCCATGTAAAAGGTTCATGGTTATTTTGTGTACTACCTGCCTACAGTAAGTAATAGTACTCTTTCTCTTTTGTTAATAATGCAAAGTCAAATGTGCCATCCACTGTCAACATTAATATAAGACTTTTCACATGGATTTTGATATGTACTTCTATGCAGTTGTATTTTATTTCTCACCCTTACCTTCTTATTACACACTTTTTCTCATATATTTATTTTATCGTGCTACACAGTGGATACTTTGGCAAGCTGTCACAAATACAATTTGATAATTACAGTTCACACATTTTACTCTGCTATACCATCTCCTAACCGTCTAGTAAGAGAGCTGAGTGCCCGTTTTACAGATGAGGGCTTTGAAGTTTGGGTAGTGTGATCCTATGACTGCTCAGCTAGCCAGTGCGGGAAAGAGCCTGTAAGCATCAGCATTTGCTGTCAAGCTCGATCATACCTCTACAGGGTTCTAGTCAAGAGCAGCATCTTCCAAATACTGTTCTCTGGCACGCTGGCATGTTAGATATATTAATAGATGCTCCTAAATGTTAACTTAAAAATAGTCTGTAGTCATACGTGTTGGCTAAATATCTCTCTCGGGTTGCGACAGAAAATTAATATGTTAAACTCTGTGAAGCAGAGCAGGTTAAATTGATGTTTTATAAGTTTACTTGGTCCAGCACATATTTTTCTTTTCATTCAAAATGCTTATTCATTGAGTCTACATGGACATAAAGATGGGAACAGTAGACCCTGGGGACTTCTAGAAGGGGGATGGAGGGAAGGGCAAAGGCTGAAGAACCCCCTATTAGGTTCTAGGCTCACTACCTGGTGACTGGGTCATTTGTGCTCCAAACCTCAGCATCGCACAGTATACCCATCTAACAAACCTAGGCAGGTAGCCCCTACACCTAAAATAATACTTAAAATTATACAATGAAAGAAAATGCTTATTAACATCTTCTTCAAAACTGCTATTTAAAAAAATCAACTTGGAAAATGTTGGTAAATATAACGATAATGTTGAAAGAGCCTAAGCAGCAATTCAGTCCTAGCCTCAGCTCTCACTAACCAGCAGCGTGACCTTCATTCAGTCACTTAACCTCTTTGGGTCTTAAGTTCGTCGTCTGTTAAATTATAGGTTTGAACTCGATGATCTCAAATGCTCCTCTCAGTGCTAAGATGTTTGATGTTTGACTCTAAGTGCAATCTCATCTCAGGCAGGCTCAAGTGTATACTTAGGTTCTAAGGGTTAATGTAGCATCCAGAAGAATTTTGATTTGAGAATAAGCTCATAACAAGGAAGGAAATCTTGCCACTTGAGACAACATGAATGAACCTGGAGAATATGCTAAGCAAAATAAGCCAGACACAGAAACACAAGTACCGCACGATCTTACTTATATGTAGAATCTTAAAAAGTCAAATTCATAAAAGCAGAGTAGAACAGTGGTTACCAGTGGCTGCGAGTGTAGGGGGATGGGGAGATACTGGTCAAAGGGTACAAACTTTCAGTTCCAATATGAGCAGCTTCTGGGGACCTAAGGTACAGCACGGGTGGTGATGAATGTGTTCCTTAATTTGATTGTGCAGTCATTACACCATGCATTACACCATGCATTACATCAAATCATCACGTTGTACACCTTGAATATATTCAATCTTTATCTGCCAACTATTTCATTTATTTAAGCAGAATTTTCATCTACAGGAAGAAGATGGGGTAAAGAGGAGGACATTTATCAGACAATACATTGACTTTTTATTGCAAACTAGAAATTGAACTTATCTGCATTTCCTTTCTTATTTATATTATTCTCCAAGTTGTAGGAAGCTCAGAGAAAAAAATTGAAGACATAAAAAAGTTGATGTCCCTTGCAAAGTTGAAAAAAAAATCACATCACATTTTATGTTAGGCTTTTAAAATGGGGGAAAATAATTACACCTCAAATTGAGAACATCACTTGACTGTAATATCCCTTTTCAAGCAGATTCTACTAATTCCAGATTTAGAAAATGAAAATGTGTTCATAGAAACCATCAGAGCAAGGCAGATGGAATAAGGTATTTGAAAAATCTTAAAGCTGTGCTTGAATTATCACCTTTGGATCTGCATATTTGAAATATATGATTAAAAGGCTTTCTCTAGCACTGTTTTACACCATCTTCTGAAATGCACAGAGAGGGATCATTAACTGTCCTCTATTTTCTCTGAGGATGGAATAAAGCAAAGAAGGATTTCAACTGCAGCAGGAAGGAGCCGAGTTAGATATTAGATGAACCGACAGGTTAATTAAACAATTCAACTAGCTTCCAGAGATGACTTGGCTACTGCAGATTTAACATACGCATGATCTCCTAGATTGCCTTCTACTTTTATAATTCATTCTCAGATCAGATATACACTAGAACCCAAGAAGTCTCTCTTCTCTTCTAGTTCTTTCCAACCTAGAATGCCTATTTAGACCTTCGTCAAAATTCCGACTTGTCTTTGAGGTGCACATGTACTTTTACCTTCTTTTGGTCTGTAAGATCTTTAATTCATGTAACATTCTGTTACATAGCACTCCTTTCTCATCAATAACATATGCCTTGGTACTTTATTGTATGAGAATATAAATTACATTCATCAGGCTACACCACTGCCTTCTTAGTTAATTGCTAGGTAAGGTTTGTCTTGCCAAATGCATTGAAAGCTCTTTCAAATCAATTCAACAAATAGTTTTTGCTCTATGTGCTGGGTACCAAAGGGATCCTCTTTAAAGATAAAGAAAACACCACCATTGATCTCAAAGAGCTTAGTGTCTGGTGTGGGGAATGGCATGCACACAGCTAATTAAAACACAGAGCTGTGTGTAACATGGCTGTGGCAGAGACAGAAAGGAGGTATTGTGTATGGAAGGTAATGAGGGGAAACTTCATGAAAGAGAAGCGTTTGAACACAGGGTGTGAACTCTGTCAATCCCAGGCAGATCTGTAGTTCTACTGTGGAGCCCCATGTCTGGCACATAGTAGGCAGCTACTCATGAAATGCACTGGGTTGTATGAATCAGTGAAGACATAAATATATTTTTCCAGGCAAAGGCATGAAGGAAGTGGGATCTAAATGGAAGGATGAACTTCAACATTAAATAAAGGAGTCCATTTAGCTGGATTTTACATAAACGGAAAGTGAAGGAGATAAACTTAGAAAAGTAAGTAGGAATGAGATATTTCAGTCCTTGAGTGACATAATACATGGTTTAATCTTTATTTGGTAGGTAATGAAAGCAGAGTCGGACTTTGAACAGATGAACAATATGGTGGAGGCTTTTGATGTCAGTATTTTTATATCATGGTTCTTATAATAAATCTATATTGTATGGTAGATGCTCACTCATGCTTGAATTTGAGTTTGAGTTCTAAGTAAAAAAAAATGGCAAGGTTTTAAATAGAAATGATGGGAGTTACATTATAAAAACCACAGATATAACAGGTGATCTCATACTCGCAGTGCAGAAGGACATGGAGACCCCATGAGGCTGAGCAAGAGAGCTGGGCTTGGGGCCAGACCTCTCTGATCAGGCCAGGCCCTATCTGTCCGACTGCCTGGAGCGCCCCAATACGCCTCCCAGTGATGTGCTGCCTGACCCCAGATTGGCTTCCAAGCCAAGCCGAATATCCTTCAATTTCATTTTAAAGGAGGAAGTGCTTTGTTTTCAAACTTAGACACCCTCAAGAGATGCCTGCGTCAATATTTGCCTCCCTGGTATGAAGTTTTCTTTGTGGAAGCTGAATCTCTCAGCTGAAGCTTAACACCTCTTTCTGGGAAACTAAACAACGAAACTTGAATTTGAAAATTGACCTTCATCGGATGTTAATTAGCCTTCTTAAAACATTGATGGTTGAGAATGATAAGAACCAAATGATGTTTATGGAGTGCGCAGGGTGTGCAAGGCCCTGTGCAGGTGTCTGGGGGGTGGGCTTTGGAGAACTGCCAAGGTATGAATGCTGGTTCTGCCACTTACTAGTTGTTTGTTCCTGGAGGAGCTATTACCATTAGTTACTTTCCTAATTTATAAAATGAAACCAATAAGGCCTGCCCTACAGATCTTTTCTGTGGGTAGGTACAATGCACAATACAGTCTCCGCTTGCCAGTTAAAAAAAAAATGTCAAGAGAGGTCTCTGCTCTCAAAGAATTTGCCATCTAGTTAGGGAGACGAGGCGGGAGCATGCAAAAAGTCAATTAGTAACAAAGGATTGAAATAACAATTCCAGACAATAACAGAAAAGATGTCACAAGGCTGTATATGATTAATTGCCAAATGAATTTTTCACACAGTAAGAATTCAAAGAGAGAACATTTAGGATTGGGACATCTACCAAGTTCATCATCCCGTCATTCCGCAACCTTCCGTGCAGCGAATCCTTCCTGTCCTCGCGCTCACAGCCCATGTGGGATCCTGGGCTGGTCTGGAGGGCATCTGGCATTCCACATGGGCCTCCCGTTATTGGAGATGTGGTCTCTCCCCAGTGGCGAGGCCGTGTTCCAAAGGAATATCCTGCAGAATACTCCAAACCCAAGATAACTGTTCCAGTATGAATGGAGTGCCAGGTCTCTTTCCATTGCAAGTGGCGAACATGCAACTGAATCCAGCTTTGAGATGTGGATTTATCCACTCAATGGCTGGAACAATCCAGGTGCAATTCCTGGGAGCAGGCACGCTGGATGCATGGGCCGAGCCTTCCGGGGCCCTGCCTGGCCCCTCTCTGGCCCTTCCCAGGCTGGGGTGGGGTGGGGTTGGCTCCCTCAGGCCAGCCCTCTCCGCAGCCAGCGACCCGAGACAGGGGCACCAGTATCCGGGACTCAGGCTGGGGCAGTGGGAGCACACACGCATGCGGTCGCGGGGCCTCGGAGAGGGGCAGCTCAGAGGGGTCGGGTCTGGGAGTGAGACCACAGCGCGCGCCCGGCTCAGGCAAAGCCCGCGGCTCCCGCTCCCGCCGCTCAGTGCACCCGCGGGAAAGGCAGCAAAGCGAGCGGCGCCCCAGTGACTGTGCGGCCCGCTCGGCGGGGTGTGTGCGTGTGTGTGTGTGCGTGTGTGTGCGTGGTGTGTGTGATGTGAGTGTGGTGCGCACACGGGTGCCGTCGGGGCGCAGGCGGTGTTTCCGGGCGGGTGCCCTGTGGCTCCACCAGGCAGTGGCTGGGCTCGGCTGGGGCGTCCGCCGCGGGCTCCGGCGCTGACGGGCGCCCTCTGGCGGCCGCGCGGACGAGGTGCGGTCCCGGCGAGGCACTGGCGCGACGTCCGCCCCGGCCCCTGGCGCCCCCTTGCGGCGGTCTCCGGGCAGCGCGTCTGCCTGGGACGAGGTCGGCTCGGAGGGGCCCCCGGCACCCTGCAGGCTGGCGACCTCTCCGGGTTGGTGGGCCCCGCCCGGGCCGCGAGGAGGCCCAGGCGCCGGGGCGGGGAGGCCGCGCATGGGGTCCGCAGCGGCGGGACGGGCCGCGGGGGAGAAGCGGTCTCCAGAGGGGCCTTGAGCCCCTCGCCCGGCTTCGTAGCTGACAGGGCCGTGCCGTGCCGAGGGCTGTGCCACTCGGCGCAGAACGGGGTGGGGCGGGGGTAGTAAGAGGGGAAAGGGGGATGGGCGAGGGGGAGGAGAGGATGAGGAGGAGAGGAGGGGAAGGGGGATGGGCGAGGGGGAGGAGAGGATGAGGAGGGGAGGAGGGGAGGGTGGCAGGTGGGGAAGGGAAGAGGGGAGCGTGGGGAGGGGAGGATGGGGAGGATGGGGAGGAGGGGAAGAGAAAGGATGGGGAGGGGGGAGGATAGGGAGGAGAGGAGGGGTGCGGGGGAGGGGAAGAGGGGAGGGTGGGGAGGGGACGGCGCAGCGGGTCCTCTGCCTTGGGCAGACCCGGCCTTCCCTTTGCCCCAGCCGGGTGGAGCCCGGCTCGCCTACCCAAGGCCCCAAGACTCCAGCGCGGGAGCTGGTGGCTTCCAGGGGCTCCCGGAGTGGCCCAGGACCCCGGGTCGTGCGGACGCGGGGCTCCTCTAGAGGCTGGAGGGGAGCCGAGGCGGAGGCCCAGGCCCGGGCTTGTCCTGCCCTTGGCCTGGGGAGGGGTCCCTGAGCCGGGAGCTGCTCTGGGCCCGGGTCACCCCCGGCCGTCTCAGGGCTCTTAGCAGCAGGAATGGCGCCAGTAAAGAACGCGCGCTAGAAGGAAACGGCAGGACTCTGGGCACACTCGGGAGCAGGGACAGAACTTCCCGGGGCTGCTGAGGGACGCCTCCCAGGGGACCGCGCTCCCGTTGGGATGCAAGGGACAGATGCCTGGAAGAGAAAGGGCCTCACAGCACACGCTGGCGGCTGAAGGCTGCTGAGAAGGGTGGGGGCTGTATGCGGAGAGGGGCGGGGAGGGGCGCTGCCAGCGCTTCACCTGCCATTCGAACGGCGGGGGCTGGATGTTTACTGTGGCCTCAGTTTCTCCTTCTAGAAGGAGATTCTGGATTGGGTGATGAGTACCATTGATGTACCCCACAAAGCCTCCCCCTGGGGTTAAGAGGAGGTGCTTAGGTCCAGTAGCAGGATCCCCCTAGAGCAGGAGTGCATTTAATACACTATTGGGCTTATCCAAAGGGAGAATGTGATAGAAGCCTCCGTCTGTCATCTCAAGAAGAGAAGTCAATCTACTCCAGCTCAGGATGTGGAAAACAAAAGACGAGCTGTGAACACCAAATACAGTCCTGTGTAAGAGCGCTTCATTCATTCGCTCAGCCACTTGCGAATTCCTTACATATTCGTTGAGCTTGTGCTTTGTAGCACACACTGGGTTACGAATTGGGAAAGCAGAGAATCATCAGCCTCAGTTCCTAAGTTGCGGAATCTGTGATCTAGTGGAGGAGGCGTTCACTTAAATGATCAGCAGGATGCCGCATCCTCAGAGATGTCTGCTAGGTGGTACCAACGGGGCTGACATCCCAAAGGAAACGGAGAATTAACTGTTCAAAGAGCCCTAACCCTCCAGATGGAAGCACCAAGTCCTGTAAATATAAGGGATGGGTATACCTCCCCTCTCCACCAGGGACATCAGATGCGCCTGTCACCCTGAAGTCAGGAGCACACTGGGATGCTGCAGGAGTGTCCTACAAGGAATAGCTACATTGATTATCTCGGCTTCGGGTCCTTCCAATTCTAACACTTCCAATTTATGTTTGTGGATATAATGTTGAAACTGGTCCTCTCACCAAAAGCTAATAAGGCCTGGCGGTAAGCCCCTTTCCCCACCATGCACGCTTCACCCCCACTCTTCCACTCACCTGTGTCCCCACTAGACTCCGAGACCCATGAACAGTCGTGTTCTGCACCGATATCTCAGCCTCCAGAACAGGCTTCAGCATGCAGAAGGCCTAGGTGAGTAAATCATGAATGAATGAAGAGGTGAACAAACAGATGCCTGCAAGGTGTTTAAAGGATGGAAGCAATAAAAACCATTGAGCTCCTTCATAGCGACAAGAGCTTTTATACTGATTCTCTCTCCAGCTTCAAGGTGCTAAATGGCTCCTCAATAGAATGAGTGAAAATAAACGGGCACAGTGGGTTTGGGTGTTTTGCTGATTTGAGGGCAGGGAGGAACTTGTTTAATGAAATGTGTGAATATGGCACCCCAGACCTGGGGGTGTCCTCTCAACTAACCGTCTTGTCTCAGGCAGCATTATACCTAAAACATTCCACAGATGAGACTAAAGCCTATTTTAGGAAAAAAAAAAAAAAAAAAAACATTTGATTACCAAAGTGGGAATGTTTTCTCACGGTGCCGCTGCAAGTATGGAATCGTTGGCATTCTACTTCATCTTCCCTCTTAGGGCCTTCCTACTCACCGTGTGGGCCACACACCGGCCGCAGTAGTGTCATGAGAGCTTGTTGAAAATCAAAAGTTCCAGGCATCATCCCAGACCTACCAAAGCTGAACCCACATTCTCACAAGACCGCATGGGTGATGAGGGGACACACTGGAGTCTGAGAGTTACCATCCTACAGTCCCGCAGGTTGATTCCAGGTCAGGTCTATACATCCGGCCATCTGCATCTGGCTGGGTTGCTGTAGCTCTTGTGGATTGGCCAGTAGTTCTGGCTCTGTTGTGGATGGGTAGGGTGAGTGGGGACCCTATTCATAGACCATAAGGAGTTTTCTTCTCTGGTCATTGCTCTGTTCCCAACTCTCTACACACTTCTGCTAAAATGCTCCTCCTTATGTTGAATTAATTCTGTAAAACTGTTTTTCTAACATGGTTGAAGTTCAAAAGGCATTCCCAATGAGCTGCTTTGTGAAAAGGGAGAGTGATGCCTATCTTCCATCCCCTTGGACGGGCACCTCAGCATGTCTCTGGCATCATTATGGAGCAAAAGGCAGAGCCTGCAGCAGGATGGAGAAGGTTGGGGGATGCGGGAGGTGGACAGGACCTTGGGGAACATATAGGTCCTTCCTCTCACCTTACAACAGGCAGGCGGAAGTGGAGGGGGTGGTGAATTTGTGAATTCACAATTCACAAATTGTGAAATTGTGAATTTGTGAGGTCACACGGTGAGCTGGTGCAAGAGATGAAATGGGAACCTCCCGAGGTTCTTACAGTGGGTGGCCACGCCTGGCTGTGCACTTTGCAGGGTGTCACAGTCATTTTTTTGTCACCCCAGAACAAGTGTAGAGTACTCGGGCAGATTTGTTTTAGCCATTTTTTAGCCTCTTTTCATATAGAGATTTTTGATTTATCTGAAAGGAAATCAGATCTGAGATCATAAGTTGAATCCACATATATGAAAATCAAATGAATGCTTATAAATCATCTGAAGCACCATCTACTCCAGCTGCCCATCAAAAATGTGGGTCCCCCTGTGACATTCCTGCATGGTCAATGCCTGGCCTTGAGCACCTCCGGAAAGGGGAGATTATTCAGATGGGATAACCCTGCTGTGAGGCTGTGTGCTCCATGGATCCATTCTTGCCTTCTGTTCAGTTGAAATACGCCTCTCGTTACTTACACTAGCTTAAAATGCGTATCAAAAGTACAAGCAATTTCATATCAAACATGCTTGCCAACGGCAAATGTCTTCATCCAGAGAGAGCCAGGGGCCCGGAGATCAATTCAGGCGGGCGTGTATGTGGAAAACTGGGTGAGACACGGCAGGAACTGGGTGGGAGGAAGGAATATTGGGGTGGGGATGAGCTTGGATCAACAAGAGGGAGAACTAACGTGGCACATCTGGGGAATGTAAGGATTCCAGTAAAAAAGATTCACGTGGCCTCGGAAGTCTCTAAAATCTGTCGTTTATAACCCCTAGTAGGTGGGTGCTTTGTATTTCTCAAGCAGTAAAAGAATAGCATAGCATAAGGAGTGTATGAAGGTGGTAGTTGGGGGCGGTGGAGAGATTTCTGGGTTTACGTCTTAAGTTTGGAGTGACAGCCAAGATTCTTAAAATACACGGGCACGGAGCGCCCTCTTGTGCCTGATCGGAGCCAGTGCCGCTCTGTAAAAGCGAGCATTGTGGCGCTCAGGGAGCTGCCCGTGGTGCATCCCAGAACCTTAGACCAGAGGTGATTTCCAGGGTTGTCTGCGCCCTCCTCACTGGAGGGATGAGGGTCAAGGGCCTAGACAGCAGGAGTCATTGAGCAGGGGTAGAAGCCAGGTCTCTAAACTTCAAAAGCGTGTTGCCTTTTATATTATTATTTCCTTTTCACTCCGGCACAGGCTAATGACTGAAACATATTCCTTTCTTTGTCACCGGTTTACACAAGGACCTGCTCACTCCATTGCTCATTTTCTTTTATCCTCAGTCTCTGCTGTAGTCCCTGCACACATGCAGTGTGTCTGTCGTGTTGCCGTGTTTGTGTGTCCAGTGTGGAAAGCGTGTAGATGTTCAGCTGTTTTAATGGAGCAATGTAGGTGATACTGTGTTGGGTGTCTCCTTGTTCCCGTGTTTTCACTCAGCCCCATGTTTATCAGATCGTCCGGGCGGCTGCACGCATCTTGAGTTCATTGCGCACAGCCACCGTGGCGTGCTCGGTGCGTCCACACCCCTGCTTGGTGTGCACCTCAAGTATGTCTGTCCGGTCCCCTTCTCTACACAACACTGCAGCAGACATCTTTGCAGATTCCCACTTCAGTACGCCGATAATACCTGGGGGCTGAGATGGACTCAGAAGTGAAATTGCTAGGTCATAGCAATGTAATTTACTCAGTCTAAGAGTTACCAGATTCCTCCCTAGAATCGCGGCTTCCATAAGGTTTCTCATATTTTCTGTATCCCCTCCAACTCTTGCCATTATCCAGCTTTCCAGTTTTTCCCAGCAAATTATGTGTGAAGTGCTTGTATTCCACATTCTGATTCTTTCAGTCTGTATTTATCTGAGTATTTTTTTTCTGTGGCCGGTAGATGGGCATTTGCATTGTATGTTTAAATTGTCTGTTTGCATCTTTTGCCTATATTCCAATAGGAGTCTTTTCTTTTTCTTATTGATTTGAAGATTTTCTTTGTAGAAACAAAGTATTCATCCCTTGGTGTTTTTATGCATTGCAAATGTCTTCTCCCAATGAGTTGACTGTTAACATATTTCTTGTGCTTCCTTCATTTAATAGAAATTCTTAATTCTGTCATCCTCAGTCATCATTTTTCCTTGTGCTTTTTGCTTTTGAAGTTATTTATAGTAATTAAAAAAATTCTTACCGAGTTCTAGTTCACAAAGACAAGCTCTGACATTTCCCTTTATTGATTTTATAATTTCACTTTTCACATTACAGTCTTAAAATTGTATAGAATCCAGTTTTACAAGCGTCATTAGGTAGGGATCTTGCTTTATTTTACTCTTGATTTCAGATTGCTTTCCACTTCCTACTCAGAAAGGTATCACGCCGAGCCCACGGGGAAAATGAGGGCAGGGCTGGAAAGCTTGAACCTGACTCCGTGTGATGAGCTCCAAGTCACGGGGCAATCTCAGTACTTGTTCCTCAGCTTGATGGGGCACAGACCTCTCCAGATTCCCTTGGCCAAACCCAGCCCTCCTGATATCCAGGCAGGGTTGAGTTCTAAATGAGCTCACAGAGCCATAAGCAAAGCTCAGAAGTCCACCTCATCTGATTTCCCTAGCATCACTCTAGAGAACCGCAACCCAGAAAGAGTGATACTCTCTGTTGCAGAATTCCCTCAAGGACAAGGCCTCGGCCACCTGCAGTAGGTAGTCTAGATGGGGGGCAGCAAAATAAGACTGGGTGCTACCTCCTGCCCCACCGCCAACCATCACTAACCGATCACAAAGTGGTCACCCACACTAGCTCTACTAGAAATCAATCAACTGCAATCTTTTTGTCTGGGCCTTCACCTGCTTGGCAGAGAAGAACCAGTTGAGATGAGTCTTTTGGAATACAGAAGATTCCTAGTGGGGTCAGGAGGTGCATGTTTCACGCTGCTCCATCACCAGCCTGCTGACCAGCTGGAGAGTCACTTAGCTTCTCTGAGCTTCCGCATCTTCATGATGATGATGATGATGATGACAATGATGAGGCTGATGATGGCTTGCATTCACACATGATTCTATGCGGGGGGTGGGGTGTCTCATTTGAGACTTGTGACAGTGCTCTGAGGAGTCTTTCTGTGTTACAGTGGAGGAAGCCAGCCAAAGGGGAGAATCAAGTCTGGACCGCCGCTTGCGTTTGCATGACGTTCACAGCCAATTCTGGCCTAGAATTCTACAGTCTTGTATAACATCTCCTCTTGAAGCCTTACTTTCCTCACATCTTAAATGGAACCCCATATGCAGGGACATTTTTCTTTGCAGGTGGAAGTGGGTGGTCTGAGTGAACCAGTGCAGAATGGAGGCTTACAGTGGAGGAATGCCAACAATTCATCCCAGACATCACCTGCCTCTCAAAACCTGAGGAATTCAGCTAGAAAAATGTTTGGAATAGGGAAGGGGGACAAACTATTTAGAAAAGTTAATATAGAATTAGACAGAAGTAGCCAATTTGTTTTCCAAAGGTATGCATGCATTGCCTTGAAAGCGTGTCTACAAAATATTAAGTAAATGAAGTACAAAATAATACATATCCCACCACCCTATTGTATGAAAAAAACAAAAAAGTGTACAGATTTTTATATATGTTTATATAAAAAATAACAAACCAAGAGTAAATTATGGAAGAACATACAGCGTCTTTCTAAAATTCTAAAAATTAGTAATACCAATGTACATGGGAGAGGGAGAGACTATGGATTTTACATTAGATATTTTATATCCTTTAAGTCATCCCAAATAACAGGTATTAGGTTTATCATTCAAATAACTGAATAAAAAGGAAAAAAATACAGGCTGACTGGAATTTGGGTGGAGGTTTGATTGCTGCAGATTCCTTCTTGTTTCCACACCGACTTAGGAATCCAAGAGCCCAGGCTTTGGCAGGACCAAGGTCCCCTAGGCCTGGGTCTCCTGCTCTCTGTGTGCAGCTCCCCAAGTTAAAGAGTGCCTCAGAGATGGGGGAAGTGGGAGAATCAGGTGTCCTGGGCTGGCTCGGAAGAATTTCTTCCTCCTGATTAAATTGTCAGATCTCTCCCCAGAGTAGATGGATCGTGCTTTTTCCTGGCCAAGACTTTTCTTGGGGGGCCAGGCGTGAGAGGCATCACTGCCAGTATAACTGTCCCTGTGTGCACCTGGCAGTGTCCGGCTTCAGAGCAGAGCCCCTGCAGCAAAGCATCAGTCAGTGTCGAACTGCTTCCCGGCAGCGTCCCCACCGCTCATCCCCCAGAGCCCTTGGGAAGTGGCCTCCTTTCTCTAGAAAGCTGTCAGAAGAATGCAGAGATTCTCCTGCTGCAGCACCTTGTCCCAGGGAAAGGCCTCATTGAGGAGAAGCCTCTGAGACCCAGCACGCTCTGTCCTGGTTTTGTCTTTGGAGAAACATGGCTCCCGTTTGGCCTCATAATGAATGAAAGGCTGGTGAGCACATAGCAGGTTGCCAAACCATTCCTGACAATGCCATAGAAATATTGATCCTACAGCCACCTCTGATATCTGTCAGTGTCAATATTTTGCACTCTTGCAGCTACTTTAAGAAAGGGGGTATGGGGAGGAGGTGAGCCTTGTCTACTACTCAGTCTGTGACAAAATGCAGCTACGCTGACAGGGCAGGGTGGGGACGCGTGAGAGGCTGACGTCCACTGCACGCACACTTTCCTTCTTTCTGCTCTCTGCCCTCCTGTCCCCCAGTACTTGCCCTAGGTGCCACTTCCTGGTGAGCTGAGGATGCCTGCGAGAAAGTATGATGGTGGACAGACAGGGGTGGGCGTCATTCTGTGCATGGTTATTTAACTTTGCTTCTCATTACGGGCAACTTTTGAAATGGGGCTGAGAGATGTGGCTTCTGATAGCTCTGTTTCCACCTATAGCAGCATTTTAAAGCTTAGCCGTCTGTGTAACAAAGGGATTAGATAATGACGCATGATTATGGAGAGGGCTGGATTTAATGTTCTCATCATATTTTTGCAAGAGTAGATAAAAAATTATATTAACAAGCAGAATATCCTGCTGCTCACGACCTGTGAACCAAAGCTTCACATAGGATCCTGGGGGCAAGAGCCCCGACTAGCTGGTGGGCATCCTTTACTCTCCCCAGGCCATGGCTACCATCCTCCTGGAAGCCAACCTCAAGGACCTCTGAAGTCTGGCCTGGAAAGTCTGCATAGGCTCCCACCATGGGCTAAGAGTTTATACTTTCTTCTCCCTCTAAAGGGAGCTGGAACACACAGCAACAAATTGTAATCAACTAATACCAGAGTATGCTTACATAGAGGTACTAAAACTCTTAGGCTCCTGGCAGCCAAAGTAAGGAGAGGGACCACTGCTTTACTAGAGCAAGAGGAACAAAATTTCTTACTTGGGAAGGACTTTAGAAGTCTTCTGGTCCAGCTCATATATGATACACAAACCTCAGATATAATATCTGAATCCAGATGTCAGGGAAGAAAAGTAGCCCTTTTACATGGTGGTTTTAGAAAAATAAAAGATTATCATTTGAAATGAGCTCTAGAAAGATATAGATGTTTCAAGTAGATTTACATATTGAAAGAAAGAAATGTGGATTGACTTATTCTGTATGGCCCCAAGGGCTCTGTAAAGATTGAACGAGCTATCTCGGCAAATAATGAATGAGATTCCCATTACTGGAGGCATTCATGTAGAGAATGGATGGCGTGGAATGGAAGATGGATTAATATTGAAGAATATACGTTCTGGAATAAGTCAAACTGGTTTCCATCCCAGGGTGTGCTATTTACCACTTCTGTGACCTTGGGCCAGTATTCTAAGCCTTTTTCTTTATTCACAAACAAGTATGATAATTTATTGCTCTTCTTTTAAGGGGTCTTGTGAGTTTTCAGTGAGCTAACATATATAAAGTACATAGCCGTGTATCTGGGTCAATAAATAGTAACTATTCATTGCATTTGTTCATAATCACTTGGCAAAAGCATTGTTGAAGGTTAGGATGTCAAGACCAGCAGATATTTCATATTCCTGGCAACACGGTGACTTCGCATTTGCTACCTATTTACTGAGAGCCTGTCATGTGGCAGGCACAGGTCTGCACGTGGAGAACTCAGGGGTAAATGGAGCTGATGTAACTCTTACCCCCAAGGAGCCTGCAGTCTAGTTTCTATGGCTGGCATTGCCAATGGCAGGACAAGTTCTGACTTCAGCTTTGGGGCAGCTCATTAGAATGGTGCTGAGAACTGCCCTCAGCTCCCTGTCCTGGGTTTCCGTGGTTGGAGTCCTGCTAGGAGAGCCCTTTGGCACTGCTCCTCTTCAGTCCCGCTGGTCCATGGAAATCCACCATTCCCAGCACCTGCTGTGCCCTTACTCACACCAGTTCTGTCCTCCTTTCATTCCAGCCAATGCTGCCATGGTGAGCTCCTCGCAGGTGCAAACCGAGAGCCCCTCACCTGGGCTGCACCTTGCTTTTCTGCCCCAGGGCTTGACTGGTGCCTGAAGGAAACTTGGGAGCGCTCAGGTGTTAACCAGAGTCTGAGATCGTTAAGAACCCATGACTAATGGGGGAAGCAGAAATGGAGGGTGTGTTCTTCCCCCTCCGTCCCTCAGGCAGGTAATTCTGAGGTGTATCGTACCTGGTTCCTCAGAAGGCTGTTCAGGACTGAGCCTCACTTGAACCTCAGCTTCGCTATGGTGACTCACTCAAGAGCTCTCTCTGTGCTGGCTTCCTCCTTCCAGGTTTCACCGTCCCTTTCTCTCACACCAGTCACCCAGAGTTGCTTCCAAAATAATCTGTCTTCACACCAACCCTTGTCTCAGGCAATGTTCTCCTGGCTGAGATGTGCTGTCCCAGTAAAACCAGTGTCACAAGACTTAGTCAATGCCTCTACTAAATCTCTGTCGCTCACTCTTGAGTACTTACAGTCCCCTTGTGTTTGATGGAGAGATGTGCAGTGGTGCACAAATCCAAGCCCACCAGGACACCTGTCCCTGGTTACTCAGCACTCACTGTCTGTCCCCTCCCTAGACCAGCACTGCACTCATAGTCAACCGAACTCCTCTCCAATACGTAGCGCACTCTCCTTCTCTAACTGGTGATTATGGAAAAGTGCCAAAAGACGTTTCATACTTGATAGACTTAGTCCACATCTGGTCATCAAGCCGTCCCTAGAGGCGAGTAAGGCAGGTCTGAAGATGTATTTCCCTTTGGGTGTTATCCCACATGTATGAGTCAGAGATTCATTCATTTGTTTTAGTTAACCATATCTAGATTTTCTATTTTCTCTTTCTAACTGCTTTTACTCCTCCTACAACTTACAGGGGAATTATGCTGTCGTTGCCTTTTGAGTTATTTTAAATGTTTAGTCTCACTTATTTTCTCAAATGCAAAGTTCTTTAATAGCATTTTGAGTGATTGTCACAGTAGGTTTATTTTTAAATTGAGATATAATTCACATGCCATAAAATTCATCATTTTGAAACATGCAATTTAGTAGTTTTTAGTATATTCCCAAGGTTATGCACCCATCGCCCCTATTTAATTCTAGAATATTTTCATGGCCATTAAAGAAACCAGTACTCATTAGCGGTCTCTCCCCATCCCACCCTCCAGCAGGTGGTTTTTAACTTCCCATCGCATAACTTCATGTGGCCCGAGTCTGAGTACGGTAAACAAGTGCACGATGATCCTTTGGGAATCACTTAGGAGCAATTGGTGGTACGGGGCCGTCCTGCACACGCAGTCCTGACTTCACTACCGCTAACTCCGTGACTCTGGGCAAGCATTTTATCCTTTCTGAGCCCAGTTCACATTTATACAATAGGAGGATTGGGCGATATCAGGAAGATTTGCTCTTGGATTTGCAGGATTTTAGGAATAAAACACAGGAGGCCCATGAGTGCTCAGTACTCAAAATTTGGAATGAATGTTTGTAGCTGCAGTTTTGTTTGTTTGTTTGTTTTTGGAGAAGACACCAAATATTTAGCTAAACTATAAAAGGGCCTAAAACTCTCTCCATCACTTTTAAAAATGAACAATAGGCCAGACAAGAAAGTACTTGTTCCACTTCTAACCTCTCAGTATGATCTACATTTACATTTGGGAAAATTGGGTTTCTGGGAGTGACTTGCCCACATCATTCGACAGGCAGTGCTAGCACAGAGCCATGTGTCTGACTCCTGGGCCAGTGATTTTTCCTTAAGCCCCTGCTATTCCTTTGACAAAATTTGCACTTTGGAATCAGAAAAATCTTCAAGACTCATTTATACATCTAAATATACAACTATGTCTCAAACATAAAAAACCACTCAATATATTGTACTTTTTACATCATTCCACTTGTGAGAAAGGGTCTCATCTATATGTTTTACACAATCACCCCCACCACACACCCAAATGTTGCAAAACCCTTTTGCTGAGCTAGTAAGAAACACACACACACATACACACACAGACACGGATGTCATTTCTATGCTGGTTTCCTTGAAGCACAGCAGAGGCTTCGCCTGTCCACATCTATCTCACTGAGCTTGGATAGGGCAAAGCCATCATCTTTGATGAGCTGCCTGTCTTAGCCAGTACCTGCCTCACCCCAACCTAGTATATTTTATTTTAATAGATGAGACATATCTGGTTATATTTAAGAACATCCTCTCATTGGAGCCTCTAAGAACGTACCCTGCAGGGAGATCACATTCTCTCTCCCAAGCTCCCTCTGTAGGTGAACATCCAGAGTCATCTCAGTGGCTGGGAAAGGCCTTGCCTGGCTTGCTGGAGAAGGATGTGTCCTGTGTCTCAGAAGACTGAAGGCTGCCACTAAGTTTGCAGAAACATATTTGAGCTCAGGGTATGAACTCTCCTGCCCAGGTGTGGTCCTGACAGAGTCCGAGGAACCAACATCGCTTGACCCCCAGCCCCTGCTCCTTTGTCTTTATCCCTGGTACAATTTTCATTCATTTCAGCTGCCTGCCCAGACCACCCAGCCAGTATGAACCCAGGCAATGGGAACTAATTATAATATTAGCTTAGACACAACATAATTATGAAGAAAACTGCTAATAAACAACTTGGATTTATGCATTCCAAAAATCATCTAAATAGTTTCAGTTGCACCTTCTTTGGAATTAGCCACACCGTTGCGTTACCTCTCTTCATAGGCTCTGAAAGTAGGGAGTGAGGGCTTGTAGCCAGTCCCCTTCGTCCATAGGCAATAGAATTGTGGGCCCGCCTCTGGCCATCACATCCCTGGGTGGAAGTCAGCATTCACTTTCTCCCAGGCGATGCTGGGTAGAGATTATGAAATCTTGAGCCTAAATGGACCAGGGTGGGAGAATTTACCAACTAGCAGAAGGGCCAAGGGGGTTCCGGGAGCTTTAGACAGAACAGGGACAAGCAGTGAAGCACAGAAAATTGACATTGGAAGTTGCCTGTTTGAAAGACACGACAGCCTTTGCTTGCTGCAGAGCTAATTATTATGCAAATTTATGCTAATAAACTCTGCCTTGCATGTTGTTGAGAAGCTGCCTTTTCCCGTTAACATAGCTGTAATGAGAGGTAAATTTGTAATGCAGATGCCCGAGGTAATATATCCTAAATCACTTTATGGTGGAACGGACTCTCTTGCCCCACCCGACACAAATGCCAATTTAAATTAGTTTTTGCTTTGCATATTTATTGAAGCTTTATTTATTGTTAATATGTACTAAGGACACCAACTAGACAGCCCCCACTACTTGTTAGAAGTGGAATTTAGCAGGGAGCTGGGGATTGGCTTTTGCTCATCAGGAGATCCTAGAGTTTTTTCTTCTCCCACCTAGAGCCACAGCATCAGCTTGGATGGTGCCAGAATCGTTCATGTGTCCCCCTCCTCCTCTGAGCTGGCCTCAAATTAGGCTCGGCAATGAAAAAGCAATTCTATCATGATAATTATTATATGGCGTTTCTAAGAGTTAATGGTCTTTGTCACCTCTGCCTTTGTGTTTGTGATACCACCCAGGCTTGCAGAAACACGCCCAGGAAACGGGAGTGCTGTTGAGACAATGCCATTTGTCCACTTTGGAAACTTGTGCACACACACATGCTCTCACACACTCCTATACATGTTTTAGGGCACACATGTAGCTTCAAGCCCCATTTGCATTCACATTTGTGTAGTCGCACACACACGTTTGATAGTGTCTTACACATCATTCAGGGGTGTCTTCATTCAGGTTCGAACACACACAAATTGCCACTCGCCCCTGCACCCCAGCTATGGTCTTGTGTGTAACTGCAACTCTTCTGTGAATAGGAGAGCTTGGCACTTGGATTGGAAAAGTTCTTCCAAGCAATTCTGAGATGAACCTTCGAAAACAGCACTAAAACATGAGTAATTTTGTTTCTAGTTTGCATTCTGTCACTTAAATAAATAAATATAAATAAGTGCCTACCATGTATCAGGCATAATGTTAAGAATTTTCTTGCATGGTTTCATGGTTTCATTTTCACTTATAAATAGTTCAGTTTAGGTCTATATTATTATCCCCATTTTGGAGATGGGAAGACTGAGGCTCTGCAAGTTTAAATAACTTACTCAAGGTTAATCCACTTATTCCACATAGCAAGTAAAATTCAAGCGTTCTTTTTACTACACCGTTGCTTCTTCACTAATGTCTCAGTAAATCTGAGGTTGAGTTTCTTCTACAATTTAAGATGTTAGATCTGATCCATCTAGCTCCAAATTATGATGTTCTCTGATAATGTAAGTAACTCTCTCCTGATTCTGTTTGCCTCTTTGCATCTCTCACTGTGAACTAAGTTTAAGCTAGTCACTTGCTTTAGGATTTTCGACCGACGCCACCTACCTCTTTGGTATGTGTAGGTTTCTCCTAGGGCACCTTGACCCTTAACCATTTTGTCTGACACTAGTATGGAAAAAATGAATCTGTGAAGAACTGGGGCTAACCCAACCAAATAAGATGTCAAGCAGATGTGCTAACTTATGCATACACATATTCAGGGAATGCCAAAATATCCGTCTGCTGAAAAATATCTCCAGCATTTATGTGTCAAGGACCTAGAGTTTTCCTCATTAGTATAACTCCTTTGAACCCAGTTACCCTGACAGGCCCTCCTGTGAACATGTAAATTCACATTACATGAAGCAACATATCAACTGTTTGTGCCAGCTAATTCTCGAGCATGTGTTTTGTGCATACCAGAACCTAAACAGGGGAGCGATGAGAGAACAGAGCACATGAATTTTGATGAAGAATGTACTGGAAGAAGGGCAGCGTCCGCACTGCTCACAAGACAGGCTGAGAGCAGGCCTTCCCCTTTACCATTTGGGCATAGACCTCTGCTGGCAGAAATCTCCCATATGTAAATGAAATTCTAGTGAATGAGGATGTTCTTCTGATCTATTAAGGAAAAAAAGCAGAGTTTAAGGGCTTCTTCATCTCCCCATGGCCACACCCACTGTGCCCCAATTCTAAGCTCTATTCCCAATAAACCAGAATGCCTGGGATTCTACTTCAGAAGGGCAGAGTTTTGGCTTAAGGAAATAAGCTAGGCTGTGATACTGAGCCTGGAATAAAAATACCATCTGTCAGTATCAATCTTTGCTGCTTTAAAATAAATACGTTTATTAGATCAATTTTGGTTGGAACAGTGTGCTGAGAAGAGGCCTAAAAAGAAGCATATAAATAAATGCATTATTATTGTTAAAATTTAAAATAAAACATGAAAATACTTCAAGTATAGAGAAGAAAATAGCAATGATCCATAACTGCGCCCCCAAAGATAACCATCCTTCAGACCTCCCTAGATACCATGGGGCTGCCTTGCTAAAACTTTGCACAAATATATGATAAGCATTTTCCCCAGCGGAGGTAATTTTGAAAGGGAGGTTGGACAGCATTTTACTGTGGGAGTAGGCAGACCTGGGCATGAGCCATGTCAGGGTTGAGGGATGACATCCCTGATCCTGGGGGGAGAGGCGATGGCATAGGAAGGGCCAGTGAAAGAGGCAACAAGAAGCTTCAAGACACTAACTTCATCCACCTGGCCACTTTGCCCAGGTGGACTTTGGGCATCAGGAAGTGTTTTATGCCACTGAGTGAAGACATCTTCTCCCATTGGATGTGCTTATGCCTTGGTAAAATAAGAAAGCCAGGCTAGTGCAGCTCTAAAGTTCCCTTCAGCCTATGGTTTGTTCCCCTTGAAGGAGGAGTTGATGTTCTGCTTGCCCTGAGTCCTCTCAAGGATTCAGCCAGGGTTGAGCATGAGCTCCCTGATTCAGAAGTTCCTCATTTCAACCCCCAGAGGAGTCCCACAGAGCGAATATTCTCTGTTCTAGCACGCTGAGTAGTGCCAGTGGCTGCTTTCATATTGAAGAGTGATTGGCAGTGGGAGGAGCCTGGAGTCTGGATTTGGAAGACCCTATTCAAATCCAAGCCACACCCTTTACTCACTGCAGATCTCCGAGCAAATGACAGTGACTTCATCTCCTAGAGCCTCAGTTTCTTCATCTGGAAAATGGCACTAATCACACATCTTCAAAAGATTGTTGTGAGAATGTGTGGCTGAGTATGGAAGTGCTCTGCAAACTTAAGCACGTTATGCCATAAGGGAGCAACAGGGAAAGAGTCAGAACTCAGGGATTCCTTCGCACCAGTTTTCATGGCTTATTGTTACTTTTCTATTTTATTTTTATAGTGGTTTTACCTCTAGATAACTTTCACAGGTATTATCTCAACACAACTTCACCGGCCTGGTGTGGTGGCTCACATCTGTAATCCCAACACCTTGGGAGGCTGAGGCGGGTGAATCATCTGAGGTCAGGAGTTCGAGACCAGCATGGCCAACATTGTGAAACCCTATCTCCACTAAAAATACAAAAAAATCTGGTGGGTATGGTGGCGCATGCCTGTAATCCCAGTTACTTGAGAGGCTGAGGCAGGAGAATGGTTTGAACCCAGGAGGCGGATGTCACAGTAAGCCGAGATCACATCACTGCACTCCAGCCTGGGCAACAGAGTGAGTCTCCATCTCAAAAAACAAAACAAAACAAAAACAAACAACAAACAACAACTTCGCAGGGACATGGGAGACAGAACACGAGGTGGCAGCCTCATATGACAGATGATTTGAGCCTCAGGGTCTTCCAATGACTTGCACCAGGACATAGAATGACTTAGTTGTTGCTGGATACCGTAGTCAGAACTGGGAATTGGATTTCGCCTGGCATAATAAAAATATTGCAGGACCCAAGTCAGGACCAGAGTTTGGTTCCTTGAACTAACAAGGAACCTCCTTCAAGTCCTAGTACTCTCCCTAGACTTTGGCAACCTCTTCTATGAAAGGGGAGGTTGGAGGAGAGGGCGCAGTGAGACTGGCATTTTTTTAAAGGCGTCTTCAGCATTGCTGGTCCATTACTCTGAGAGGTGAAGTAATGTTTCTGCAATTGGGGAAGTGGCTGTGGTTTAAATTCCTAGTCTGTTAACTGGTTGTAGAGTTGGTTTCCTCTGAAAGGGGAGTGGCCATTGGCAGGAGTGGACATGAGGCAAGCCAGGGTCCCACTCCCTTAACCACCCAGGCCATGGTCCCTCCTTGGCAGGCAGAGGCGGGCAGGGTGCTGCTGGCCTGAGGGTCCTGGGCAGGCGGCTCTGTTCTAGCACTCTAAGGAGATCAGATGTTGCGGGCACCAAGGTTCTCAGGCCCACAGAGGATGGCATTTCTCATGTCAGGAGGGGATGGACGAATGAAGACGTGCGCACTCCCGGGAGGGAGGAGAGTCACAGGAAAGAGGTGTGGACAGGCAGGATGGAGCAGCACGTGTTGTATCGGGATTCAGTAGTGTGATGGGTGGAGCCGGGAGAGGAGGGAGCTTCGGGCAAGGGAACGTTGGCAGGAAGCGTGCGCAGCAGCAGGAGCCTCGGGTGCTTGCGGGTCTGTGCACACTCTGGCCAAAATGACCCAGGTAGTGTTTCAGCTTTAACTCTGCAGGTGTTCAAGTCCCATCCAGTGAGTCCAAGTGAAGCACCCTGTCCACACGGAGGAGATATCCCAGGGCAAGGCTGACAGAAGGCCCTTGAGGTCCCAGTTACGTGTCTGGGCAGACAAATGTGAGACTGTGGCAAACCAGAGAGCACTGCCTTGAGGTTGGCCGCGTGTGCCCGCTAGAGCCAGGTGTGTCCACTGTACTGAGGGAAAGAAGCGATGCCCTTCCTACACACGGGCAATATCGTGTAACAACGGCTTGTTTACAGCCCTTGCTGGGCTCTGGGGCACATTTGTCTCCAGGCAGCGCCTTGGAGACGACCCATCTCCGAAGCAAGTCTGGCTAGGGGGCAGGTGCCTCTGCCCTGGAGCACAGGCAGTGGCGGGGTGTGCATCTCCAACCCCGGGGGCCACGTCATCGGCACCCCTTCTGGAGCCATGGCTCCTTCTGACCTTGTTCCCTTGGTGGGCATCTGCACACGTGGTTTAAAAGTGCCCTTTCCAGGGCTGATCCTGCCCCCGGAGGCCCCAGTGAAGCAGCCCAGCCCAGGCTCAGCACAGATGGATTTTCCAAGGCTCTGGGCCGCCTTCCTCCTGCGGGACTTCATGCTCGTCCAGGTCCGGCTCTCTCGGGGGTCCTGGGGCTTCAAGCACCAGACTGAACCGTTTCCTCTGCACCGTGCTTTCCTCCGGGTGAGGCCACCAGGCACCTTGTCAGGGACACCGTTTCTTCCACTCACCCCACCCTGGCCCCTGACAGGTCGCCTCTCCCTCCTTGTTTTATTTTTCTCCTCTTCTCATCCAGATTAAACATGTACTATGCTTCATATCTTGTATGTGTCCTGTCTACCTGGTGGACGCAACGTAAGCTCCGTGTCAGGGACCTTTGTATTGTTCAATGTTGTATCGTTAGCACATGCCAGGCTTCCAGGAAACGTTTCCAGGAAATGAATAAAGCCTTCTTAGGTTTACTGCCGGCCCGCCCCGCGCCGGGCCGTGTGGCTGCGGAGGCAGAGGAGACCTCAGCCTTCCCTTCCCTCCAGGCTCGCTAAAGCCTGAGCTCTTCCTGACACTTCCCCTCCGGCCCGGCCCGGAAGTCCCATTCCCGGATCCTTCACCGAGGCCAGTCCCACCCGGACAAGAATTCAGGCAGCACAGTCCCCCTCCCGGGGCAGTCTACCGTGGGGAAAGGGCAAGCACACAAGGTGGCCCTGCAGCGGCCCCTGAGGACGCCAGCGACAGTCTCTGGTAGGACCAGCTGGCCGTCCCTTCTCCCATTTGACCCTCCTCCTGGTCCGCTGCCACAGATCAACTGTTGCCACAGCTACCAGGGAAAGGGGTGTTTGTCCACGGGAATGCTCCCTGCGGAGGAGCTCTGCCCGGGGGCCTCAGCCGGGAAGGCGGCCAGGCGGGTTGCGGTACCAGGGGCTGCCCAGCGAGGGGAGACAAAGCTCCACAAGTGAGAACAGAAGCTGTGCCGGCGGCATCAGTTACCCGGCAGCGTCTGGGAACCGCGCTGGGTTGCGCTGGGGTCGGCTAGTGGGCCGGCGTTCCTCTCCTTCCCTCCCTCGGCTGGGCTCCGCTCCACCCCTCACTCAGCCTCCTCTGGATCAGCGCCACCTCCTTCCTTTGGTCAGCCCCCTTCACCTGCAATAGGCCCCAATACAAGGGGCTTGAGGAAACAGTTTTGTGTTTTGTTTTGTGGTTAAAGAAAGAAAGAAAGAAAGAAAATTAAAGCCATATCTTCCAGCCCTGTCTGCAA
The DNA here is from genome assembly GCF_000001405.40 of Homo sapiens. Classification (NCBI taxonomy): domain Eukaryota; kingdom Metazoa; phylum Chordata; class Mammalia; order Primates; family Hominidae; genus Homo; species Homo sapiens. Next base: position 133,063,984 of record NC_000011.10, on the reverse strand, counting down.
CTGACACAGTCAAGTGATCAATCCCGGCTGACAGCTAGCCCGTTTCACAAAAACACCCATGAAATCGTTCTCAATTCAGGAATGGCTTTGAAGATCTAGCTGGTATTAATAATCACCAACCGGGGCTGGGCTCAGTGGCTCACCCCTGTAATCCCAGCACTTTGGGAGGCCAAGGTGGGTGGATCACCTGAGGTCAGGAGTTCAAGACCAGCCTGGCTAACATGGTGAAACTTCGTCTCTACTAAAAATACAAAAATTACCAGGACATGGTGGCGGGCACCTGTAATCCCAGCTACTCAGGAGGCTGAGGCAGGAGAATGGCCTGAATCTGGGAGGCGGAGGTTGTAGTGAGCCAAGATCAAGCCATTGCACTCCAGCCTGGGTGACAAGAGCAAAACTCCCTCCGAAAAAAAAAACCAACAGCTCTGTAAATGACCTTTTCTGACCATGAGACTGAATAAAACCTTGCGGCAGATTAATAGGACCCAAAGTCATCATTCACATCCTATAAAAATAGGTTCGAAGGCAGCCGCTTCACAGTCTGAAGTGCAGGCACACCACTGCAGAGCCCACGAAATGTGGCTCCCTGGGACCTTTTCTAAGAGCACAACGTGGCTTTCCTCCTTTCTGACCCCATGGGAGGCTGTCTAGTCTGTTGGGTTTAAGAAGGAGACAGGAGGCTGGAAAAGGCATCCCTGAGGGCTAGCCGTGGCCCAGGGGACCAGCCCTCTGGTTGCTTCTCTCCGCCGTTGTATGACATGTGTCTGTTCTCACTCGGAGCCTGTACCACTCTGGGTAACTCTTATAGACTGGAGCCCCTAGAAAGAGATAGGAAGGGACAGAATAGGAACTAAACTTACACTGCGAAGGCTGGTCTCTGGACTGACCGGTAGAACTCACAGCACGTGCTGAGACAATGACTGGAATACAACGGGAAAACTCCATGACCCCAAAGCCCCATGCTGGCCCCCGGCCATGGGAGGCACTGGACAGGCACAAGGAGGATGCGGCTGTCTTTACAGACAGTGGTGTCTTGCAGAGGTACCTCAGATCAGTCCCCAGCGCTGCAGCTGCCGGCTGGCTGCATGCAGCAGTGCTGGAGCAAGGCAGAAAGCCATTCCTAGGGAGGCTGCTGTGGAGTACAGCTTGGCAAGGCAGAGGCTCAGGGGCGGGAACGATGCTTGGGTCCAGTGATCAGGATTGGGATCAATGACAGGGTTGCTGAGGCAGCCCTAAACCCCAGCTGGAACAGGAGATGGAAGCTGAACTGGCAGCAAGAGTGGGCAGTGGGGTCTCCAAGGATGCCGCTCAGGCAGTCTTGGGTGCGGTGACGCATTAAATCTACAAGCAGGGCTCAGAAGATCTCATCTGTAGGGAAAGGAGGGATGAAGGGTTGGAACCTAAGCAGGGTGCAACGTTCTGAACCAAGACCTTTACCAAAATCCTTGACATTAAGCTGGAAACTAATGTTTTATGAGCAAGGAGGACTCTTGAGCCTCGGTTCTATTAAATGATATCATTTGCAAATTAAAAATGTTTGGAAAACTACTCAGCAGTATTTGTCAATAGTGGTAACGCCAGTCAGAATTGAACAGAAAAGGCTCGAGAAGACACCGATTTTGCCTACATGCAGGTGGTAAAAGGACCTGAGAGATTTAAGATAAGGAAGTGCAGCGGGGATTCATGGACTTCCTTTCACTCGGGTCTGTCCAGTCTGGCAGAGGCAAGGACAGGTATCTGGGGTGAGAAATTTAGAATCACATTTGCGGTAGAGTCTGGTGTTACGGGTGGAGTCTGATGCAAGCTGCTCCTGTGCTTTCCTCCCTGACACTGTGGACTCTGGAAACTTGCAGCTTTGAGCATAATGGAGATTAGCACAACATATACCCTTGGAATGACACAGAGCTTAGGCCAGGCTAACAGTTTCACTAGGAAAGGTGTCTTTACACCCAGTGCTAGGAAATTTATTCTAAAACCAAAGTTGGTGTCACCTTTTGTAGCTAAACAAGACCCTATGCCCCCATCCAATGGGCTTCCTCAAAAGTTTCCATGAAATTCTCAAACTTTTCAGCCCCCACCCCCACCTCAATTTCTGTTTAGTGTCCCATTTATGCATGCACTTAAGTGTGCTTGGATGGAAAACAAACGAAATGGAACTGAGGGCCCTGTCTAATCTGACTTGCGGAAAAGTTTTTGAAAGAAGAGATGAGAAGATCCCTTTTGCATAGCACATTAAAATAAATTATGGAGAACTTCTCCCTTCCAGCTAAGGAGGTGGTCAAGATGAGAGGATAAATCTTTAAAAGAATAATGTTTTCAAAATCAGGTTCCTTGCCCTCAATCCTTTGATGTATGAGTGTAAGACTAGGTAGGACACGTGGTGAAATATACATGAGAGCTCAGAAGAGAATAGCAGAGTGAAGAAAATATTAGTGTTTACATCAAAACTCAATTGGAACACTCATTTCAAGGTGATAGTTTATTATGGTGAATGCAATTTAGTCCCACAAGGATATTTCCTTTCCATCTCCAGGGCTCTTCCCATGCCTGCAGCCCCATCCCCACTTCCCACTTCCCTTCTCCCCATATCCAGATGTGAGGAAGCAAAACACATCCACTGCAGAATTAGTTCTTTGTGACTGCAGGCTTTGCAGACTGTAAAGGAAAGGAAGAGGAAGAGGTAGAATCCTTTGGAGTCTGCCAATAGTTCCCCAGCTTTTTGGAGACGTAGACAGTTTTAAACAGAGAAGAAATTAACACAAAGGATTATCTTCTTGCAGTCAACCAAAATGATCAGCTTCAAACAAAACTGTCATTCTTCTTGGGTGTGGTGATACACTCTTGTAATCCTAGCAGTTTGGGAGGCTCAGGCAGGAGGACTGCTTAAACCCAGGAGTTCAAGACCAGCCTGAGCAACATAGGGACACTCCCCAACACTAAAAATAAACATGAAAATAAAATCAAACAAAAACTATTATCCTTTTTCTTTCTTTAGCTCGCATCCCTCTTAGACACACTTTAAGGAAATTCAACTATAGCAAAAGTTAAGTGGAGGCAAAAGTGATCTTGTTGAGGGGGGCAAACTTGGAAAAGCAGTCTCTGCAGCCCTGGAGGCAATGGGCCCACTGGCTGATGCCCACGTAGGGTTTGGTGAGCCTGTCATCTCTGCATGCAGCCAGCTGCCCAGTCAGCAGTGTTTAGCCAGGGGCTGCTGTGTGCAGCGTTCCCAGCCCTCCAGGTGGGCTTGACTTCTAAGTTGCTCTAAGGCTTTCTCAGCACCCTTCAGGAAAACGTAGAATCTTGAATGAGGCACCTGCCTTCCCAATAAGAGGCCTGTTTTCTCACCTGGCAGGTCCTGTCATGCAGCCACAGTAGGAGCAGGGACCTGGGGAGCCAAGGCCTGGTGGCTGCCCCTCCCCTCCACACCCTGCCTGCACCTACTGTCTCTCTCTGACCTTAGGGGTGACTTTGTCCTGAGCGTGGGACAGACAGGTCTGAGCCTAGACCTGCACGCAGGCACTGAGGTGTGTTTTAAGGGTGGAGAACTGTCTTCTACATGTGACTATATGTAACAGCATGCGGCTATTGTGTCAGATGCTTATATTTTAGAGGTTCTGCTGGTACAGTGCTCAGTGAAAATGAAGGACAGAAGGAATCATTCCCTTCTAACAGCTTCTGTGTTCTCTCTCTTTACACCAGTAGTAAATACTCTTCCTGAATTAGAAGCTTAGAAGCTGTGAATCCTGAGGGGATGGGGAGAAGGAGGTGGAGGGGGAGGGAGAGGGAGAGGGAGAAGGAGAGGGAGAGGGAGAGGGAGAGGGAGAGGAGAATAAGATTTGGAAGTGACCTAAAAAATCCTTTATTCTAATTCCATTTTTTGAAGTTTAGTAGCATGAGATCCAGAGAAAGGAACGGCCTTAAAATATCTGATGGAAAGTTTGTGGCAAATCTAGAATTTGAAATCCTGTCTTTTGCCTGAACATCACCACAGATCTCACTAGAAAAGATGGAGTATCAACAGCTGTAAAGATAATAGTAGCTGATTAAAGTTTTCCAAAATTCTATTCTTTACCTGAAAGCTCACATTTGAACACTGGCAGTGGATACTGTGAGTTGGTTTCCATGAAACAACTGACTAATTTCATTCCCTTTTGAGAAAATGGCTGCCAAGTACCCAAGTCTAATAATAACACATCGTCCATCCTTCTTTCAAGCACATATTGTGCTCCATGAAAACAGTGGCTAGCTCAGCTTGCAACTCAAACAAAAGAATGTTTTCTTGAGACAATCATACTACTTGGTTGTGCAGCAGAAGTGTTCTGGGTGACCCTTCCATCTCACCAGGCAAAGTTTTAAAAATGTGTACTCAAGATTTGAAATGTAATAAAATCAAGTGTTTCTTTGTTTAATGAGGGCATTCTTAAGTGAAACTGGCGTTTGGGTTTCCCTGCAAGCGTGCGGAGGTGAAGAGTGCAGTGACTACTCATGCAATGGGCTTTGTGTGCTGGGGTTGTCCATGCCTGAGGCTCCTGCCATCTTACCCACCACTGCTTTTGCACCATCAGTGCAAATATCAACACAGTGAAGAAGGCAAATAATGTCCTAATGTTATCCTGACAATAGTTCTGACCTCCCTAAAAGGTCTTGGGCAGTCTTAGAGATTTGTGGATCACACTCTAAGAACCACCAGATGAAAGAATCCGCAGATCCTTTGAGTACAAAGGCTCTGGGACCAGAAACCCTTTAGATGTCTTCCTTGAGCTTTATCTGTAAGATAAGAAATGTCAAGGTGGCAATACAATTCTAGATAGGTCCCTAGTACTGGTCTGTGCTATTACTGCCTTGATCTCTGAATGATAACACACAAAATCAATGTTCGGACCATGGAGTCAGCCTGCTGGAAATCCACAAGGTAGTCCTGGAGGAAAATTTGATTTGTTTCAATGACAAAAGATAAAGGTCCTTGCAAAGTTACCATAAGCCTGAAGCTTAGAGCAAAGTTTCCCTGGAATTCTCATTTTCTGGTTTAGTTACCAGCCCAGTGGCGGCAGCCTAGGTCAGTGAGGCAAGCTTGGAACCCTCCCTGTGGGCATCTTCACACTTCAGGCTTCATTTTTCTCCTGAAGAGCAAGTTACTTCTATCTATTGACTGTAAAGTCATCTTGCCAGATTATTTTTATCCTTAAAATACTTAGGTTATGTATAGACTCTCAGCAGTTGATGTTAAGCTGGGCAAAAAGTGTAAATGAGACTACTGGCCTCTACTGGGAGGTGCCGAGAAGCACAGAGGAGAAGCGAAAACCCAGGCGTGGGGAGCCGCGCTCACTACCTGATTTAGCCAGCGTGCTCCGAGATGCCTGGTCCCTCCAGAGCTGCCCTGATGGGAGCGGGACTAGCTGCTTTCTGATACTCTAGGCTCTAGGAGGTGCATCATAAAACAGAAGTGGACACAGGGAGAGAGTCCCTAACTGGTTGAGGAGTGGGTGGCATGCTCGATGTGACACCTGCCCGCCCCATTTATCTGAGCTCTTGCTGGAATCCCCATGTCTCTGTGTGTATCAGGATGCACCCCGCGTGCCCCCGCCCCAGTCTGCAAACATGCAAACACACCATGCTCTCCTGCATCTCTGATGCTGTTTGTACCTGGAATTGCTCTCCTTTTGCTACTTTCTTTCTGGGGAACTTCACTCATCCTTTAAATTCCACGTCATGTGTCACCTCTCGGTGATTTCTTTCCTGAAGTCTTTACGCAACCAAGGAAGAATCAAACCCTTCCTCCTCCTCTATGGTTTGATAACTTTAATAATGCTACTTTCAAACATTTGTCACATTATATTATAGTTAATTATTTGCCTGGCTTTACCACTCAGTTTAAAATTCTCCAAGAGCTTTACAAATGTAAACAAGCTCTGTGCCAGGTACTGGCCAGGAGCTGGAAATACATTGAGTAAAACAGACATAGCTCTAGCCCTGGAGGTATTCCTAGTCTAGTGCGGAAGGCAGATAACGCACTAGTAAAAATAAAGTATATTATGATGTGTTCTAAAGAAAACAGATGTACAGGGTTAGAAAAGATAGGGTGTTTAATTAATTTTTTATATTGCAAACACCTGGAACTTTGTCTCTGGCACTGCAGGAGTTCACACATTTTTGTCTGGTGCCCCTCATTGTGCCCCTGAGAGTACTAAGGACTTGAGAGGGTCATGCAGAAAACCCAATGGATTGAACAGAAGGATGTGCAATGAAGGGACGATGACAGAGGTGTGGGCAGAGTTCACAGGACGCATGTGATGGTGACTAGCAACAGTGGGAGTCATTTCTGTCCTTTGAAAAAAGGGCAAATAGCAGACCAGTTGCTAGGGACAGGGGCAGGCTATAGCTTTGCAAGTGGAGCTGCCTGACAGGAGCTGGGTGATAGGACCTCAAACTCTGTCCTCCACCTCCCATGTCCTACTGGAGAATTCTACTGGCCACACCCACCCAGAAGCAGAAGGCAAGGGAAGCTGGGGTGGTGGTATCTGCAGACAGCAGAGTCTCCAAGGCACAGAGCAGGACAGGAAGGGCAGAGACTGGAACTGGGCAATCAGTCGAAGAGCCGCCAGCTGACCTGATTAAGGGAGTGGGCACCAAATCCAGCAGCCTTTGGCCTTGGACAATTCTGAATCAAACCCCATGCCAATCTATGATCTACATTGGCCCTCCTGGCAACAGAGGTTATGTAAGAGGTATTCCCTTAGACTCTGGAGCCAAGTATTTCACATGTGATCCTACCTACCTACATCTAAGGAACAGAACCCTGGTCAAATAAAATTAAAGACAAAGGATAAAAGAGTAAGCGACCTAGCCAGGCACAGCAGCTCACGCCTGTAATCCCAGCACTTTGGAGGCCAAGGCGGGTGGATAACCTGAGGTCGGGAGTTCGAGACCAGCCTGACCAACATGGAGAAACCCCGTCTCTACTAAAAAATACAAAATTAGCCAGGTGTGGTGGTGCATGCCTGTAATCCCAGCTACTCGGGAGGCTGAGGCAGGAGAATCACTTGAACCCGGAAGGCGGAGGTTGTGGTGAGCCAAGATTGCATCATTGCACTCCAGCCTGGGCAACAAGAGCAAAATTCCGTCTCAAAATAAATAAATTAAATAAATAAGTAAGCCACCTAATGTCTCTCCCCTCGAGGAGTTGAGAATCTGTTTCACAAAGAAAACAATGTCCATGAATGAGATTTTACACTTACGGAACCATACATAGTGATTAAAAATTAATAGAAAACCATCTGAGTACTGCACATGCTTGAGGGCTTGGCAGAGATTAAATGTGATTAGAATCAGGCTGAATTAATCAGGTAATAACATCATAGATGTAGGATAAAGTTCAGTTAAACTGAGTTTGGAGGAATGTTGCTTCATCTGTAAAAATAGACTTTCTTCCCCAGACTTTTAATTTTGGGGAATTCTGAAATAACTAGTTAATTTTACAGTAGATTTAAATGTGTCCTGGTTTATTTTGGTTTTCATAAAAAGAGACATTCTCTCCACGATTAGAGATTTACTGAATCTGGGGAGAGATTTAGCATTGATCTGGCTTACCTGATTGATTTCCAATTCCCCAGAGACTCTAAGCAGGTATGGATTCAGATGTTTATGAAGCTAATCATTCTGTATTCATGTTCACTGAGCCTCTCAGTCACTCATTTTTCCTTTTAGGGCCACACAGTAGTTTATGAAATTACAATCAATTTTACATCAGATGTTTAGGAATGACCACGGATGACTTTTTATTAGATATCACATATAGAATAACAATCATTTATAAATCATTCTCTGTCCCCCTCCATCTCCCAGTTTGTTTTGCTTCCCTTCCTCCCAATCCATGATAACTGGGCCTTTTGAGTCATTTGAACACCAAATATTTAAATATTCTCTCTTTTACCATGGAGGCAGCATTATACGGTAGAGGCGGCTCCCTCATGGAGTCTCACCACTTGGAATTATCATGGAGGCAGCATTGTATGGTAGAGGTGGCTCCCTCATGGGGTCTCACCACTTGGAAGTATCATGGAGGCAGCATTGTACAGTAGAGGCGTCTCCCTCACGGGGTCTCACCACTTGGAAGTACCATGGAGGCAGCATTATACGGTAGAGGCGGCTCCCTCATGGAGTCTCACCACTTGGAAGTATCATGGAGGCAGCATTGTACAGTAGAGGTGGCTCCCTCATGGAGTCTCACTACTTGGAAGTATCATGGAGGCAGCATTGTACGATAGAGGTGGCTCCCTCATGGGGTCTCACCACTTGGAAGTATCATGGAGGCAGCATTGTATGGTAGAGGCGGCTCCCTCATGGAGTCTCACCACTTGGAAGTATCATGGAGGCAGCATTGTACGGTAGAGGCGGCTCCCTCATGGAGTCTCACTACTTGGAAGTATCATAGAGGCAGCATTATACGGTAGAGGCGTCTCCCTCATGGGGTCTCACCACTTGGAAGTATCATGGAGGCAGCATTGTACGGTAGAGGCGGCTCCCTCATGAAGTCTCACCACTTGGAAGTATCATAGAGGCAGCATTATACGGTAGAGGCGTCTCCCTCATGGGGTCTCACCACTTGGAAGTATCATGGAGGCAGCATTGTACAGTAGAGGTGGCTCCCTCATGGAGTCTCACTACTTGGAAGTATCATGGAGGCTGCATTGTATGATAGAGGTGGCTCCCTCATGGGGTCTCACCACTTGGAAGTATCATGGAGGCAGCATTATATGGTAGAGGTGGCTCCCTCATGGAGTCTCACCACTTGGAAGTATCATGGAGGCAGCATTATATGGTAGAGGCGGCTCCCTCATGGGGTCTCACCACTTGGAAGTATCATGGAGGCAGCATTGTACGGTAGAGGCGGCTCCCTCATGGAGTCTCACCACTTGGAAGTATCATGGAGGCAGCATTGTACAGTAGAGGTGGCTCCCTCATGGAGTCTCACTACTTGGAAGTATCATGGAGGCAGCATTGTACGATAGAGGTGCTCCCTCGTGGGGTCTCACCACTTGGAAGTATCATGGAGGCAGCATTATATGGTAGAGGCGGCTCCCTCATGGAGTCTCACCACTTGGAAGTATCATGGAGGCAGCATTGTACAGTAGAGGTGGCTCCTTCATGGGGTCTCACCACTTGGAAGTATCATGGAGGCAGCATTGTATAGTAAAGGCAGCTCCTTCACAGGATCTCGCCACTTGGAAGTATGTTTCTCAACTTCAGGTCTCCACACTAGGCTGAGAAGAGGCAGTTGGACTCTCTAAGGCTTTATGAGGAGAGAGCAGACTGAGAAGTGTCCCCATTTCTGATGGTTAAATCGAAATCATCTTTGCCTGTTGATTTTAAATTCCTGTAAGTGTTTCGTCTATGCCCCTGTGATGATGTGCCCAACCAGTAAAGGCAGACAACAAATAGATGAAGTTAATAATGAGAAGCCTCTGTGAGGAGCAGCCCTGGGAGAGCAGTGTTCCAGGCAAAAGTAACAGCAGCAACAAAAGCTCTGAGCCTGGTTCCAGTGTGGCACTTCTGGAGACTCCTGGTGCACACTGAGTGTGGCTGGGGTACAGTGACAAGGGACAGACAAGGAGATAGAGTCTGCAAGTGACTGTTAGAAAAGGGTGCAGGTGCCACATATGACATAAATGCCATCTGACTTTTTAAGAAGTTTGGGTTTGATGACAGGTATAATAGAAAGCCACCAGAGGTTTTGAGGTGACAGAAGTATGAGCTGATCTGTCAATGTATAAGAGGGCCAACATGATGAGAGCAGGGCCAGTCAGAGCCTGCTGCAGTGGTCCTATGCCTGGACTCAGGTGGGAAAGGTGGGGAAAATGATATAGACTCATATTTGGAATAAACCTGAAGCCAGAGCCTACAGTGCCTGCTGAAGGGTGACCAGGAAAAGAGAAGAATCAAAGATGACATCTAGGGTTTTAGCCTGAGAAAGTAAGAATGGCAATGGTGTTTACCAAGATTGAGACCCCATGAAAGGGAGCAGATTTCAGGGGAAGAGAGTGGTGGTGAAAAGGAAAAGTCAGTTTTGCTCATTATGCATATTTAAGGGCGCTGTTGGACATCCAAGTGAAGTTGCCATGTGGATGGTTAGATTGAAGGACTTGAGAAGAGGGATTGGGAATAGAGGTGTGTATCCCAAAGCCATTAGGAATGAGTGGTTTTCCTGGGCACGAACTCAGTGAGATGAGGCAGGGAGGGAGAGCTGATCTGGATGAGGAGGAACAACCAGCCAAGACTGAGACAGACGATGGAGGTTAGGTCGAAGAAAAGCCTGGAGCGTGCTTTCCCAGAAGCCAGTTGAGAAAAGTGCTTCAAGAGGAAGAAGGAGTCATCTGTGCTAAAAGGCACTGAATAGAATAAGAGGAAATTTCATCATTGTTTTTTGCATGGGGGAATTCCTAGGTGATCTTGACAACAGAAATTTCAATCGCAAAATGGGAACAGAGCCTGACTGGAGTGGATGGAAACCAGGGGACAGAAAGTAAAAAGTGCAAATCAGAGAGCATATGTGATCTTTTACGAAGAGCTTTGTTGTTAAAGAGAGCAGAGAAACAAGGCAGTTACAAGAGGGAAGGGCATGGAGCCAAGAGAGGGTTTGGGATGTTTATGATGATGATTATGATAATGACCGTGATCATCATAATCACAATGCACGCCATGCGTTGAGGGCTTACCATGTGCCAGGCACTGTGCCAAGCAGTCTCCATCATGAGCTCAAGGCATTTTTCAGCAAACCTAGAAAGAAGGCTCTGACATTATCACCAGTGTAGAGGTGAAAGAACTAAGGATCAGGGTCCCAAATCTGGTGAATGATGAACTGGGAGTCCAACCAAGATGTGTCATAAACACAGCAGATGGAGATGTTCCTGTTCAAAGGCCAGCTGAAAATGAATGAAATTCTTAACTGTTGTTAGTCAAGACCTGTTGTGGTTGCAATGAATAGAATACCACCTCAAAATGACTCAAGGGAGTGAAAAAGTGAGGGAGGTTTAATTCAGATATCTCAAAAGTCTCTAAGAAGAACTGACTTCAGAATAACTGGATTCAGGGGCTCAAATGGTGTAATTAGGATCCTCTCCATCCCTGGGCTCAGGCCTCTGCTTTCCACTCTGTTGCCCTCAGTCTTGGCAGGTTCCCCATGTGCTGGCGTCTAGCAGATCATGGCTCACTTCCAACCATTTGGAAAATCCAGGAGTCAAAGTCTCATGTGGCTGGGTGGCTCTCATTGCTTGACTTTGGCCACCTGCTCATCTGGGAAACAATCACTATCCCCAAGGACACACAGTGTTCTCAAAGGGACTGGCCCACATGCCTGGCTCCAGAGCCAGCAGAACTGATCTGGACATAGAGGTTGCTCTCTAAAGGCAACATCCAGGTGCCATGGACAAAATAAGGGACACTGGGCTGGCGGTGAAGGGCAGATGTCCCCTAAAGTATGAAGCACGTGGACATGAAGTCTCCTGCAGACAGTGTCAAGATATGCTTCCCAGCATTCTGCCCAAATCTAAGCTCTATGAGGGCAGTGACCTCTTTAGTCCTGTTCATCAAGTATAGTTTCTAGCACAGTGACAGGCACACCATAGACTCAGGTTAAAAAATATGTTTATTGAATAATGGAGTGACCTCAAATGATTATTCTATAATGCTGGTCTGTTTCACTTGATTTAGTTGCTGGTTATTTTAATTTTAGCTGGAGAGCTCTTCATGTATTTGAAACTCATCATTATTCGTCCTAACTATAATTCTCCAACTCTCCAAAACCCTTAGTTTATTTGGAAATAGGGTATTCAATTAATGTCCTACTCATCAGAACAGTGTTTTTGGTGTATTTTAATCAAAGGGGGAAAAAAACTGCCTTAGTATAAAATCTTCAAATCTCTTTGTGATGTCCCCTGAGGGTATGAACCTGGTGGTTTAGCCAGAATTGAAATCCCCACAAATTCTAAAGAAGCTTTGCTTTGTTGAACCCCTGGGGGTTTATCTCCTCCCCGCTGACTCTGTAAGGTGAGGCAGAGCTCTAGGGAAAGACAAGTGCATGACAAAAAGCTGTTTGGGGTATATTTGCTTCTGATACTGAAGTGCCTGCAGCAGAGCTGTCCATCTGGAAAATGCAGGCTTGGGCGGTGGAGAGAGGAACACCACAGAATCCTTGTACAGGATTTGAAATGTTGTCTTCTGTGCGGTGTCAGTGGGAGGATGCTGAAGGGCTTGGGCTGCCTAGAAGACATTTGAGCTTTGTGTTATGGTTGTGGGGAGAGGCTTACAAGAAAAAATACAGAATGCCAGTCTTGTCCTATGTCGACATGATGCCTTCTTTCCCAATGGTCATCAAGAGATAGCCATGTGCTGCTGGGGAGATGTGTGAACCGAGGAGTGGGGCAGGCAAGTGAGAATGGTAGAGGGCTAAAAAACAAACAAACAAACAAACAAAAACCCAGCAAAACCTCCTGGAAGGCATGCAGAAGAGAAGCATAGTGTAGTGAGTACCCTGAACAGGAAGGGGTGCTTTAATGATGAAGCTCAGGGGCTGCAGCCCTGGAATGTCTGGGTGCAGACTCTAACTGCTTCACTCTTCCTTTTTTCGGTTGGGAGACTTCAGGCAAGATGCAGATCATCTGTGTCTCAGTTCCCCTGTTGGTAAAATACGGGTAATAAAATAGTACTACTTCACAGACGCTAGACACCCGTTGATATATTTAAAGCATTTTAAACAGTGCTTGGCACAGAGAAATCAATATGTGTGGGTTTGTTTCCATTGTTATTAGTCCGAATGGGAAAAAGATGGGAATGTAAGTCTGAGTGTGCATGGGAGAAGTTATGAGCTTTGGTCTGAATATTCAGAGGGCATAAGCTTTGAGAGGTGTGTGTGTGTGTGTGTGTGTGTGTGTATGTACACACATGGAGGAGGGACAGGAGGAGGCAAGGCTGGTCTGAGATGGATCTCTTCTGGCTGTATGCAAAATATTTTAACATTCTGGGGACAGAGAGCACCTGTTGGGTGTCTCGCAAGTTTGAGAAGAGCAATTGCTCTGAAGTCAGAAATGGAATTACTGTCACGAAAAGAAGCAGAGGCTGATGTGAATAATTAAGCCTCCTAATGAGAGCATTAATATTTCCCCAATAGATTGATTTAGAGCTTCTTTCTCTGGGATTGTTGCACAAACTTACCTGAGCTGGCCATCTATCTTGATTGTTCAGGACAAAATGCACTGAAAAAAAAAAAAAAGGAAGAAGAAGAAGAAACTGGTAGACCATTTAGTTTTACACTGCAATGTGAAACTAAATCCTAAGAAGGGAGGCCTACATCCAGGAAATGGTGAGCCCATGGCATGGTTCTGAGTGGTAGGACATGGAAATTAGGACTCCAAAGCAAGTCCTCCCTGGGCTCCACCTCATTATTCCTTATTGATTTTTACATTATAAATTGGCTCATTTCATCAGACCACTCCCCCAGCATGTAATGTGCCAGATGCTTGTGTCTTCCAAAGGGACTTGGAAACTGAGGTCAACTTTTCTTTAACCATAAGAACACCCATGGGTAGAAATAATTTGCTCATTACAGGCAAGCTCATTACCTGGACAAGCAAGGTAGGATGTGTCTCTGCCAGGGTTCAAGCAGAGTAGCACAATCAGAGAAGGTGTATGTGTATATGAATAAAGTTACTGCAAGGAATGGTTTACCCCATTGCAGATGATGGCTACACAAGACCAAAGTTCTTAGGGTGGACAGTCAGGAGAGGAAGACCATGAACAAACTAGAATGGGCAGGAGCTAAAGCTGAGTGTCTAAAAGTGGCAGCCAGGAAGGAAGGATTGGAAGAAGGAGAGCTGTGCTGGCCCAGGGGCTGTTTAGAATCTCTCCCTCAGGGAAGGGCTAAGCTCATTTACAGACTCTCAACTTGTTAAGTCATGCCCACAGAAGACAATCTCCCTTTGGATTAATTTAAAGTCAACTGGTGAGGGATTTCCACCTTAGCTACAAAATCCTTGTACAGGAGCACCTAGATCAGCGTTTGGCTGAATAACTGAGAGAAGAGGCATGCATGCTAGAGAGGCAGCTACTGCCCTCCCACCCTCCTGAGGGGGTCTCCCCGGCAGCCCAGCTAACTGGAAATACACTAGAATGTGGATTCTGGGGGCTGCCGTTCAGCCTAGCTGAGCTGACACATAAAGAAGCCCTCACAGGTGGAGAGCACAGCACGGGAGTGAAACCAGCTTCCAGGAGGACTCTGTCCTGCACGGTGACGGGTTACAAATCAGATTATAAGACTGCCCATATTTATCACACTCTATGTACACCTCATGTCATTGATATTAGCACTTCACATTTACATGCAATTTCATGAATTCCAAGCATTTCCTCATCTGCGATCAACTTCTCTTTTGTTTTGCTTTGCTTTGGATTTTTTAACATTCAAATAGATGTGATGGGTATTATTCTTCCTCATTTTACAGACGAAGACACTAAGGGCCATAGAAGTCAAGTTGCTTACTGAAAGGTCACGTGATTAGTGAGTGGGAGGTCAGGTGTGTCAGATCTTCCAATTCCAAGTCCAGGGCTCACTCCACTACCCCAGGCTGCCCGCGATAAGAGACAGCTTGCTCAGTAGACAGATCATTCTCCTCCCTGGTGACAATTCCAGTTGCCACTGAGTCTTCTAAAGCAATAGGAACTGACCTGAGTAGGTTATGTTCAGATTATGGCTGTGGGCTTCCCTTGCTGATGCGTAAGTTCCTTTTTATGTAATTAATAGTCTTGGAAATCTGAAAATCACATAGAATCCAATGTTACACTCACAGGAAGTTCCATATTTGAAGGAAAACAGCTAGATTGTAAACCCCACAGGGGCAGGGATATTTGTGCCATTTCCTGCTGTATCCATAGTGCTAAGAGTGAAGTCTGCCACATAGCAGGTTTTTGGTAAATATTTTTGTATAAATAGTAATGCTTAATGAAGCTGCTAGTCTTGAATCAATGGAAAACATTTATCTGTTATTGAGCTTTTGTAAAGTAATATTGACTAGACTTTCAAACTGACTGAATTTATTAATGATACTAGCTTGCTTGGCACTTTATGGTCAAAATGCACATTATGTACAGTGGCATTCTGGGAAACATGTCCTAAATACCTTCAAAGAGCCATAGCTTAGAGTAATTCAGGAGAAGACAGAGTTCCAGACCTCAATCTTGAAAGACAGTGTCTCTCTGGGGCATAACAGCAAAGCATCTCTCTGTATCAGCTCTATCTAGTACTGTATAGTTCTTTCTTCTGGGGTATCTTGTCAGTAAGAACCATGAACCCATAGAAAAAAATGTTTTATTGTTTTGTTTCTAAGTAAGTAAGTGGCACAGACAAAGAGAGACTTTCATCTCTTCTCAAGGCAACACAAAGTCACAAGATTAATTAACCTGCAATACACTGAGAACAGCTCTTTATCCAGTAGGTGCTCTCTGTCTATTTAGAGCGTGTAGTTTCTGGCGCTAAGTGGTATGATGAGTTGGCTGCATTCTCATACGGGGTTTTAGGCGTCTCTCCTAATGCAGTCAATAGTCCTTGTGATGGCCAATGCAGCACAGTGGTTAATCAGAACTGCTCTCTAGTCCGTCTGCTTGTATTTGAAACTCAACGTTACTATTTGTCGATTGAGTTAATGCACGCCTGTGTCTCAGTTTCTTCTCTGATAAGATGGAGATAATAAGAGTACATCCCTCATGGGATTGTTGTAAAAATTAACATGCATTAATTATGCAAAGCTCCTATGAAATTGCCTGGCCTAGGACAAGTTTTTTGTAAGTATTAGTAGGGGAGTTAGCATCCCATAGGGAATCAGCAGGACATTCCATCTGGGGAAGCCATGCATGCGTCTTACCCGATTCCTCAAGCCCGATGAGAGTGTCTGGGCAGGGTGGGGCAGGAAGGCAGTGGGCACTGTGGCCTTGGGCCTCCAGGAATCCTCAGTTTCTGGACAAGGACAAATAGGGCAGAAACCCTCTCGCAGTGCCCTGGCCATAGCATGTGCCAGATAGAAATGGAGGGCGTCTGGCTCTCAGAGGAAGCCTGGCTAACATCTCCCAGGGGATTCTTCACATTCAGAACTCAGACAAATTGCTGCTTTTTAATTAACACAGCCTCAACAACTCTGTTATCTGTCTTCTCATGAAACTATTTTCTCTCAAATCCTTTCTCCTTTTCCCACCCTGTCTGCTTCTGAGCTGTAATCTTTCAAGCTGCTCCCTGAGGAGTGGGCTGGGGATGGAAGTGGCAGAGAGACGGAGGAGGGGTGGAGAAGTGTAGCCGGAGTGATGGATGGACAGTGACCCACGGCCAGCAGTCGCCAGGCTGTCTGTGTACAGCTGCGGGAGACCTCAGCTGGAGCACGTGGGCCGCAGTGCCATCCACAGCTGGGTGTTATTAAAGAGCCGGCAGAATTCCCTGACAGAAACAAGTGGAAGAAGCATTCAGGAATGGATCCCAAATACCCCATTAATTTAAGTTTAATAGGACAATTATTGAATAATAAATAACAACCGAATCAAGGAAACATATTTATCAAAGACTTATGCCCAGATAATGCAATCGCGGCTACACCAGCTGAGAAGCCATAGTATGAATAGCTGCATCACGATGAAGAAATGCCCCCAGTGACTGTCTGAATGAACTCAGAGGAACACTCATGGCTCTATCTTGTCCTGCCAACCCTCTGGGGTTTCCCCTAAAAGTGGCATGTGCTGCTTAGGCTGAGGCAGCCCCATCTGTGGAGAAGGTGACACATATTTCCACACGGGGCCACGTGAAGCCATGTTCAGATTTTGTTCTCCTGAGTTTCCTCCATGAGGTCTGTGTGATGGAAATGCAAGATATGATCACCTTGTCTCAATCACCGTTTCAGGTCTGACCCACAGCTCTGTTTGAAGCCTTCTCTGTTTCCAGAAAACAGCTTCTTTCCAGCTCCATTCCCAGCAGGGCACTTTAAAATGGCTTTTGAAAAAAAAAAAAATTGTAAAGTTAAAAATATCCCCTTCCACTCCCCGGCTCCTAACTTATTAGAACAATGCCTAAGGCAGCAGGGGTGTCACTGGCAGTTCTATTTGTGATGGGTCTGGAAGAGTTGATATGTTTATGAATATTTACATCTCCAAGAGGAGACTGCTGTTAAGTAGATTTTTTAAAAAATCTGTAAATTTCCTTTTGTGGCATTAAAATGCTACAGCCCACAACATAGGCAGAGGAAAGAATGCAAGGGGGTAGGACAAGTGAACCACAGTATGGGCACCCCTAATCCTGTACTCTACAGAACCCCACATGCCAGGGGCTATGCAGGGAGGAATGTGGGCAAAGTGTTAGCTGGTAAATGCCTGGCGTTGTGTTGTGTTCTCCCAGCTTCCTTTTTATATGATGCCTATGATGCTGTCTGATGTTAGATGAAAAGCTCCTGGCATTGAAGTCTATCAGCAGAGGACAAGGGGAGGGAGGCCGTGGCTCATTCCTGCAAGAACAGACTGTAAGAATGGAGAGGGCAGAGGTCTGTGTGTCGGGCAGAAAGGGCGTCAGGATACGATGTTCTTTAGCGGACTGGCTACTCAGCAAATTTGATTGTTAGTCATTTTCACACTGTCAAATATGAGCTACTGCTTCTTGCTTGTCTCTGTAAACACACTGCCTCCTTCCAAAGAACTTTAACATTTAAAATGCGGGAAAATTTTCAAAGGCATTGACCAAGTACAAAGTAGGTATGGTGTTCTCCTCCTCAGCTTTCCCAGAGAATCTAGGTAAGTCACTTGAAAACACACAGCAAGTCAAGAACTAAAGGGTGTACAGGTTCTCACACACTTCCCCAGGTCGAATCTCGGGCTGGTGTCTCCAGAGCGAGGCAAAGGCAGAAACCTCAGCTTTCAGTCGCAACTCATGAGGGCAGAGAACAGGGCTGTCTTTCCTTTCCACAAGCCCCTTGCCGGTGAGCATCTTGTAGCTTCACATGCTAAGCAGTAACTCCTACTGACTGTCAACGACTTGGCTCACCTCTTGCTTGGCTACAGGCAGCCATTGGAAGCAGGTGACTATTGAGCCATCACAGTGCCCTAATTTGCAAGTTACTTTGAGAAGAAGCCTTCCCTTGGCAGGCTGTCTAACCATTATGAAGCTGTCTACCAGTAGGCAGTCTTGCACACATCTCTCAGCTAATTTAGAGAAGTCCTGAGTAAATGTCTCTAACATGCTAGAAGACGAAGATATCACTGGTTGCACACTGTTCAGTAAACGTGAAGCCCGATGACAGGTGATGCTCCTGATTGGGAGAGGGAAGAAGATGGCAGAGACCAGCTCACAGGGCAGAGCTTTCCAGCGGGGAGGCGGTGTCCCACCTTGGCCAAGAGTGAAACCCTGACCCTTTATCATCTATTTTAGAGAGACTGAATTTTTGTTTCTCCCTCTCCAATGACGGTGCTACATCACTGAGCAGCTGCCACTCCTTTTCAGAGCTCTGTCCAGAAGCCAGATACCTTGTGCTTTGGAAGGAATGAGAGGAAATCATCTGTGACTGTCCCTCCGGGGTGCGTGGGTCCCTTGTTTACTCCGCAAACTTGTATGAAGTACCTACTGCAATAGAGCTAGCGAAGACCATAGAGGAGGCCCTGAGAACGTGGTTCCCTGGCTTGAAGGGCCAACCATCTCAGGAGGGGACAAAATGCAGACATGAAATAACGATGTGACATGAATCAGAATCCATCCTGCCAGAGGTGTGAAAGAATGCACCCCAAGGTTGCTGGAGGAATTGCTTCGGGAACCCCAGCTTTGGAGCAGAGCCGGGGGTATGTGTGAGGGGCAGGGATTGGGTCTCTTGGCTGGCTTCCTGGGCTTCTTCGACTGGGGATTTGAACCAGCTCTAGGACAGTAGCCAACTTTTTCCTCAAAGATGACTTTTGTGGATTCTGAAAAATGTGTTTATTCTTTTGCTTATAACCAAAGATGGGAAAGCACTTGAGAGAGGAGAGGTTCCAGATCATCTTCTGAGATTCAGGGCTGGTCTTTAGTGTCCTCATTTGGAAATGAGAGAGTGGTTTCTGGGGCCCGTCTTTGACCAGGGTTTCATGAATCTGTGACTGTTCACTGCAGTTCTTTTGAACTGTAGAGTCTCGTTCTGTATGCTCCCCTGTACGGAACGGACTTCCAAGAGCACAGGCTCCCATCATTCTACCGGGATTCAAAGCCTGGCTCTGCTAATCACTAGCTCTGTGACCTGGGCAAGCTACTTCACCGCTCTGTGCCTCAGTTTCCTCATTTATAATGTATGAATTAACATAGTGCCTACTTCCTAGAATTCGGTATGGATTAAAGGAAGTAACACATACAAGGTGCTTGGCTGAGAGTAAACATTCAATAAATACGGCTTCTTCTTAACCTCTGGCTGCTCGCCCTCGGCCTCTTTTTTGGGTTCTTCCCTTGATGAGCTTTTAAAGACTGGTGTGACTCAGTCCCTTAAACTGGGCTAGCCGATTTCCCCTTCCTTTTTCACAATTTAGCCTCTCTCCTTAGTGAGCTTACCTACTCCCCTGTTCTCTGTTCCCCATGCTCAAGAGTCATAGCTTACAAAGCATTGCGTGATCTGGCCATTGCTTATCTCCTTTCTTATTGTATTCCTACAGAAATCCTTTGCCTCGAATCTCTACATTTACTATCTTTTACCCCTTTCTCTAGCTCCCACCTTCAGCAGAAGGATGCACGTGGATATGCACCCATGCACACCCATCCACACCCACATGTGCACACATGCAAGCACATGCACACACCCTTCTCACATGGCTTACTCCTACTGATCTTTCTGACTTCATCTTAGACCTGGCTCCCTTGTGGAAGGCTTTCCTGATCCTCTCCATAGGATAGCAAAGATCATAGCATTCAACACAGAGGACACTAAGGATCTGGCCATATGTCAGCATCTGCCACAAGATGGTAAGCCTAGTGAGAACAGTTATTGTCTGCTGTGCCCCCCTCGATTCAGCATAGTGCCTGGTACCTGGAAGATCACCAATAAGTATTTATTTTAAGTGAATGTATGCACAAATGAATAAAGGTGTCAACAGATGAATTCCCTCTTGGATATACTCCTTTTGTTGAAAGTGTTTCTGGCTTGCAATTATTTGAGATCTATCTGCTATGAACGATTTGTCTGGCTTTATCTCGTTATGTTTCTGTCCCCCTTTTTTTCCTGCACTTTTCATCATGCACATAAAAGTAACCGCACGCAATCACTCACAATTGGGAGCATCAGTGGATGGACAAAAAATGCATGAGGAGGAAGGCTCTGCATGGGAAAGGGCTGATTCTGTTTGTCAGGATGCGTGTTGTCTAATCCCGTACACACCAAGGCTGCAGACTGTGGCACAGGCCCTCCTAAAGCAATATCACAGTGAGGCTGGAAATCTATTTCCCTGGGTGTGCGCAGCTGCCACCTAACACTTTGGAGAACAGCAGGTGGTTCATGAAGAAGGCAGAAAGGGAAGGCTGGTTAATTTCAGAGCTGAGGAGCAGAGGGGCTGATGAGTGGAGCCCTTGGTCAGCCTGGCATCCTCAAAGGCGGAGGTAATGAGAAGAATGGCTCCTTAAGAATGGCTTGGTGGGGTTTCATATGTGCCCTCTCACGATCAATTCCAGAGGAAATTTAGGCCAGTTTCAAGTCAAAATAGGATTTTTTTGAACAGCCAGAAGAGAAAACTGCACCTGGACCCACAATCCCAGCTGGGCTCTCTCTGCCTCTTGCATCCACCCTGGTAATAAAGATTCTCCAACAAGAGGAGAGTTGATGAGGTGGAAGATGGAAGGGAATCCATGTGTGGTTTGCTTGAGCCGACCTGGCTGCCCAGGGGTCCAAGTGTGTTTGTGCTGGGTGAGTCGACAGAGATGGCTGAAGAAATGGGGAAAGTGTCGCCTCTGAGACTTGCTGGGTGTCTGCAAGTGTTTTGCAGGAAATCTTTTCAGTGTGGAACTGTACGTGAGAGACCCTTTTCTCTGCTAATCTCGTCCCCTAATTTTCTCCCTTGATAATTAAATTACAGTAGCAGGTTGATGCCAAAAATAGAGGAGGCGTCTCGGGTGTCTTCAACATTAAATTTTGCCCATGACAGAAATATGACTTGGTTATACTGAGGCTTCTTGCTTCAGCGAGTAGCTGAGGGTTCCAGTGTTAACTTTGGCCGTTAAAGGCACCCTCCGATAACGTTTGGAAACCAGCCAGCGTCTACCCCTGTGGTTCCCTGGAAGAACGTAACTGCAGAGCTAGCCTTGGGCAAAATCCAAAAGGAACAGGGTAATAGTTAACCTAGACCGCTCACTAACAGTGTTACTCTGAGCTTCAGGAAGCCAGTGTGGGAACTGTGTTTGGGATTAGAGTCCCCCCAACTAGCCTATTGGGAGAGTTGAGCAGTGGATTTCTGTGGATACAACACCAGCACTTACATTCCCTACTGCACCGTTTGCGTCCCGCTCTGCCTCTCTGCCTGCCCACCTGTAAGGTGGTGGTCATGATGCGCCTAGCCGGCAGAACTGTCCAAAGACTGAGAATGCATCTGTCAAAGGGTTTATTCATCGTCCAGTGCTCCATGCATGAGGGCAGCGTGTTTATTTGCTTTTTCTTCACTCCGTACACACGAGGCCATACTATCCATTAGGCTCCCAGGACCCTTTCTAATTAATTCTGGGAAGGGTTACTGAGTGTGGAGGGTAAGGGCTGGCCACGTGGGCGAGGCCCTCGGCATTCCTTGAACGCTGCAGCTGTGCAGTGCCAGGAGCCTGCCTTCATTAAATAGGAGCCGGGGCCTCATTGCGTTTCCGTGTCACATGTGACTGTGGGCCTAATGGTGGTGATTAGTCAGTGTCCAGAGAGGGAATAAGCAGGCTCCCCCCACCCCCCAGCTCTGCACGGCATGCTGAGTGATGCATTCGATGAGGGGGATGGAAAGGTCGTTTGCCAACAGGACTGGATATTGATCCCTGGAGCCAGGTCCTGGGATTTGGAGGCGACTCGCAGCCCCTTCTGTGGAATACAAACAGTGTTGCCTTCTTGAGGGCTCTAAGCACCCGGAGGGACCAGAAAGGTTGCTGTTCTTTGGGACTGGAGGGGCCCGAAGAAGACCTATATAGAGTGATGTCAGAAATGCTGTGACTTCAGGGAGGTTTTGTCTTTTTAAGTACATTCTCCCATCCTTTTCCATTTCTTAATTCATAAAGCTGTATTCCCAGGGATGCAGTCCCATCGTGCTGATAGAAGATTCTTTGGATCAAGGCAACAACAGGGTATAGGATGTTTCCTTTGAAAAACACGAAAAAGTCATCTTAGAGTTAAGAGCAAAGGGTATATGCGACGCAGTTGCCAGAAGAGGCCAGGCTAGGATACTCGAAGATACAGTGCAGGATGCCTTTCTCCTTTCCTGGAAGTTATTCCTCATCTACTTCTAGATGAAAGTGCTTCCAGGCAATTGACAAGTGCAGAGAGACTGCAGAGGGTGGGAGAGGTGGCAGCAGCAACTACAGCGGAAAGAGAGGCAAATGCATTGAGAGGCAGCTCCCAGCCATAAGGTGTCACTGCTGTTTGAAAGTTGATTCAATCAATATTAATAACATGATGCCATCACCGAAGATTTACTGATACATTGAACACTTACTGTGGGCCAAAGCTGTAGCCAAGTGCTTTACAAGCGTTATCTAATTTTATCCTCAGCAGCCCTAAGAAGTGGTGGCTGTTGTTTTTCTCATCACACAGATTAAAACCAAACATGTTCCCATGAGTAAGAATCCCAAATGGTGAAAGTCTAAGTAACTTTTCCAAGGTCAGAGCTAAAAAATGCTTGGGGATTAAGTAACAATCTGAGATTTGAACTCAAACTCTCCAAAATAGTTAATCCTATCATAAAGTTTTTTCCAGCTAACTTGCAGTATTTCTCAGCCTTTTATAGTCCGAGCCCCCATAAAGCTTCCTGATTCCTTCCCTGCTGATCTCTAGCAGGTAAGAAGATGTTCTGTGTGGTTTTACATTCAGCTCTTTGTATTATGAAATCTACAGGTATCGTTGCTTTTAAACTGCACAAACCACTTCTCCGAGTGTTTGATGTGCTTCCCTGTACTTCACCCTTTCTCCTTCTCCCATCCTGGTGGTATTGACTTCCATATTAATGCGAGAGCACTTACTGAGCTCCCACAGAGAGACGCAGTCACATACGTGCAGCTCTGAATGACTCACTGCCCCGCCCAAGCAAGCAAGAGGCCCCTCTCCTGTAGCAGGTACTCATTCCTGATGGGCACAGGCCTGGACGATGTCCTGCCACTTCTACACAAGGTGGATCCTGCCCCTCTTTCCAAATTCCTTCCAAGCCAAGTCCTCAGTAAAGCCGTTTTCAGACATCCAACACTCCTCCTGACACATGCATGCAGGAATTAAAAGAAAACATCCCTATAGGGAAGTCATGGACATTCCATTTGGAAGGACTGGAGGGGCCAGATGGGGAAAGGCTTTGACTCACAGGAAAAGAGTTTGACACTTTGGATTCCTTTAACTAAAAGCAACAGGAAATGACTGAAGGTGTTTGAGGAAGAGAGCAGAGTTTTAGGGAGATGAGTGGAGGCTACAGGTTGTGGGGTAGGTGGGGTGAATGTTAGGAGTGAGCTTGAGAAGAACTGGAATAGCTCAGTCGTGCAGTGGGAGGAGGAGGTGATGAAGGCATTCCAGAGGTGAAAATATTTTTATTTAAGGGGGTCAAATAGTGTGGTTTAAAAATGCCATAAAATTCAACACCTTTTATCCAGCATTCAAGATTAAGTAGTTGACGTGAGGATGTCATTAATTCTGGACGTGTTCTGCTTGGTTGCTGAGGAGGTGAGGAAATAGAGGGAAATAGAGGGTCTGCCATCCCCCATCTTTTTTTTTTTGAGATGGAGTCTCGTGCTGTCACTCAGGCTGTAGTGCAGTGGTGTGATCTTGGCTCACTGCAACCTCCGCCTCCCGGGTTCAAGTAATTCTCCTGCCTCAGCCTCCCGAGTAGCTGGGATTACAGGTGCCCACCACCATACCCAGCTAATATTTTGTATTTTTAGTAGAGATGGGGTTTCAGTAAGTTGGCCAGGCTGGTCTCAAACTCCTGACCTCGTGATGTGCCCGCCTTGGCCTCCCAAAGTTGTCCTCCCCCAATCTTTCACATGAATGAGGAGCCTTGCTTTCGGTCCACGACGTCTGCCTGATGATTGGAAATTCACACACAGATACACCCACCCATGACTGCCAAGAAGGACGTTTTGGCTGAGGCCACTGGGATTCATGAGCCGTACCTCCCTGGTCCTGGCATCTGGGGAGCTTCTTGTAATGCCCACCCAGACACTGGGAATGCAAGCACCATCCACCCCCTGTTCATGGGTGCACTATGACCACCATCCAATGGGTATACACTCCACTCTTCAAATGAGTGTGGGTGAGGGGACAGGGAGTGCACATAGCACCCTTCACTGTTCAGAGTTCACCCAACCCAAGCGCCTCTGATCAGGGCTGGAGGGCTTTGGAAGGCATGAGGAGGCAAGGACTTGGGGGAAATGCAATAAATGTAAAAACTAGTCCTTGGTTCCCTGTGCCCCTCCTGAGACCTGCTGAGGTTGTCTTGAGCACAGGGGTCCTGAGACAGAAGGAAACGTGAGGGCAGGAGGTTGGCTCCTGCTGCAGCATACAGATGTTGCCTTACCTTTTCAGGGGCATAGATCTTAAGGCTAAGCTGTGGCAAGGATAAAGCCTATGATTTTTCCCTCTCCCTGGCACTCCCCTGCCAACCCTCCGCCTGTGGAATGCACTCTGAAGGCGCTGAAAAGGCCTTGGAGTTGTGAAATCTTAAAACACATGGATGAGAAAACAAGCCCCAGCCAGCATAGGAAGTGGGAATGGGGGCATTTGCCACTTTACTGCTAACTGCTTTGAAAGAAAAGAGACAGGTGTGGGTCCCGCTGATTTCTGAAACTGTCACAGATGAGAAGCAGTATGAGACTGCAGGACGCTTTGTAGCTCTCAGTCTGGCACCCTTGCCAAGATCACAGAGACTTGGGGGAGGAGTTGTTTCAACCAAAAATGGCAGCAGGGTTTTTTTTTTTTTGGCAACATAGAGGCAACAGTGAGTCAGAAGAATAAGAGGGGGATCAACCCTATTACAACCAATTTTTGTTTTTTAAAATCTTGGCCTGAACTCACCTTAGACAGCAGAGAGTTGTGGGATCGTAACTCAGCCCTGCCACTTGCTAGCTGTGTGACCTTGGGATATGTACTTAACCTCTCTGTGCAGCAGTTTTATCATCTGTAATGGGGGATAATAATGATCCCTATAAAAGAGTTAAGTTATGCATTCTCTAATATCTCTGGGCTAGAGCCTGGCATTATATAATAACTCAATTTTAGTTGCCATTATTTAGGAAAAAAATTAAAATAATGAATCTTTTTATAATTGTCAATCAATATTAATTACCATGGTCTCCTGATAGTCATAGCCCATGTTGGCTAACCAACAACCTTGAGGCAGGGAATTTATTACTTTTCCCACATTTTATAGATAAAGAAACCAAAGCCTAAAGATGTTCTACAGGACTGTGAAAGGAAGGGTGAGGAAAAGCTAGGAGATGAGTGTCCCACCCGAGCTATAAGCAGCCCCAGAGAGACACTAAGACAGGAGCTGATTGGGACCAAAGGCATGGCCCACATGGCATGGCTGGGTGTGGGAAGGGACAGACAGGGCCAGCGCCCAGGGCTCCTAAGTCTGCACCCAGAGCTCTCCCCATGCACTCGGTTCCCAGGCATCCAGCCTTGCAGGCAGAAAGAGAGGTGGCCACCACCCTACTTGTAGAGATATGGGCCAAGAGTGGAAAGGTCTCTAAAATCCTTCTGCTAAAACTTGCAGTTTAACAAGTAGAGTGATTGCACATCCTCCTCCTAGTAGCATGCATTCATTTGATGCTTAGGAGACCAGCACACTGAGTCCAAGGGGACCCTAATCTCAAGGACTTGGCTCCAAACAGCCAGAAGGGGCAAGAGTGTGAGAGACGCTCAGTTAGGGTCACCCATTAAGATCAAAGGTTATCTTAATTCACACAAATTCTAACCATTTAAAGTCTTGGCCCTTTTTCTGCCTATGGAGAGTTTTATCCAGCATGGCACAGATGATGAGCTTGCTCTTCTTTGAAGGTAAGTGCTAATTGCAAGGTAACAGTGACCTTGCCAACGCAAGAGGGTGATGAGTCAAAGACAGCTGGGTTCCCTTCATTTTCTTCAGTAGGATCTGAATTTCCTACCCAGCAGCTGTGGATACCTAAAACTGACATTTGAGCTAAGTATAAATTTCACTCGCTCTCTAAAAAGGTGGCAAAATGATCTCATATATAGGAGCTTGCACTTTACACTCCAGTCTAGCTCCGAGTAAAATATACTGCAGCTAGGTTACAAGAAGACAATCTTAAATTTAGAACATTAGAGGTCATTCTGACCCACCTCCTACCCAATGCAATAATCCACTTTGAAAGACTCTGCAGATGGTCCTGCAGCCTCAACTTGAACGCTTCCAGTAACAGAGAGCTCAGTACCATGCAAGATAAAGAAAGTTTTGAGTACTTTTTTTCTTAAATTGA
This sequence comes from Homo sapiens, assembly GCF_000001405.40. Lineage (NCBI taxonomy): Eukaryota > Metazoa > Chordata > Mammalia > Primates > Hominidae > Homo > Homo sapiens. Next base: position 133,037,307 of record NC_000011.10, on the reverse strand, counting down.
ATCTAATCTTTGGTTTCTTATAACTCTTACGTATTGAGATTACTTCCCAGAATGATATAAGTCCTCATCCTCACAGTGGTGATCCGACTAACTTTGAAGTTAGCTCTATTGACCCAAATAAGTCTTGTCTTTTCATAGTGTTCATTTTCCATTGATTCAGCCATGGCTTTTGATTTTCAGCCTTTCACTATCCTCAATGCCCTCTTCTAGGGGACTGGATAGCCTGGTTTGTATGTTTTCGATTGGGACCATACAGTGTGGTCAGGCAGAGCCCTTTGTCATCTGAGCCAGGGTGGCCGGGAGAAACAGAACACTGTGGGGAGGGAGGACCAAGGTCATGGTCTTGGAGCTCCTGCAGAGCATCACAGAGGAACAAGCAAAGAAACAGGAGGGAGTGAAGTGCAGCAAATGGATTATGAAAGAGAAGGAGGAATAGATGTGGGACAACTGAAGATCTGGGTCTGTCCTCATGCCAATAAACCAGGCTGCCCTCCCATTCCCCACCTCACCATAAACTTAAGCTGCCAGTTCTTTTCTGAATGCAGAATGTAGTCCTGAATCAATGTCAACTTTGTAGTCTTGGATTATTTTTCTCAGAGATCAAAATATTTTTGAATCCTGATTCTGTCTTCTTGAACATTAACTATTTTTCTCAGCTTCATATGCTCTATAGAATACATTAGGTTGCATTCCAAATTCTTTACCAGGTCATTGTATAATACAACAGGGCCAAGTACAGAACCCTGAAGCACATTAGTGTGCTTGGCATGGTGTTTGATATGCTTTAATAGACCTATTGCAGTGTTTGATGATTGAATGTGGGTTAAGGAGGAAATAGCAATGTAAAAGAAATATGAGATCATCTAATTATAGCATGTGGGCATGTAAACAAATGCTAACAATAAAATTTAACATTTCTCTCACTAGACCGTGGAGAATCTTTTATTGATCTTTGCAATCTTAGCAGCTGAGCAGTGCCTGACACATAATAAGAATTTATTCCATATTTATTTTTACAAATGTACAAACACACATTCGCACCATCCTGGGAAAGAATTGGCATTAGGGAAGTTCTTAACTCGATACCATTGCACTTAAGCAGCAACCCTTTAAAGCAACCATCATTTGTTGTCCAGTAGCCACTTCTGGACACCAACTTTTCTTTTTATTTCACTTTGACATTTTAAGTAGACTTTAAAGTTTTAGTTTATCTAAATCTCAACTACTTTAAGAAAACCTGGTCTTCATGTTGATGTATTAGTTTGCTAGGGCTGCCTTAACAAAGTAATACAGGATGAGTGGCTTAAACATTAGATATTCACTTTCTCATAGTTTTGGGAACTAGAAATCCAAGATGAAGATGCTAGCAGGTTTGGTTTCTCCGAGGCCTCTCTTTTTGGCTTGCAGATGGCTTCTTGCGGTGTTGTCTGTGCCGCTGCGCCCATGGTGTCTTTTAACCTTATTCAGCCTCAAGGTTCCCATTTATAGAATGGGCATACTCATTTATGTGTCCAAATGTCCTCTTCTTATAAGGACAACAGTAATATAGGATTAGGGCCAACCCTGACGACCACACCTTAACCTAATCACCTCTTTAAAGGTCCATCTCCAAATACAGTTACATTCTTAGGTACTAAGAGTTAGGACTTTGACATGTACATTTTTTGGGGGGGCACGATTCAGTCCCCAAGAATAGGGCGTGAAAGAGAAATAGCAGGCACAGGCTCAGAGATCTGATGTGGCACTTAGCCTGTGCCACATACTGGAAGAAATAATATGAGAATAGCCAAATACTTTAGTCTAGATCTGTTCTGGCTCAATTTCCTGACTCCTTACCACTAGCCTTTTTTATGTGAGGAGTCTTGATGTCCATTTTCCTCTCATCAGAGTGAGCTTGGAGGTGCTGCCTGTGCCTGTAGGTCCCATTTTCTCTTTCTCTGCAGCCTTGATCCAAGGACTGAACCTGAAGATGGAGTTTGTTGGAGAGATCCATGAACATGCACCTGCAATATTACTTTTGTGGTTGATGGAGTAGAAAGTTTCTCTAGGAAGAGGCAGCATTGCTGCTGCCCTCGGCGACATGACAGATAGGGTGGCAAGCCGCCCGGCACACCCTCCCCTGTCGGGCTGGCTGCAGTCAGAATGAAGGTAATCTATGAGCAAGACTGCATATCAACAGTACCCTCCCCTCTGTATAAATCAGGAAGGGATAATGCTTATTAAAGGCTACTCTCCCAGAGCATCCTTTCCTCCCGCCTGGGGCATTATCCATCTGGTGTTGAAGGTCATATCAACCTGACTGGGGAGAGGGGACCATGCCTAAGAGGACGGAGAGGCTGATGATCACTGCAAAGAGCTCCCATTGCATCATGCCAGGATTGAGAACATGTCTCTGCCGGTGCCCGTGCGAACCAGCGCTATTAGAGCATGGATGAGGGGTGCATAAAAAAAGATCTGGGGTCCAGAATGGAGGGTTCCTGCAAGTTCACATGAGGCTACTCCTCTTATAGGCTTAGTACTTGTTCCTTAGTAACAATAAGAGCAAAAAAAAAAAAAGGAAAAAAAACAACAGACTTTACTAAGCACTTACTTCTCAGTCACACTTCTAAATGTTCCTTGCGTCTAAGCATCATAGATCTCCTTGGAGGAAGGTACTGTAGTTATTTTCATTCTCTACATACAGCAGCATTCTTTATTGAAGAACGTTGAGGCACAGTAAAGGTCAGCAATTTGACCAAGGTCACAGAGTTAGAAGGAGATAAAGCTGGCATTCAACCCTGAACAATCTAACTCCAGATTTTATGCTTTAAAAATGCTGCACGCCATATGAATAAACCTTTACATTTCATAAGCACTGGATTTATGACAGGTACTGGCCTAAGGTCAAATAACAGGCAACTGGCTTTTCAGTGTCATATACAGCACTTGCATGCATTCCCTCTGTCTCTCTCTCTCCCTCTGTCTGTCACACACACACACACACACACACACACACACACCTATACATACAGAGCTACTCTTCTGGTTTGAGTAATGACACTGGCCTTTGGGTAGCTGCTTGATAGCTGGTTGGGATCTACTGCCCCATAGAGAAGTACAAACTTAGGACTAGTAAGAATAGAGGTATACTAGGCCCTCAAAGCTGCCCAGAGCCAGCTTACCCCTATAGGAGCATCCCCTCAGCCTCTTTCTCAAAATATCACCACTGAAAGCATGGTTGGCAAGCAAGCTCTTTCACACTGTGCCTAAATTAATTGCTATACTTGTTTCCATCGCAACTAAGTCATTTTTTGCATCAAGGAAGTAATAAAGGGTGTCAGTTAAGATTACTGTTTTTGGAGACAAATGGATTTGGCCATCCTGCATTTGGCATGTAGAGTTGGCCCTGTACAAATTACTTAATTTTGAACCATGGTTTTCTTATCTTTAAGTTGGGGATATCGTATCTGCCTCAGTATTGCTGTGAGTTGATACCCGTGACCACATAATTAGAAAGTTGCAGAGATGGGATTCAAATCTAGGTTTGCTTGACTGGATATCTATAACCACTAGCTGCATATTTTTAAACTTTAGCCTCAGTGTTCCCATTTATAGAATGGACATTCTCATCCTTACCTCACTGATTTGTTAATATAGCAAAATGCTCTATTCAAAAAATAATGCAGTGCTGAGCACACCAGCTTCAACGTGACAGCTATTATATAAAGACCAACAAAGTAAAGTTACACAAACCATAAGAAAAGCTTTATTCCCTGGAAGTTGCAAATGAGAAGCTATTTATATACAATTTTCTTCTAATAGCTACTTTTGATTTTGATTTCTATGGATAGGAGTGATATGTATAATATTTGGAGTGTCTGAGATTTCAAAATAGTCAAAGGAGCTAGGTGGTATTGAAGACGTCATGAATGCATAGTCCTAAATGAGCCTACTTTTTCTTGAATATGGCCCCACCCCTGCACAGAAGGAGGGGTGAACAGAATGCTGCAGTGGGGATGGCATTTGTTGTCAGCTTTGGAACAACCAAAGTACTTTGTCTTGTCAGCTTGCTGGTAATTCATCAAAAGGAATAAATGAATAGAATGCCTTGTGTGAATCTAATCTCTTCAACCTACAAGACTCAATTCCTAAGAAGGCAGGCAATGGAACCCAGACTGGAGAAATAGAATTTAAAAGATGAAAGAGCCTTTTCTGGGTAATATCTGCATTCTTTTTTTAATGAATCTATTTTTAGTCCTTGAACAAATGGACATAAATAATTCCAACCACTGACAGCTAAATATGGACAACCATTTCTGGACTGGGAGAAAGACAGACTAATTATATTAATGTAGAGTAATTATATATATTTATGTTCACTATCCTCATTGCAGTGCTGAGATAAAATTCTCTTCAGAAGGGAATTGGTGAAGTCAGAGAAGCAGTAGGTTGCTCAGCAGATGTTTGGGAAGTTTCCTGTGAAATGCCAGCTGTCTGAAAGTAGAAAAAATGTTTGTATTAGAGTCTTTGAGTTGTACCAATTCCAGGTCGGAATAATGCAATAGTCACGGAGGATCCTGCCACAGGTGATAACTGGGGGCTGCTCAGTTAGATTCTGGGGTAGGCTTCTTTCATTAGTATCTTACATTGGGATCTTGGTTTAAAACCAGAGTGGAGTTCTGTACCTACTTTGTGCATGTATGTGGGATTATTGTTGGAAAAAGATATTTAAATGAACTCTTTTGCCATTTACTGCTGTGAGTTCTAGACTTGTTACCCAGATTCTATCGTACATTTGAGGCATCAATGTCCAAATGATGTTCCCAAACTTTTACAACCAAAACCAATACAAGCATGTGCCTTTTTTTCCCCCTGGTGATTTGCAAAGGGAATGAGCATGCTGAGCTGGGATAGACTACACATTCTGGATGAAGACTGAGCCCACCAATAAAGTCAGTGTTCCAATACAGGTACAGTGGTTTGGACCTCACCGTTCTGTGCTGGTAGATGTACTGGGCTGGGGCATTATGTAAGGGGACAAGTGAGGGAGTTGTCTGATTGGCCAGATTTGAGTCATTTGCTCAACTTTAAATCCTTTTGACTGAAGATATTTAACCAGGTCAAGGTCACATGACCTCTGTTCTGTCTAGAGAAGGGCTAGCCCCACCAGATCCCAGTGAATGTGGAAGGATGAGAGGAAGCCTCTGTTTACAGAGGAGATTGGAAAAAGGGATGTTGGAAAAATTAAACTACTGGATATCCACTCTAGCCACCTTTCACCATCTGATTTTGAACAGAGAGTGTAATCTCATTTAGCTCCAGATAAATGGCAATCAGTCTTTTCTTCATAAGGTTGAAGATTAAATGAGTTAATGTACAGAAAAAAACAAAGCACTGTGTTTGGCATAGAAGAGGCACTCAATAAATGTTAACCTTTTGGTACCAAATAGAAACTTGTATTTTTATTCTTGTTGAGAGGTCTTGAAGTGCTCATTTGAAAGCTTGGTTCTAATGTTTCTGACTGTCCTGTGATGTAAGGAGGAAAGGGAGAAAATTTTTTTTCTGTCATACTGTTCTATATTAGTCCCAATAATTCCAGAACTTCTCTGTATCCCTCAGCAACTCTCAGAGAAGTGAAACCTATAGCCACTTTTTTTATTACCATGCTCACACCCTGGCAACTTCCCATCCACCCATCCATCCACCCATTCATACACCATCTATCCCTCCATCCACCACCCATCCATTCACCCATCTACCCATCCATCCACCAACCATCCATCCATCCATCCAACCATCCATCCATCCATTCACCTACCCATCCAACCAACCATCCATCCATCCATTCACCTACCCATCCAACCAACCATCCATCCATCCATTCACCTACCCATCCAACCAACCATCCATCCATCCATTCACCTACCCATCCAACCAACCATCCATCCATCCATCCACCTACTCATTCATCTATCCACCCATTCATACACCCATCAATCCATCCATTCACCAACCACCCATCCATCTATCCATCCACCCATGCACACATTCATCCACTTATTTAACCTGTCTACCCATCCACCCATCTATCCACCCATCAATGCATCCATCTGTCCATCCACCCACCCATCCATTCATTCACCTATGCACCCATTTATCCATCTATCCATTCATCTCTTGAAGAGGTACTTTTTGCGCACACACTAAATGCCAGACTTAGTGATAAGTGCTGAGTAAACCATCATGTTTTAACAAAGCCCGTGCTTACAGAGCTAGGTTGTGATACCTTTTTTCTCTGGAAATTATATCCTACTCAAGCTATTTGTAGGGGGAAGGGAACACGAAGAAACAGTAAAAACACATTTCCCCAATTTTCCCTAGTATAAGCTTTAGTGAGACTTTTAAATATATATTGTTATAATGCCTTCTTTGGAAAAAAAAAAGTCCAAACTCTGAGCACAGTGCAAAGGACGATGGAATGCTTGGATTCCCCTTCTTGGTAGGGTGAAATTCATTAAGGAAAAAAATGGCAGGAGTTCAGACTTTCCTGGATGGCTTTTTAGGAGAACCAGAGCATTGAAATCATCTCCAAATAGCCTTTTAAAATCTAAAATGAGCAGTTTTATTAATTAAATATTTAATGAATATTCTAGCTAGCATATTAATTCTAGGTAAAGTTGATGAAGCAGGGGGCTGCATTTTATATGCTGTCTTATTTTGTGTCTGTTGTGAATATTAATAATATCTTGCACTTCATTCTTGTGGTCTTGATGTGGATTCGTTCCTTGAAGGCTCATGATGATTCTGTTAGACGGATGGGACACAGTGTTCTGTCCTTATGTACAGATTAGGAAAACAAGGCTCAAAGACTTTGAATATGTGGTTCAGGAGAGAGACAAGGAGTGGCAGGGACAGAGCATGAGCACAGACCTTTCAGGGTTAAGTTCTACATTATTTCCCATCTACCATTATCGTACTTGGGGGTTTGTGAGCATGTGGCAGGAGACGTGAGGCATACATTGTTACCCACATTGTAAGCCTTTGCGTATAATTGTGTTAGCCTCAAGTTTCGGGATTCAGCTTTGCCTTCTGGGTCATGTTTAAGACATCATTAAGAGTTGACAGTTTGGTTAGGAGACTTGGTTTTGCAGTGTTTCTGTAATGAGAAAGTTCACTTACTGCAGGAATACCCACTAGGGAACAGTTTCTGGGAATGTAGTGTGGCCAGAAGAGGGCATTTCTCCCCAGATCCACTCCTTGTGTTGAGGGGATGTGACAGGGAGCAGCTCTCTGGGGTCAGTGGGCCAGCAGCTCAAACACTAATTACCATCTCTTAAGATGATGGTGACCTTGACCAAGTTACTTCACCTGTTTGTGCTTCCCCTCCCTCCTCTGTAAGATGAAGATAATTATTCCCTACTTAGATTGCTATAGATAATGAATGAGTTTTACTTAATTTTTTTTTAAATTTTAGATTCATTAGGTGCGTGTGCAGGTTTGTTACAAGAATATATAGCGTGATGCTGAGGTTTGGGCTTTTAGTGATCCTGTCACCTGAGTAGCAGCGTAGTACCTGATAGGTAGTATTTCAACACTTGCCCCTCACACTTTTTGAAACCCTAGAGTCTATTGTTCCCGTTTTTCTGTCCATGTGTACCCAAGGGTTAGCTCTCACTTACAAGTGAGAACATGTGGTATTTGGTTTTCTGTTCCTGCATTAATTTGCTCAGGAGAATGGCCTCCAGCTGCATCCATGTTGCTGCAAAGAACATAATTTCATTCTTTTTTATGGCTGTGTCGTATTTCATGGTGTATATGTAGCACATCTTCTTTATCCAATTCACCATTGCTGGGCACCGAGGTTGATTCCATGTCATTGCTATTGTGAAGAATGTTGTGATGAACATACAAGTGTGTGTATCTTTTTGGTTGAACGATTTATTTTCCTTTGGCTATATGCTGACTAGTGGCCTTGCTGGGTCGAATGGTAGTTCTATTTTTAGTTCCGTGAGAAATCTCCAAACTACTTTACACAGGGGCTTAACTAATTTGCATTCCCACCAACTGTGTATAAACATTCCTTTTCATCTGCAGCCTTGCCAACATCTGTTATTTTTTCTTTTGACTTTTTAACAATAGCCATTCTGACTGGTGTGAGATGGCATCTCATTTTGGTTCTGATTTGCATTTCTCTAATGATTAGTGATGTCGAACATTTTTTCATATGCTTGTTGGTGCATGTATATCTTTTTTAAAGAAGTGTCTGTTCATGTCCTTTGCCCATTTTTTAATGAGGTTATTTGCTTTTTGCTTGTTAAGTTGTTCGAACTCCTTGTAGATTCTGGATATTAGTTCTTTGTCAGGTGCATAGTTTGCAAATATTTTTTCCCATTCTGTAGGTTGTTTACTGTTGATAGTTCTTTTTTTTTTTTTTGCTGTGTGCAGAAACACTTTAGTTTAATTAGGTCCCAATTGTCAATTTTTGTTTTTGTGGCATTTGCTTTTGAGGACATAGTCATAAATTATTTGTCTAGGCCAATGTCTGGAAGAGTATTTCCTAGGTTTCTTCTAGGATTTTTATATTTTGAAGTCTTACCTTTAAGTCTTTAATCCATCTTAAGTTGATTTTTTTTGTATATGGTGAGAGGTAGGGGTCCAGTTTCATTCTTTTGCATATGGTTGCCAGACAAATGAGTTTTAGCAACTATGGGGGAACTGAGTAGTCTGTACAATTCATTCATGAATCTCTCTCTCTCTCTCTCTCTCTCACATGTACACACACACACACACACACACACACACACGCTCCTTATCAAACAACTGAAACCTTTGTGCATGTAATAAACTTTTGATCCTCACTCTAAGCAATGTGTGTACTTGTCAAAGTGAGTGGCGTGGTGGGATTTGGATGGATAATTATCTCGGAAAGTTTCCTGTAAGCAGATGAGGCAAGAGTAAGCTCCTGACAACTACCTTCAGGAGAGGATGGTATGGACATGCACCCTTTCCAAATATATGCTTCCCCAGGCTGCCACAGTGCCTGACATCCCACCTGTAGGAATTATTCCTTGGGTTTTATTTTTTTTTAAGACATGTGTGCCTTTTAAACAATTCTGAGAAATTAGACTCCAGAAATATTGCAATGAGTGGTGCCTAAGTCTGCAGAGGGACAAGTGGCAGAAAATAAAAAGAAAGAAATAAAAATAAAGGTTACTGGTTGAGAAAAGATGTGGGAGATTTTGCAGCTCCAGTGATTTTAATGAAAAGTGTTCAAACCTTACTTTTATACCTGAAAGAGAGGCTAACCACCATATAACTAGAAAGCAACTTTTTAAAAAATATTTATTCACTACATGTAGAATTCCGAAAAGCACATTGATACTTTGCTGAGGTCTGACTCAGGTTGTAGCCATCTCTGTCAGCTGTCCTTCACACAGGAAAGGGTATTATTGGCATGGAGGTACAAAACCCACACACACTACTACACTCCCACCCCACCTCCCCCCACATCCCACCACAGACACCACACACACACACACCACATACTACATACACACATACACACCACACGTCAAACACATCACACCACACAGTCACATCACATATGCATACACACCATACACATGACACATACCACCCACACACACCATCCCATGCACACCACACGCCCCACACATGCATCACATTATACACACACACCACACATACCAAACACACACACCATGCACACCACACATACACCACACATAACACACCACACACGTAACATACCCACTACACACGTAACACATTCAGCACACACACATCACACACACCGCACTACACACACACACACACAACACACACACACACACACACTACATAGACCACATATGACATACACACACTAGTTAAGTGACTATTTCTTTATTTTTGCTTTAACTAGCATGTCTATGGTAAGTACCTTCTTTGTTACCTGAACTTAGCCTATTCATACAATAAGAGCTAAATTTTGCTCAGCACTTTCTTAGCACTTAGCATAAATTATTTCATAGTAACCCCATGTGGTACAGATTATTACTATTGTCTCCTGTGTTAGTAGAGAAATAACCTGGTGGTAACCAACCATCTCAGTTTGCTCGAAGCTGAGAGGGTTTCAGGAACATCAGATGCTTAGTGTTGAAACTGTGAAAGTCCCAGGCAAACTGTGACAAGTGGGTCACCACAAAACTGAGACACAGAGAGGCCATGTAACTTCCTGAAGGTCACAGAGCTAGTGAGCAGTGGAGCTGGGATTGGAAACTCCCAAGCATTTCAGCTACAGATCCCTCCACCTTAAGTTCCCATCTGCCCTCTGTGGCCTGGCTCAACTCTTAGAATTCTCCACCATGATCAGTCTGTTAAAATAAACAGGTATCAAGGTTAGTCATGTATCTCATAAAGTATTATGTATATCAAGACACTCTAACATATGTATCCAAACGACATATCAACTATTCACAGGAAAAAAGAATGCATTAGAAATCTAATATTTTTTTTTAAATATGAAGCACAAATCCAACATATGCAAGCATCATATACAGTTGTCATACTTAGACACTAGCGGGAAAGACAAAACTGATTGCAGGCAACTGTTGCAGATGAATTACTGCTAAACACAGGTTCCTTATCGTAAGAGCTGTAGGAATCCAGGCAATGCACAAAACAACAAGAGGCAAGTCATGAGAGAAAGCACTATGAAAATGTGGGACATTAGCTAGAAAGAATCACAGTTTCACCTAGACCAGATTTAGGTGTTTGGAAAGGAGAGATTTCTAGATGGGAAAACAAGAGAAAAAGGCTGCCAGCAGGACAAAACCTACTGCGTGGAGGATGTTCAGGATGAGGTTGCAAAACAGGAACCAGGGATGAGAAAAGAGGATGCAAACAGGTTTCCCTAAAGAAGAGGCAGGCAAGGTGCTCACTCGTCAATCAGACCACCACCCTTCAGGGTATTACGCGTGGATAAGTCTCAGGAAAACTATCAAATGTTGACAGCTGAACAAGCCCAAACCCCAAATCCATTTTGACCATTTTTTACATGTATGCATTTGAGTGCAAAGAGGCGGAACTCTGTAACTGACTTCTCTAACCTGGCTCGAAAGCTTTACAGATTACAAAGCTTCATCGTGATTAAGGCTATTAAAACAAAAATTACTCAGATGGGTGGTGTTTTCTAATAGTTATTATGTGCAACAGAAAACTTGAACACATATGCCCAAACTTCTCATCAAGTCATGATGAGAGAAACAATAATACAGTAAAAATCAAATTTAGGCTGGGCGTGGTGGCTCATGTCTGTAATCCCAGCACCTTTGGTGGCCAAGGTGGGTGGATCACCTGAGGTCAGGAGTTCGAGACCACGCTGGCCAACATGGTGAAACCCCATCTCTACCAAAAATACAAAAAATTAGCCAGGCTTGGTGGCACACACCTGTAGTCCCAGCTACTCAGGAGGCTAAAGCATGAGAATCACTTGAACCCAAGAGACAGAGGTTGCAGTGAGCCAAGATCGCACCACTGCACTCCAGCCTGGGCGACAGATCGAGACTCCATCTCAAAAAAAAAAAAAAAAAAAAAAAAATCAAATCGGCAGGCACCTTGGCTCATGCCCATAATCTCAACTACTCAGGAGCCTGAGGTGGGAGGATTACTGGAGCCCAGGACTTGAGACTAGCCTGGCCAACAAGTGAGACCTCATGTTGATTAAAAAAGAATGAAATTAAAATAATAAGAAAAGAAATACCCAAACGAACCACTCTTTTTAAATTTTCAGCTTTGCTTTCAACCGAAGAATCCAGTGTTCCTGAGAGAGCCGACTGACTAGATTACCAAATAGTTAAGGGTTATAAAGTTTGGATTTCTTCAATACAGTTACCCAAACTTCACCTGAGACACACATTTTGGGAATACTCTTGGCTAGTACTGGTTTCAAGCCATTAGGCAACAAGTTATATAATCGAAAACTTAATAACAGCCATAATCATCCACAGAAATGTCAACATTAAAAATGGACTGTCCTAGTACGTGGAGATACAACTCACAGGTGAGAAGAGATGGTGTATATTTGCACAAATAAAAATAATTTACATTTCTATGAACTATAGAATAAGTCACCCCATATTTGCGTATTTATGCTTACCATTGGGTTGTATTGCAGTCTAACATTCTAATTACTCCCAAATCAATCCCATTTTCCTCCCTATGAAGGAAAATTAGCTCTAGGCTTATCTATACATATACTCCATAGATACCTCAGCACATCAGCCTAGAAGTGTTTCTTAAGGCATAGTTTGAGGACTTCCTGTGTCAGAATTATCAGGGCAGTGTGTTAAAATGCAGATTCATAGGCTCTGCAGTGCGCATTGGTTCAGGAATTCAAATATATGCAAATTTGTATGCTGTAGATAATCTTTATGCACTCTATTTTGGAAAATCACTGGCATAGAAGGGACATGAAAGCAGGTCCTTTCCCTCACCAGGTCACCCAGGCAGTGATAGAACTGAGTCCTGGGAGAGTCATTTTACACTCCAAGTCTTCCACAAAATGCCCTTATTAACCCATATTCAAAAGCGCGAGGGCTGGCAAAGATGCATACGTTAAGAACCTCCCCATCCCCCACCACTTTCATAGACCAAACATCTTCACCACTGTCAAAATTGTCCAGGGAAAGTCTGAGACTTGCTTGACATGTTTTGCAAGTTGCAATTAAATATTCACAGGGCAAAAATCCCTGTGTAGTTCTTTGTTGTACATGAATTACGTGCAAAGGGTATATTACAGCAGGCAATAAGCGTTTCTTAAACTCTACATCTCATTACCCGTGAAACCTGCCCCTCTGCTGTGTGAGCAGCTGCTTCTCTTCTTCCTGTGTGTGCTTGACCTACAATTCCTCCATGTCTAAATCTCTCCAGAGGTCTCCATCCTAATGAGTTAAGTTCAATGGACACGTGTGCTGTTTCACCTGTAAAGAACGCACTTCCTTCCCAGAGCATGCTCCCAACTTCCATCAACACTGCACAACACGCTTGCTCTAGAAGCTTTTTCTTCGCTTCTCACCCCAGCCCCCCACCAACCTGCCTGAGGTTGGTCTGATGAATCCTCCTTCCTACTCGCTGTCTCCAGGAAAACAGTGTTGAAATGTCCCCTGTTTTTATGCATGTCTGTAACATATGCTCAGGTAAACTGGCATTTGCCTTAGTTTCTCCATGGACCATAATGATCACATGGGAGGGAGCTGTCTAGCACTTCCTGTGAAATACGTAATAAAACCCAACTCCACTTTCTGCGCAACAATTAGCTCTGGGCCTCTGTGCAGGGTGAGGGTCTGATCCATGCTGCTGGCTGCTCAGTGACTGTTATTCTTCCTTCACCTTATGATGCATAGAATGGAAATGCTTCCTGCCACCCACAGAATGAAACTCGATTTCCCCAAGTGTTAATTTTATTAAAGCAGGCAAACCAAGCTAATGTGAGTCCATCACTATGAGTCAGCCTCGTAGCTCACATCAAGTAGACTCAGGCAGGCTTTTTGTTTTCTTTTATTTTCTCCCACAGCCTATTTTTAAAACCCTCTGTAAATACATTTAATAATCACTTGGTAGATTATCATACAAAACTACTCTTAACTAAATTTGAATTCAATCTTTATTTGAGGCAGTGATGGCTAATATTGACTGTTGCGTAGAATTATGAGAAGTCCCTGAGTAGTCAGCTCCAGCGGAGCCTAGATCTATTTTTTAAAACCAGTTATTGATTTCTGCAAATAGGCTTTCCTTGAGGCTCCAGCAGATCATGGTCTTTAGGTGAAGTGTGGTAAGGTGATGGATAGTGAGGGTGAGTACATTTTCCCTTTGTTCATCTACATTCTTATTAATAATAATATCTTTCATTTATAACTCCTTTCATCCCCGAGCATCGTGAAGTGCTTAGCGGACGTAATGATGCTGTATGGAGAAATCCATCACACAACCCGCAGGCAAAACGCAGCGGTTGTCTAGCTGTACTGCTTGGCTGCACTGCAGCTTGGGACACCAGGAGGAAGTCAATGGACAGCCAAAGCTATTTTAAGCAGATAATTACAGGGAACTAGATTGGAGTGGGGCTAAGCCCTTTGACCTAACACTCACCAATGTTTGAAGGGCTCTGCACCTGCTTATGGCACTGAGTCCTACAACTGTTGCACCAGGTCGGGGTTGCAATAGAGCAAGCAGGTTTATGTTAAAGAGCTAACTCATCTGAGAACAGTGTTTCATTGCTCCCCTTCCAAACAATGAAGATGCCAAAATGCATGAGATAAGGCCAATGGGTGTAATGCGTGTACAAATATTCGCCTGCCTTTCCCCATGAGCAGGCTCAGCAGCAAAAGCATTCCCTGTATTGCTAGCAAGAGCCCATGATTCCAAGCATTTCCTCTCCAATGCTCCTGTTTCCTCTCTTAATTGCAAAAGGAAAATATGATGGTCTGACTCTCTGGAATTAATGGGTAAGCTTTGAAGGGAAGGATTAGTTTAGGTTAGGTCTCTTTGCCACTTATCGATTGTGTGACTTTGGCTTAGTGGCTTCCTGTTATTATTCCACGGATGATATTTTTCCATGGTGCGTCACCAAAACCCCATCCAAAAAGCAGAGGTCCATCTTTGAACCCCCTATGATGAATATTTATCTGGACTTCTGTTCCACCTTGGTTGGGTGGCACATTACAGATATTAAAAAATGCGTTGGAATGAGTACATATGTGCAGACAGTGGAATAAGAGCCACTGGAGACAGCAAAAGACGGGAGGGTGTGAGGGAGGTGAGGGATAAAAGCAGAAAAAAAAAAAACACCTATTGGGTAAAATGCTCACCATTTGCGTGATGGTCACACTGAAAGCCCAGATTTCACCACTACACTGTCTATCCATGTAACGAAACTGCAGTTGTATATCTAAATCTACATGTTTAATGTGTTGATTGGTTAAAAAGTAAAATAAAAAACAGAAGAAAGGCATGAGTGGGAAAGAACAGTGAGTTCATCCATCAAGTTTCCCTTCACAAGAGTGTGCCATCGGGACTCATAGGTTATTTCAAGTGTTTACTGTGTGAAGTCATTTTTCTCATCATTTGGACATCTTCTGAAACTCCACTATCTCCAGAAAAATGTGTCATCTCCATCAGCAGAAAATTGCCAGCCCCTTCACTCATAACCAAAGATCACATGGTGAGTTCCTCAGGCCCTACTGCGAAGTAGAAACCCAGATTCTTCCCACCCCAAGCAAGCCACTGGCTGAATACCTTGTAGGGTGTCAGTCCCTTTCTCTCATTCAGGACTTAACTTAATGGTTTTACTTTCCTTCTGTTTGACCTATCCATGTGTATTCAGATCACTGCATGTGCTTAGAAAGCAGCCCCTTAAAGACTGAGCATCCAGTCTGCTTTGCTCTGTAGCACGGGGCTCAGCACACTGCCGTGTCACAGGCAAGTGGAGCTTAAATGTCCCCTGATGCCAACGATTGAGGGTGTGCTAATTTGCTGTGCTCACTGGGTGCAGATTATTTTCGACCAGCTCAGTATTGGCGGTGTGAGCAAGACACTGGCTTAATTACCTTCTCTAATGACTGATAAGGATCACAGGATGGGTGAGCTGGAATGCTGGGACAAGATTAGAAATGACATCCCCTTATTGCCACTTTTTCTTCAATAACATGTGGCTCATACCTTTAAGTGAGCAAGTGTCTCCCTCCTGCCCGTAGCACAGGAGGAAGCCGTGTACTCCCTGCCCACTTGATTATCCTGTCTCCAGCTGATGCAGCAAAGCTCATTGCCGTTGAGAAAGCCTTACGTACAACCATGCTGACCACACAGAACAAATGTGTCTTCGGCTTGTGAACTGGGGTGTATCACAGAAAAGTTGGATTATGAAACAGATCTCCTTGAATAGAAGCGTACCCTGGGGGCTCTCTCCTGGGGTGTCCACTTGACGTTTGAGGTGGGCTGTTCATGAAAACAAGTTTCTTTCCTGTCTGGACTTAGGAGTTATTTCTAAGAAAATGCTCTCGCCTAAAAAATTGGGCAAAAACATTTCACCATCAGAAGTCAATGACCTCCACACTGCATTGTGTTCATTCTCTTACCTGTATGTATCCTCTTACAAGACTCAAAGCTTCACAAGGACCATGTCATCTTGATGCCTAATTCAGTGTCTGGTCCATGGGAATGCTTGATAAATGTCTCCTGAATGGCTGAAGGAATGAAGTAAGGAGTGGGAGACCTCTACAATAAACACAGAAATGAATACATCAATGAATGAGCCAGGGTGCATGTGTGTCTTAGGTTAAATGGCCTGTCTTGTCATATGCATTGATCAGTTAAAAGTCTCTGAGAGTCTATGTATGCCAAGTGGGAAGGAGAAAAAAATTAAAATCCATTCTTTGCCAAGGTCACTCTTGTAAGATTTTCCAAAAAACATAGAAAAAAAAAGTTTCTTACTGAGATTTGTTTTAATTGGCGTGTACCAAACTAAATATTAAAAGAAAATCATTGCTTTTCTACACCATTAAGTCATTTTTTTGAACATGAAATTGGTCTTATCCCATAGCTCAGAAACATTACTCTCTCGTGTGTGCAGGTATCAGCCAAGAACTGACTTGTGTCAGCTTATTTTGATCCATCTTGAAAATCCCCCCTCTTTACTCACTTTTTCTCTAATCCTGAGTTCCCAGAAAAGGAAAGGAAGAGACAGGATCCCAGCTGCCTGCTCTGCAGTACAGACAGCTCAGGAGAGATGGAGCCACTACCTAAACTGCTTCCAAAGCCACTGGCCCTCTGCTCCTCTCAGTGCTGAGCCAATGTCTCAGGAGGCTTCTGAACTGGGATAATCCACTTGAAGTAGAGACTAAAAAATAGAAACAAGTTGGGTTAAAGATATTCAGAGGGGTTGAAGTGGGCTGTAGCAGACAGCCATGCAGCGTGTCTGTGGGTGAAAGGGAGGGAAGACAGATGGAGAAGGAAGCACAGTCCAGCTGAGGCGGGCTTGCAATCCATTGCAATCCAGGGAGGCCACACCTCAGGCCTGCCTCATTGAGATGGGCCGACCATTTCTGCTGAAACTGTCTTTCTACGTATATTTATGTAGAATACCCAGCAGCCCTGCAAGGAGCTACTGCTTGTTATTTTGACTGATTACAGGCGAGTGACTGCATTGTAATGGCAGCAGCCACTCATTAGCTCTGGCGAGCTAGACAGAAACCCTCAGCTCATTCCGACCGCATCCGCCCCTGGAGGTGAATATTCAACAGGAATTGATCTCCTTAATGAGAACACAGCCGTGCTGCTTCGATTAGCAGCAGTGGAATTTTAAATAGTTAATTATGACAAAGGGTCAGCATGTGCATGTGTGCACTGGGGAGCATGCCTGTGTGCGTGTGGTTGAGTGGACCCTCAGCTGGTACGTGGGCCTGGGCTTCATAGGAGGGCAATTCCGGAGAATGACACTGGGTTTTCAGTGGTTGCACCAGGAGTGGCCCTTCCTGTCAAGGAATTCCTAGAAGGAAGCCCTGGCATATGCGCGCTTCACTCTGTGCCCATAGGGATACCCAGGGATGCTCTCCATGGTACTCTGCCCAGTGCCCCTTTCCTGTGACAAACAAGCCCATGGAACACCGTGGGTTGATGAAGATAGATGTTGTAGTCTAGGAAGGGAGATCTCTCTGTTCAAAACAAAATAGCTCCTTTTTTCTAAAACTTAGCTGAAAGACCTTCTTCCCCAAACCCAATGAACATAATTAAGAATAGGCTGAAATGGACAAGAAGACATGATAATTGATTGTGGTCTTTCTGCCTGGCAGCTGCACTTAATTAACCTTTAGATTCAAATATCAAGTGGTGTCCGCATGGAGAGACATGGAGAAGGGGCCGCCTGACCTCACTTCTCTCTGCTCACTGGAGGGGACTGGTTCAGAGGTCACCTTGGGGCTGGGCCTCAACTATCTTATCTCTGGTTTCACCCAAACATCACTCAGGTACCTGGAGTTCCTTTTCAAATCCTGAAGGACACAAGAACTTCTCCCATGTGGTGGTTCTACTGCAGTCTGGTCTGCAGCTTTATGTCACTGTCTTGCAAATGGGAGTCCACTACTTGGGTTCTTCTTAGCCTGGCTTTTCAAAAGGCAACCAAAGCCACAATCCACAGGCCAGGTGTCATGTGTCCAGGAAACAAAAGCAAGACAGTCCTGCTCTGGTCTCTTTTGTCTCACCAGCCTGCAGAGATCATAATCACTCACAGTAACATCATCTTTGAGAACAAAGCCCAGAGAATGTGAGGATTGTAGGTGAGCACAGGGGATTTGGGACTCTGTTCAAGCTCACTCCACAACTGAAAAAGCAGGAGCAGAGTCAGTGTCTCAGTATCATCCCTGTGGCTCATGGGAGCGGCACACAGAGCTTTGGTTTTGTCAGTCCTCATTTAAGGGCTGACCCTGGTGAAGCCGCATCAGCTGCGGCCGCCTTTGAGGCATGTTGCTGGGGGGACGACACAGCGTGTGCCTCGGGGTACACGGGGCCATAGGTGATGCTGTGTGCCCCGGCACATTCTTGCCCTCTGGGATCAGGAAGAGGCTGTTTCCAGCACAAGCCCAGTCGGAGCTCTTTATACTGAACGGCTTCTCAAGGGCTGGTGTGAAACCAGCAACCGCACAATGGACTGGCTGACCTCTAAATACAGCGCGGAGCACAATTCAGGTCCCTTTTCCTCCCATCTCATTGGCCATCTGGCTTCAAAAGGGGGTCGGATTTTCCGATCTACAAAAGGGCACGTCTGAATTGATGTGCATTTTGGAGAGGAGGCTGGTAGTAGTGTTTCTGGGGGTGTTGTACCTGTTCTGGCTGGCCACGTTTCAAAAGGGGAAAAGAAAAGAGAGAAGGAAAGGAAGAATAAAAAGGAGGGGAAAAAGAAGTAAAAAGGACAAAAGAGGAGAAAGAATATGCACACACACGTATCTACATACATACATATATACTGCACTTTCTATCTTCTGCATCCATTTTTGGCCCCAGAAGTTTCTCTATTCAATGTACATTTTAATAGGGGGCCAATTTCTTTGCTCCAGATGAATTATGTTTTCTGTTCCTTAATGGGTTTTTCAAAAGGAAAGTAACAACCCTAGCTATCAGACTCTTAAATAAGAGAGAGATTACTTTTAACCCAAAGGAAAACTATGGCAGGAACACAGTCTCACAGCCAAGAGAGATCCCCACCCTTGAGAAGACACCTTCCTGCCTGCCTGTACAGCCCTCTCGCAGTGGCTGCAGGTATCAAGGGCTGATCCCATGCTCCCAGAGCGCTACCAAGGAAGGGTCTTCAGAAAAAAATGCTCAGGAGGCAAGGGGGCTGCAACCCGTGCCACAGAAAGCCAGATCTTTCTTTGCACCAGTTGTACAGTTTCTGCAAAACTGAAGACTGACATTGAAAACGACTGCTGGTCAGCTATTCCTTGATCACTCCTAGAGTGTGTATGTTACTATTCCTCCAATTGCTAGCAAGCATTGAGACTGGTGGACTCAGCTTTCTGCTGGAATTTGAGTATAATGAGCATCTGTATCATAAATAAGCATCAAAGATATAAACTATAATCTAAAGAAGAAGCCAGGCGCAGTGGCTCATGCCTGTAATCTCAGCAGTTTGGGAGGCCGAGGAGGGCAGATCACCTGAGATCGGGAGTTCGAGACCAGCCTGACCCACATGGAGAAACCCTGTCTCTACTAAAAATACAAAATTAGCTGGGTGCATGCCTGTAATCCCAGCTACTTGGGAGGCTGAGGCAGGAGAATTGCTTGAACCCAGGAGGCGGAGGTTGTGGTGAGCCAAGATTGCGCTATTGCACTCCAGCCTGGGTGACAGAGCGAGACTTCATCTCAAAAAAAAAAATAAATAAATAAAAGGAAAAGAGGGGTCTCGATGGTGGTTCTCAAACATTAAATTACCTAAGAATTACCTAGGGAGTAATACCTGGACAGACTGTATTCCCCCAGATATCACATGTTGAACCCCTAGTCCAGGTGTGATGATGTTAGAAGGAAGAGCCTTTGGGAGGTGATTAAGTTGTGAGGGCAGAGCTCTCACAAATGGGATTAGTGCGCTTATAAAAGAAGAGGCAGAAAATCAGTTAGTGTCTTCTTTCTGCCACGTGAGGACACAGAAAGATGATGGCTATCTGTAAGCCAAGAAGAGAGCCCTTACCAAGAATCCAACCCTGCAGGCACCTTGGTCTTAGAATTCCAACCTCCAGAACTGTGAAAAATCAATGTTTATTGTGTAAGCCATCCAGTTCACAGCCTGAGAAAAGTTACAGCTTGTTAAAAACACATATTTCAGAGCATTACCCTCAAAGATTCTGACTTATTAGACCTAAAGTTGGGCCTAGTCTTTTCTGAGGACATTTTTCCAATACCTCCTTGGACCAAGAACATAGGCCTCATTATAAACGAGCAGAGTGGGCCTGAATTTCCAGGATGTTATATGTTTGTGGTTGCCTGTGAGGATGTTTGTGTGCACATGTGGGACCAGTGGAAAGTACTGAAATAAGCTGTGGAGACATCCCTTCTCTCTCTCCTTTTTATTAACTGTGGTACACACTGAATATGGCAGGCAAAGTTTCTAAAATGGTCTTCTAAAGATGCCCGTCCTAACTCCAGGTACCTGTGAATATAATGAGCTATCACTCTGATTATATTATGTTCTAATGCACAGTTGACCTTGAAATAGGATGAACATCCTGGATTATCCAAGTGGGCTCAGTGTCATCATAGGAACCCTTAAAAGCAAGAAACTTTCTCCAGCTGATGACAGAAAGGGACATCAAAGAGAGTCAAAGTAGCAGGAGGAATTGACAGGCCTTTGCTGGCTTTGAAGACGAAGGGAGCCCATATCAAGGAATGTCCATGAGCAGCCCATGGTCAATAGCCATCAAGGAATCAAGGACTTCAGTCCCACAACTCCAAGGAAGTGAATTCAATCAACGAGCTTAAGAAAGTGTGAAGCAGATCTTCTGCAGGGGCCCCAAATAGGAATCCAGGCTGTTTGACCCCTTGACTTCAACCTCGTGAGGCCCAAAACAGAGAACCTAGCCGAGCCCACGGGGCTTCTGACCTACACACTTTGAGATAATAAACTGTTCTAAGCACTACATTTTTGGTAATTTCTTATACAACGATAGAAAATGACTACACTTCAGAAATACCAAATGAAGAAAATAGAGCCCTGTCCTTTCGGATCTCACAAACAAGAGAGGCTGAGGATGTACAGCCAATTAATATGTAAGTATTTGTTAAAGGGATGGGCACAAGGAGCCTTGGATATGGAAAAGGGTTCATTCTTGCTTGGTATGCTAGGGGTGAAGGGAGCTCAGCAAAGCTGTCTCAGAGAGAGTGATGGGTGGGCTGGGTCTTGGAGGAGGCATAGGATTTGTTAGGGATGGGGAGGATATTGTAGGAGGAAACAGCAGGAGCAAGGGCAGAGTGGTCTGGAGGTGTTTGTTACAAGTGGGGAAGAGGAGCCAAGATCAGTTGCAGCTGGAGTTTGTAATACATGAACGGTGACCAGAGATGATTTTGGAAAGTCAGGCAACAGTCAGTATGTGGAAGGATTTTTCACTGCATGCCAAAAAAATTGGGCAATATCTTGCTTTGGTGATAGGGAGTCCTAGGTGTTGGTAAGCAGGAGTGTGACTAGTCACATTTGTTTTTCTACTTGGCCTTCAGGCACACAGAATTGGATTAAGTATAATTATGGGTTCATGTCACATTCTCATGACTGTTATGTGCAATGACTTTCTTTCCTTCCTTCCTTCCTTCATTCCTTCCTTCCTTCCTTCCTTCATTCCTTCCTTCCTTCCTTCCTTCATTCCTTCCTTCCTTCCTTCCTTCCTTCCTTCCTTCATTCCTTCCTTCCTTCCTTCCTTCATTCCTCCCTTCCTTCCTCCCTCCCTCCCTCCCTTCCTTCTTTTTTTCCTTTCTTTCTTCATAATACAACGCATACTTTCTAACACTCTACCCAACACAGAAGCCAAAACACTGATGATTTACATCTACTAGTGTGTGTCCTCCCTCTTTTATCCCTTATCTATTGATCAATTGATCTATCACTCTATCAATCAATCTATTTTCCAACCTGCCTATCTATCTGGTATTGTCAGATCTATGTAAATTTATTACCTGTATATTGTTTAGGTTTCTTTTCTTTAATTTAGAAGAGAACATTATGCTGTTTGTACTCTTTTGTATTTGTAACTGTGTTTGCTAACTTTAATCCTATGAGTTGCCTGTAGATGCATTTCATCCATTTCGATTGCTGGACGTTATTCCATTGAGGGTACACACTGATAAATTTCTTCATTCCTCTATTCTTCTGTCTGTGGGAATTTGGGAGAATTATGCAAGAGTTCTCTTAATAGAAAATACGGCACCAATACTAGGACAGTAGATGTGGGTTGGAGAAGAGAGAGAGGGCTTGAGACTTAGATAAACTGGCTATGACCAATGTTCAAAATGTCTAGCCTGAGAAATATTTGTGTTCAGTTCAGATTAAAACTGTTTACTTCTTTCTCTCTCCTTCTGCTGGGCCACATGTTGTTCTCATGCAAATGCAAGCTTGCAGCTTGTCTCCCCAGGACAGAGCAGAGCCTGTACCTCACTGTAGGAGGACATTGAATGCATCACCGAATGAAGGCAAAGGACTGTCTCCTGCATGGACATACAGTCTCGGCCACAGCCTCTGGACTCTGCTGACAGATGGCTAGTGATACTTGAGTGAGCCGTGAGACCTTTAGCGCTGCCCTGCCCTTCCTTCATGGGGAAGGAGCCTGTAGTGGAAACATCATCTTGAGATGTAGAAGCAGCAGGCACAGAATATCTTGCAACCGTAGGGGAGAACAATAATTTTTTTCTTCAATCCCCATAGGTTCTTAGTTGAAACAGATCCCTATAACAAAAGACAGACTAACAGGAAAAAAAAAACAAGCAGCTTAACAACATGTGCATTTCATATGCACACGAGAGCCACTTAGGGAATGAGCAGTTCTCCAAGAGGTGGCTTTTGAATTCCAACTTACATAGCATCTTCAAGAACAGTTAGTTTTTAGAGAAGCAACAAGATAATGGGAAAGGACTTTGATTCTCTAGGGGCAACAATTTGTGGGCAGGCAAATAACTGGCAGATAAAGGCCAGTTAGTAAAGCTTGTTCATGTGGAGTCCTTGGGTATCATCTCCAGTAGATAAGAATGTAAAGTTGTCTTCAGTGGTTAACCTTCATTCTTCCTAGCGGTGGTGGTGGGAGGAGGAGCAGGGTTCCTTTTGTCTTTGTAAATCTATGTCCTACTTTTAAGCAAATAGAGGCAGGGCACAGAGCTGTCGTGCATCTGCTTCCTCTTAATTGTCTTCAGCTCAACAATTCTTCATATTCTGAGGTGGCAAATTTTGGTCTCTTACCCAGCCTAACAGGTGAGAATTGGAATTGATTATAGCACTGTGCTTCTCTGACACTGGCCCTAGACCAGTTCATCACCTGCAGCAGGTACAAATAAATCCCACCTTGAGGATTCAGTGGGATACAGGGCTCTCCTTCACTTACTGTCCTACGTAATACAGAAGAGCCTGACTATACACTGTTGAGTGTGGCGTTATGAGGCGGTAGAATAAGTGGCACTTTTGACCATCTTCCTAAAAATACATTACAAACCAGAGTGGTAGAAGAGAGGTTTCTAATGCTTAATTTTTATTAAAAGTTATCCTTACATTTAATTTCTGTCAAGTGGACCATTATGCTTATGATGAGTAATTATCTTTATCATCCTTAAATACTTCCTCTTCAAAGAAAATGTTTAAATAAACCTTTATAAGAATACTTAAATATGATATGCGGTACTGAGTTTCATTTAATAAAATTTTGCCTTATTGTAGGACTGGCATAAATTGGATATGTGCATTGTTTGAACTAGTCTTTTGAATTCATTGCATTATTTTAAACATTTCATTTTTGAAATATTGTACACCAACCAAAAAGTGACATAGGTTAAAAAAAGAAAATGTTCTTGTGTTTTTTAAATCCAGGAGAGGTTTTACCTGGAAAAAATGAACTGCCTTTTTCTCTGTAAAACAGAGCCCACATGGTGCAGCAAGTTAAGTGGGCTCCACCGGAAAAATGGTCCTAGTATGAGTTCTACCACTACATAATCAAGTGACCAAGAATCAGTTACATAACTTCTCCTTGTTTTCTTGTTGCAGAATGAGGGGGTAATTAAATAACTCTGGTGCCAAGTCCCATGAGAGGTGCCAGACCAGTTTAGATGTGCAAAGTCCTTTGGGAAGGGAGCCATTGAAAGTCTGAGTAGAATGCTAGAAATATCCAGGATGCTGTGGGAAAGTCCAAGTACAGACTGATTTTTTTCTTTTTTTTTTTTTTTTTGAGATGGAGTTTCACTGCTGTTGCCTAGGCTGGAGTGCAATGGTGCGATCTCGCCGCAACCTCCACCTCCCTGGTTCAAGTGATTCTCCTGCCTCAGCCTCCCGAGTAGCTGGGATTACAGGCATGTGCCACCATGCCCGTCTAATTTTGTATTTTTAGTAGAGATGGGGTTTCTCCATGTTGGTCAGGCTGGTCTTGAACTCCTGACCTCAGGTGATCCACCCACCTCGGCCTCCCAAAGTGCTGGGATTACAGGTGTGAGCCACCGTGTCCGGCCCAGACAGAGTTTATTTTTTAGCATTAGAAAATATCTCAATTCACTTTTGCTTTTAATCTAATCTAAACTATGAGTTGAGTTTCTGTCATGTGCAACACCATTATTAAAGAAAATAAAACTTCTTTGAGGAAGGTGTGTTGTTTTACAGTTGATTCGAATTAAGAGAGATTCACATTCCCCCTCTTTGTTTTCCAACCGCTTCCAATCCCAATCTTCTAGAGTTCTGTAGTTTGTACTAGAAAAGCCAACAGGAGGTTGAATTTGTTGCTAAGGACCTTGGATAAGCACAAATAATAGTTTTCCTTGTCTACGCCAGGTTTTCCCGACCTTGACACTATTGACATTTCTGTCCAGATGATTCTTTGTTGAGGAAGGCTGTCCTATGTATTATGGGATGTTTATCTTCATCCCTAACCTCAAACCCCTAAATGTCAATAAAATAATACCGTGCCCCCTCCGGAGCCGTGACAACAAAAAATATCTTCAGGCATTGCCCAATGTCCCCTGTTAAGTAAAATTGTCCCCAGTAGAGAACCATTTTTTTAGACCAAGAGTGAGCAAACTATAGCTCATGATCCAAACACAGTCAGCCATTTGTTTTGTAAATAAGACTATAACAGAACATAGCTATATTTATTTGTTTACAAACTGTCTGTGGCTGTTTTTGACCTACAATGGCAGCACTAGCAACCATGCCAAGAACACATTAATCTTCTAGTATACTTAGTCAACTTTTCTAGAGCCTTTCAATGCATGCTATTTGCAGAAGAGATAACGTTAGCCCTATTTGCAGATAAGCTCACTGGGCTAGGTGTGGTTAAATGACTTGCCAACTTCTATCAGAGCTTGGACTATAACCAATGGCTCCTGACTGCCTGTCTTCCCGCTTTACCCCATAATGTTGGATGTTGAAGGGACTGTAAAGATAATTGACTCCAGCTTCCTAACAAATACAAGGATCACTATTAAAACAATATACCTGGAAAAAAAAAAAAGAGAAACCACTGTTCATTCAGTTTTTAAATAACTTTAATTTTAGAAAGTTTTTCCTTAAATTGAGCATAGTCCTGCCTTCTGGAGTTTTATAGCATGTCAACTCTGGGTAAAATCATGGAATCTCGGGAACCTAAAAGGTCATTGACTCCAATTATCTATGCAATACATGAATCTACACCAGAGGGTTCCCCGTGGGTATTATTCAAGGTTGCAGCCTCAACACCTGCAGTAACCAGGGATCATGGGGCTCACTTCTCTCACACTGGCCCTCACTATTCTGAATAACTGTGACTAAGAATTTCTTCTTCTGTGGAAGTTGAAATCAGGTCCTCTGTATGTACTGCTCTCAAGAGTCATGCTGCCACTTAGACTCCATAGAAAGGGCCTGATCCCATGTGCTTGACACAAATTTTTCAGCTCTGCTTGATTTAGCCATAGACAAGGTCTCTGTTGAATATTCTTGTCTCCATGTTTACCCTGCCAGATTCTTATTTTCTTAAATAACATGGTTTTAAGAACTCTTGCCGGGCTTGCTTGTACTGCTGTGAATACAACTTGCAACAGTTTACCTACATCTTTCTAAAAAAATTCCAGATAGTGTACTACCAATTATGTTTCCTAAGTTTGGGTTAACTTTGTTTCAAGCTGTTTGATTATGTGAACTTATTACGAACTTACACACAAATAAATTCCCTGTTGATTGTTACAAAAGCTGGAGTTAAGCTTCATGTTCCTCATCTTCTATTTTACAGTTATTTCAGGATTTGGTGGCATGGCTTTTTATTTTTCTCCCTTGAATATCAACTTGGCAAGACCAGCTCATAATTCTAGCTTCTCGAGATATTCTTGCATCCTGCTTTTAATCTTCCAATTTATTTACTATTTCACTTGGCTTCTTATCATCCCTACTTTTTTATAATTATGCTTTTTATATCTTTATTCAACACATTGATAGAAATATTAAAAAGGATAAGGCTAAAGATAGAATCTTAAAGTTATCACTAAAGACTTCCTTCCATATCACCACTAATTCATTAATCAAAAACTTTTGGTCACAGTTATTAAGTTAATTACAGATTCACTCCATAAAGCTATGATCCAGACTGTATTTCTTTGTTGTGTTACAAGAATATTTTAATAATGCTTTAAATATCTGAAGACTCTTCCACCTCTTACAAGTGTTCTCACTTCCAAGCTGCCTCCTCTTGCATTTAGGATTTGCACATTCATTTGTTCACCCATTTATTCACAAATTATCCATTTATCTAATAATGACAAACACTTTCTGTATAGCAAACATTCTGCTAGATGCTGGAATGACAAAGCTCTGATCCCTGGCAGCCCTCTTGTAGATTGCCACAGCAAGAGCAGAAAGAAGGACGGGAGCTGTGACAGAGATGTGAGCAAACTGCTCCCCATAAAGCCAACTCCCAAGTGGAGGGTTGGGCTCACTATGGAGGAGACTTCTGAGCTGCTCCTTGAAGAGTGGACAGGACAGTAGGGATTCAAAATGCAAAGGCATCCCAAGAAGAGCTCAGCTGTGGGAAACTCTTTGGTTGTATTGCTGGATATGAAAAGGGACTAGGGGGAGGCGAGACTTTCAAGGGTTCCTCAAATAACTGAATTTCTGACCTCTTACCATTCTGGGCATTCTCCTCTGAATGCTTTCTAATGGCATCTAGAACTGAAGACAGTAGATATCCCAGGGGTCCCCAACCTCTGGGCTGTGGACCAATACCAGTCCATGCCCTGTTAGGAACTGGGCCACACAGCAGAAGGTGAGTGGCCAGCAGTGAGCATTACCGCCTGCGCCCCATCTCCTGTCAGATCAGAGGCGGCATTAGATTCTCATAGGAGCACAAACCCTGCTGTGAATTACGCATGTGAGGGACCTAGTCTGTGCTCCTTATGAGAATCTAACTAATGCCTGATGATCTGAGGTGGTGCGGTTTCATTCTCCGCACCCACCCCATTCATAGGAAAACTGTCTTCCATGAAACCAGTCCCTTGTGCCAGAAAGATTGGGGAATGCTGCTTTCTACTGTCCAACTTGTAGAGTATAGAGTGGACTAATGTTTCACTTGGTCTGAATACTATATGGCTACTGAATTAAACTGCCTAGGTTCTTTGAACTTGACTCCTAAGTTAGGTCGATCAATCTTGTATCAGTACAGTTGATTTTAGGAACAAAAGTGCCAGACTTCCTAAATATGTTCCTGGAAATATTAACTTGTTGTTATATTTGAACAGACTGTGAACATCTTTTTTATTCTAGATTCTGTTGTTTTGTTACCTTAGCCAGCTCTTCCAAATATGTACCATTGCATTTTAACAAGCAAGTATTTATGTCCGTTTTCTTGCAACACTTGAAGTTCCCTGAGATCAGGGACTATATCTACATATGTTAGAGACAATGTGTATTTTTCTTGAAAGGACAAAGAGTAAATAAATCCTAATCTAAATCAGTGTTCTCTGTTAAATAGAATTAAAGAATGCATTTAATCTCACTAAACCTGCCCATACATGTAGACTTAAGTAATCTGGAAGAGTAAATATGTTTAAGTAATCAAAACTTGAAACAGATGTCAAATAGAGATTAATCCATGTCAGTCCATGTCCATGCTAATCTCCTCAGTAATGTAGAAAATTGCTCAGTCTTCTTGCTGTGACTCCTTAATCAGGTGTGTTTATGTGCAGATCACTCATATGACCAGATATATTAGGTTGGGCTCCATGAAAATTGACTCTCAGATGGAGACTTTTGTTCAGAAAGTGCATTAGGGAGTACTGTCAGGAAGAACACCTATGAACAGGAAGTGGATCAGAATTGGCTGAAAGGAATAGTGGACATTGTTGCAGTCATATCAGAGGCCTCAGTCAGTCCTGTGGAGATTCTGGTGCAGCAATGGCCTTCAAAGTTGCCACCAAACAAAGGGAGGATGACAGATCCTTCCACTCCCATATAGCCCTAGTCCTAGAAGTGGGCTGTCCCTGTAAAGTGGAGTGACCTCGAATGAGGCAGCTTTTGTCCACTGAGGGCAGTTCCCAGAGAGAGGCTCAGCTGGGAGCCTTCCACAGCGAATATTCCTGGCACCTGGAGAAATACGTTCTTCTCTCCCAAAGGGAATCTGGGGACTGCATCATGGCATCTACCACAATCAGAAAAAGAAAAAAATCAGAAAAGGACCTCCTGAGCACAATCTCGGATGTCCTCTGAAATTGTGCTCTGATTTTGAAGGAACATATTCCTTTCAGGTCTCTTTCCCATTTTCATTTTAGTTGTTTACCAGGCAGTAGTTATGCACCACAATTGATTGTCAACTCTCTATGATTCACCCAATTTCTTGCTCTACTAAGTCACAAGTGGCCAACACTGTGTAGGGTCTGAGCTTAATTCTGTAGCCAATGGAATGACCCAAGGGTTCTTGGTCACTGATGTTATTTTAAAGCCATCTTTCTGCCCAAGAGGCTTGGAGAACTGAAGATCCATAGTAGAAGGTGAAAACCTTGGAGAATCCAAGAGCTTCCAATGCAAGTAGCCGTACAGCAAGATCTCAACAATGAGACAGCTCTCTTGACACAGCACCTGCAATGCACTTGAAGCATATGCAGACATGTGCCTGTCCTCATGGAATTCTCTGCATGTCTGTGAATATATAAAACATAAATGCACAATGGACCTCAAATGCAGGACAACATATCCAAGAAAAGCATAAACCATTTTCCCCACAATCTTTTGTTCTAAAATTGCCATCCGTGTATCAACTGCAAAAAGCTGAGTGATCCCGCCACAAGGAGATATGATACATGTGCTAACTATTCAAAATGTCTATGCCTGCGTCTTTTCACCACTCTGTGTGGGCCTGGGTCTGCTTCCATCAGACACTGAACTTTTTCTGGCTTAATTTCTTCATCTCTCTGTGTGCCTATTATTTCAATAAAAGACTGAAAGAGAATAAAAATGCAAAATAAAAATAAGCATGTGCATCCCAGCTTCTACAAGCAATTCTAGAGTTTTAAGTTTTACCTCTGAAGGCTCAAACACCTTTGAATGCTCAGTTCCCCACCCTGCCTTCCAAAGGAACAGAGATTCTGTCTAAGGACAGGTTCATTAACAAATTAATAGAATAATCAGCAGGGCTTTGTGTGCATTTTGGAGATAAAAAACTGGTAACAGCATTCTTTGACTCTTTAATGGGGCGATAAGCACCAAGTATCTGCTCTGTGGCTGAGCTAATCACACAGATAAGGGAGGTTAAATCAATCCAGAGTTCTGCTGAGGTCATTTATAGATGGAGCTGTATCCTGCAACAGCATAAATAGCTCAGTTATTTTGAATATAACCACAAATTGCTAAAATAAACGGAGGGTGGGGCAACAAAGCCTAAAATAGGTTGTACTGTGCTATGTGAGACAGAGTCCCCAAGGCCACAATCTGTGGGCATGTACCTGTAAGGCTGCCTGATAAGTTTGGGGAAAATAAAGCTCTAGGGGATGTCTCCTCTTAAACTGGTTTGACATCTGGTCTCAAAGTCTGGAAAGAAAAGGATTTTTTTCTCATGCCTTTCCTCTCTCCTGTTTTAAATTAAGTGAATATGATTGCTTTAGAGGGAGAAGGATTAACAGTTCAGGTATTTTGCAGACATTTATTAGGTAGGCCTCCTGCTTATGCCACAAGCACTACACCAGCCTAGGTGGCCCCATGACAGGTATAGCATGAGCCTACTGCATTCTGATATAACCTTCCTGGCCAGCACTTCATGCCCAGTTACCCTGGTGTCACTGCTCCTGCTAGAGTGGAAGGCAGGACCTGCTGTGTGCATGGGGCAGGCGTTGTCAGGCCAATGTCTAGGTGTTCACACCTCACAGTGCAGAAAGGTGCTGGAACAATTCTAGCAGAAAAAGTGGAAGTGGCAGACATGTGGGATCAGGGAAGGGCACTGACCACCTTCCAGATGGTGTGAGTTTCACATAGTTCTGGCCAGTGGGGCATGGTTCGGCCAGCGACTTTCAACTTTCAACAGCACCCTATAGCAAAATTTGTGCAAAGTTCCCGAGTTATTAGTTACAATTGGGGTAACTGAAAAACAAGTTATGATGATTAAGGAGATAAAACTTTCTTTCTTGATCCTTTAAAGAGCTCACTTATTCAAGGTCTTCCAGTTGTTGCAGGACTTTTTTTCAGTTCAGCTAAAGATGGGGTTCTTTGTCCCATGGCCAAGAAAATTCAGGATTGCAGACCATTTCAATGGTAGTAAGATAGGGTTTTATTGGGTGAAAAGGAAGAAAAAGGGAAACAGGGAATCTCTCTCACCAGGCCAGAGTCCCTGCTAGAACACTTCCCACTGGCAGCTTGAATCCCAGGTTCCACGCAGGAAGACGAGGGGCCAGGCTCCTCCCTACTACAGATGGCGCGAACTTCCCAAGGCTCGACCTCAGTAGGTTGGAGCTTCTCCAGGGATCTCCTCCCACCTGGCTGTCTCACAATGACCCCATGCCAGAAACCCTGGTCTCACTGTTATGAGCACACTCCATTCCCGGTCGCCCTTAGGATGGCTCTCCCTACGAAGGCCACACTCCGCTCAGAAGGAAAAGAGAAGGGCAAGGAAAAGAGACATCTTCCCTTTTAGAACTTGTCCTGGAAGCTGCACACATCCATGAGCCTAAATTTAGTCTGAGGGCCACAGCTAACCCAAAGGATGATTGGAAATTCCAGGATTCTGCAATTAAGTGCAAATTAAAAATAGATCCTAGGCAGCAAAGAGCAGCCTCTTTCCCCCAGGGCCAGGGAAATGCCCATCTCCTAATTGAAGGAGTTCATAAAATAATGTGATTCAATTTTTAAAAAGAAAGAAAAGCTTTTTAAAAAGAATTAACAGAAAAGATAAGAAAAATCTGGATTAGATGCATTTAATATATTGATAAGTATCCATGCATAACAGTTTTTTTTTCTTGGATGGCTGAGCCATCAGAAAGGGCGGTGTGAAGGTTAGGAAAACATCTGTAGTCCCTAAGGAAAGGGATATATTAAAATATTTTTCAAAAATATGTCTTAGCTATGGAAATGCAGAGGAGATAAGCTGCACTCACTCTACCAAATATGACCTGCCCTACCTCCCTACAGAGAAAAACTAGTACCTAAGAGCTGTGGAGTAGCAGGGGTAGAAAAGGAGAACATGGGTGTTAGGGTGAAAAAGCATTAATGTAGACAGATATCTGAGAAACGGCATTTGCTGTATGTGTCTACATCACATTTACTGTCATGTTACTTCCAAGCAATGTGGGGGAATGGATCTAGCCATTCATTCATTCATTCTGGCTATTGATTCATTCATGCACTTTTTCCACTATCAATCTTTTAAAATCGTCTCTCCCCAGGAATTGTGGTTGGCAGTGGGGATATGGCTGAAAACCCGGGCTAGAGAGATTGGGTGGAGGGTCAGTGGTGCAGGAGCAGGCAGGGATTTCATTCTAAGTTTGGATTTCATTCTAAACTTCATGGGAAGCCATGAAGGAGTCCAAGCAAGGGTGTGGCATTCATGAAAGCTTCCCAGGCTCTCACGGCTGCCACCAATGCTGAGAAAGGAGGGATGGGAGGAGTAAGAGTGCAGCAGTCCAGGTGGGAAGGACCATGATGTAGACTAGCTCGGTGCAGTGGAGGGAAGGGGCAGGCAATGGAGAAGTCCACAGAAGCTAGTGAGGGATACAGTGGACCTAGACACCACAGCTCGTTGATTTCTGTCTTGGGGATGGTGTTTGAACTGACTCCCGTAGATGGAGAGGGGCAGGTTAGACGGAGTGTGGTGGAAGGAAGGCAGTGTGATCTCGCTTCTGAGCCAGCGTCCATCCACGCGTCCGGTGTGAACCTTCTCAGTAGACAGCTAAAGTCAGCTAGCACCAAGGCAAGCCCTGAAGGAGAGCGAGGGCATGGTCCCTCGCCAGCTGGCCTCCCGAGCAGCTGTTAGCAGTGGGGGCAGCAACTGGATCAGAGGAGCAGACCCTTCGCATGGAGCAGCAGTGCCTGCATGGGCATTGGCAGGCAGTGTCAGGACGGCCAAGAGGTGCATGGCCAAGGCCGACCTCGGTCGTCTGCAGAGGGCATCTTCAGACTGGCCTCTGTGTCCCCTCCACCAAGCACACCTCAGCCTCCACATGCTGCCTTGCTGGGACTTGGCTGTCAATTGCCAGATGATAGACACGATTCCAACTTCCTCTGAAGAGAGAGCAGAACCATTAATAAAACATCAACACTACAGGAATCCAAAGGACCCACAAAATAAAATAAAAATTAAATTACAGCTACAGCAAAATCACATTTGCTTTCCTCTGGCAAGCCTCTAAGGAGGCAGTTACGTCCCCAGGGGCACTGGCAATGGAAAGTGACTCTCAGGCAAGGCAGATGGAGGAGGCCTCAGATGAGACGGCAGAGGAGTGAGACCCACTCTCTGGGCTGCCTGCTCCCGCTTTTGAGATGTGTGGGTGTCCAACTTCCTTCCAAGCTAGAACACAGCTGCCAGCCCCTGCTCTTTGCCTCTTCGCTTCCTCCTTCCCAGCTGGCATTTCCGCCTGACTCCAGAGCGGTGAGAGACGTGTGCCACTTCCTCGGGGTGCAGGGACTTCTCGAGGGATCTGCTGCCCACGGGACAGTGTGCCGGGTGCTGCCAGCCTGTGTGACCAGAAGCCCCACCGGGATTGGCGGGGATCCTGACAACTGTCAAAAGGGGTCGAGGGCACACGGTGGATGGCAAGGATCTGCATTATTCATTTATCCGCTGTTTGGAGAAATTGTGTGTTGGGCCCAGCACAAAGAACACTCTGGGTAATCCACTGCTCAGAATTCAGCCTATTCCATGGCCTCCAGGAAGTCAGATATTCAAGAAGTAGGGACTTTAATTCATTACCGGAAGCAATAGAATGCTGGGTATTTTGTTTGTTTTTTTAGTATGTTCCACAAAACAATAGAATATTGTGGTCATCTGAAAAGTACTCTCCAGCCAATATCCAACTTCTAATTCCTGGAACTTGCGAATGTTTATAACAAAAAGTTCTTCACAGATTGATTAAATGAAGGATCTTGAAATGGGGAGATCATCCTGGATTATCTGAGTGGGCCCTAAATACAGTCACTTGTATCCTTACAAAAGGGAGGCCAAGAGGTATTTTACAGCACAGATGAAGACAGCAGAGAGAGATTTGAAGATGCTGATCTGGAAGGTTGGAGAGATGTGGCCACAAGTGAAGGGGGTGGGGCAGCCAGCAGGAGCTCTAAGAGGCAAAGAAAGGCTTCCCTGGAGCCTTAGGAAGGAGCAGGAAGGCACTTGATATGGGCTCAGTGATGCTGAATTCAGACTTCTGGTCTCCAAACCATGAGCTAATAAATTTCTATTGCTTTCAGCCACCATGTTTGTGGAAATTTGTTATAGCAGCCACAGGAAGCTGATACAATACCATTGATGACATTTTCTCAATTTAAATAAACATTCACTTAATGAAGCAAATCTTCTTCAAGTTTTCTGCTGTGTTTTTCTTTTCAATATCTGGCATATGCTGCTGTTTACAGATGAATGAAGAAATTGGACTTAAGATTTTGTGGTATATCAGAAAAGTCACTGTGACTTTTAACTTGCATTTTTCCCCCCACTGATATGAAAAAGAGAACTACAATTCCTGGAGTTGTTCTAAAGTTCAAATGAGGTCAAGTGGTGCTAAGAAGTCTCCAAACTGCCCAGCATTGTGCAAAGTTGAGTAAAAGGTCTTATAGGATTGGTCAACTGATGACACAACCTACGATCAATCTCTCTTCTCTTCCCACCCCCCCCTCTCTTTCCTTTGTCCTTCTTCTCTTTCCTCCTTCTACTTCTCCTTCCCTCCTCTCTTTCTCCCTATACACATTCACACCCACACATATATTATCTATAGAAAAAATTCCACTTAAAGGTGAAGAATAGCCTTATGATTATGTCTTATATTTCAGTACCATTTTAAAGCTTACTGAGAACTTTTATATCCATCATTGTATTTATTAATCCTCATGCTACCCCTGTGGGCACACAGAACTAACATCATCCTCCTTATTTGATAGATAAAGAAAGCAAGAACCCCCTCGGTAGAAAGTGTTAAGAGGCTTACTCAGGGCGACATGGATGTAAGCGGTGAGACAGGATTCAAACACAGATCTTTATGAATACATGGATGCAGAACTGAAAAGGCATTCTCACCTGTCTAATCAGCAAGGACTGAGCAAGGTGCTTTCTGTCTATACAGACCTGGAATGAAAGTCTAGTCTTGCACCTCAGCAGCTCTGAAAAGCTGAGTGGTGACCTTACCCTGTTGAACCTTCCTTAGCCATCAAACTGGGACCATAGTACAAACTTTGTGAGGCTGAGTGAAGATTCAGTGGAATAAGTTAAGGGAAAGTGCCTAGATCCATTCCTGGCCCCGAGAATTCTTCTTTCAAAAGCAAAGGGCTTTTGTTTTTATTTTATTTTTATTTTTAACTCCTGTCTTGATCTCAAGAGAGTCAATCCCAGTCTAACCATCTGACCTATTTATTGTATCACTTTCAAACCACTTGTGTTTGTTTTCTCTCTTTCTGTTTGTCAAAAGTTAAGTTCAATTCCAGCCACTTGTCACTTAAAAGATGACAGTTATTACTCATAGCTACAAAGGCACTTATGGCAATAGCTGCTCTGTACTGAAGCAACAGCACTCACAATAAATACTCTTGCCAGATCATGAGGATTTTGTCAAGCACATCCCTCTCAGCCATTGCTGCACAATTATCATGGGTGCACCTAGAGTTCCGCTGAGAGAAAGGGGTCAATACTTGAGTGATCTGAGGCTGAGGCAATCTATAGGCCTTTGGGTTTTAATCCCAGTTCCCTCATTGGTCTCCACTTTGGGCAATGTTTGATTGAAGTACACCAGGAAGGCTGGTACTCCAGATGGCCTTTGCCACTTATTCTTCATTGGTCCCTCTGAATATGTGACATGATAACTCCTCCACTTTCCAAGTGGTAAGAAAACAGTCAGTTATTGGCTGGGCTTTGGCTAGCAAGAAAGGCTTGGCCTGGACTATGGCTATAGTTCTATCACAACCAGTGACCATGGTGCTAGGGAAAGACTAATGCTAAAGTCACCCAATGATAGCATCCAGATGAAAAACATAGCCTTCTTCTTTATCATTTGCTGAGATTCCTTCTATCAGTTTAGCTTAAAAACCAGAGACCAGTTCTTTTGTTATAAAGGTTCACTCTTAGGAAGGAAGGGGCCATGCATTGGTGTGTCTGTGTGTGTGTGCACATGTGTAAATGTGTGTACCTATGCATGTAGGCATGTGGGTAGTAAACATTTGAAATAGGGACTCCAACCCTGTTGACACCATACTAATTAGTTATTATTATTGTTTCTTTTTAAAGACCCCTGTCCAACCATGTGTCAGTCAGTTTGCATCATTATTAAGGAATAACTGAGACTGGGTAACCCATAAAGAAAAGAGGTGTAATTAGCTCATGGTTCTGCAGACTGTACAGGAAGCATGGTGCCTACATCTGCTGTCTTCTAGTGAGGCCTCAGGGAGATTTTACTCATGGCGGAAGGCAAAGGGGAAGCAGTGTATCACATGGCGAGAGAGGGAGCAAGAAAGGAGGCAGGGGAGCTGCCATACTGTGTTAAACAACTGGATCTCACAGGAAACCATACGAGAAGGACTCACTTAATACTGTGAGGATGGCACCAGATCATTCGTGAAGAACTCGCCCCCATGAGACAGACACCTCCCACCAGGCCCCACCTCCAACATTGGGGATTACCTTTCAACATGAAATTTGGAAGGGACAAACCATATTAAGCCAATCTAGCATTATTTTTTTCCCAGGAACATCTTTTTTCTCTAATTGTGGTCATTGGCCTACTGTTTAAATGAAAAGAGAGTGTGGTTTCTATGCCTTCCTTATTACTTCTCTCCTCCATTTCAGATCTCTGCACACTTCCTGGAGGATTTTGTCAGTGTGAGAAAGGATAAACCCAGCTGCAATTATACATTAAGGATTTCCTCCAGTAGAGAGCTTGTGAGGGGCAT
Source organism: Homo sapiens (assembly GCF_000001405.40). Classification (NCBI taxonomy): domain Eukaryota; kingdom Metazoa; phylum Chordata; class Mammalia; order Primates; family Hominidae; genus Homo; species Homo sapiens. The sequence continues at coordinate 133,000,517 of NC_000011.10, read as the reverse complement.
TGTTAAACATGGCATACTGCCTACTAAGTACTTGGCTTGGTCAAGGGTATTGTATGGTACATCTGTAACTACAGGTTTATACTTAGAAGTTCTGACACACTTTCAGGATGAGCGCGGTGGCTCACGCCTGTAATCCCAGCACTTTGAGAGGCCGAGGCAGGCTGAACGCTTGAGGACGGGAGTTCGAGATCAGCCTGGCCAACATGGAAAAACCCCGTCTCTATTAAAAATACAAAAACTCGTTGGGTGCGGTGGTGCGTGCCTGTAATCCCAGCTACTCGGGAGGCTGAGGCAGGAGAAGTGCTTGAACCTGGGAGGCGGAAGTTGTAGTGAGCCAAGAGGCTGAGGCAGGAGAATTGTTTGAACCTGGGAGGCAGAGGTTGCAGTGAGCCGAGATCACGTCACCACACTCCAGCCTGGCCAACAGAGTGAGACTGTGTCTCAAAACAAAAAAACAAAAACAAAAATGAAGTTCTAAGATATCCTCCTTTCTTGTCAACTTCATTTTTTATAGATTTGGCTCAGCGGTGTGTCTACACAGGAAAGATGGGTTTCCAGGTCTGGTGGGCTGAGTGCAAGCAGGCTTCCTGAAACAAGCTGCCTTTGAGGGGGATGCGTTTTGGGTAGAGGTTGGGCTACTTTGGAAGAAGGTGGGAGAAACTTCCACTTCCTGCCCTGAGATAGACCCCTGTCGCCTTTCCACAACGTTGCCAACAGAACCACCTGAAGCTCTACTTTTTGCTGTCTCGTAGCTCTTTTCTTTTGGAGAGACTCCAGCTGTTTACAGCCTGGCTGGCAGCCTCCTTGGCGCCGGAGTTCCTGACATTTCTGATGGCCGCCTCTGGCTGTACCACACAGGCACGCTCGTGGCAGCACGCAGAGCTACAAGAAAAACCTAAATTTAAATGTTAAAAAGCTTTTGTTCATTACCGGTGGCATTCCCCCCCCGACCCCATTTGTCACTTGGAGCAGAGCTGTGACTCTTTTAATATCAAACAAATAATAAGCTCCCTCTAAAGTGATTTTTCTGACAAGGAGCTCAATATATTAAACTTTATCTATATTTTAATAGCCAATTTCACACCAAACTGCCTTCTTAATAATGTATTTACCACCTGGGGATATTATTCCAACCCATCTGGAAAGAATTGGAAATTAACTATCCCCAAACCGAGTCTGTGTGTGCTTTACACTTGCTGTAGGAAACGGCAGTGTCATTGCTAGGGAGGGGGCTGGGGCGAGAGGGGGTCTCGCCACCTGGGGAGGGTGAGATCTGAAAGAGAAATGATAGTAGGTTTAGAGACACGAATTCCTTCTCCAGAGGCAAAGCTCATCCCTATGATGAGCTGAGAAGAGCTCCTGCCAGATAGGGCAGGACTGCTGGGAGCAGGAACTAGTCCCACAGCATTTTAAAGAAATATAGGACTTTCTTTGCTAGCAACCTGCAGCTAGTTGACATCACACAAGGTTCCTATCATCTGACCTTTTGTTTCCTCATCTGCGGAAAGAGGGAATTTGGCTAGATGACTTCAGAGGTCTTCTGTGTATATAGTTAAGGTTTGTCTTAGTGTGTTTCGGTTGTTATAACAAAATACCATAAACTGGGTAGCTTACAACAGAAATTTATTTCTCATATTTCCGGAGGCTGGAAACCCACTCCCCAGGCATCAACAGATTGGGTATCTGGCAAGGGCCTACTTCCTGGTTCATAGATGGCATTTTGTCACTATTCTCACATGGCAGATAGGGTGAGGTGTCTCATTTGGGCCTTTTATAAGAACACCTATCCCATTCATGAGGGCTCCATCCTCATGACCTAATCACCTCCCAAGAGCCCCCACCTTCACCTTGGGGGTCAAGATTTCCACATATAAAATTTGGAGGGTCACAAACATTCAGAGCATAGAAGAGTTCTCTCTGGAAAATACCTTTTTTATGCCTAACGACAACATGAATTGTGTTGGGGATTGTTTTTTCCCCTTTTTGGTTATGAACATCTATGAAAACTGACAAAGATGGGAGGCCCTAAAGAAGTTAAAGAAAATAAGACACCTTTAGAGTAGACAGAAAAACTTCCCACAGGGGAGGGGATTGGAGCATGAGTAGGCCCAGAGTAGCCATGCTAACAAGTAAACACAGTCAACACAGGCTCCCCCCAAGTGAGAAGACAGGGAGAAAGTGCCCCTTTGCCTCATAGACTTACACATGTAAGCCACTGGGTGAACTCTGCTCAATGCACTCAGCTAGATTCAGCAAACACTATCAAACTCACCCTCTAATGTGAGGACACATTTGCAGATTATCACATGATGGTGTCATGGGCTCCCTCATGAGTGGAACCGTGACAGAATGACAGACTGGGGATGTTTCTTGGGGGACTCAGCAGGGCTCACCAAGGAGACTGGACATTTTAACTGCACCTTGAAGGATGGGCAGGCAGCCGCAGGACATTCCAATCAGATGGCGGAACTATGCCAAACCCAATTTTGTGGCATATGACAGGTTAGCAAGAGAAAGAATGTTTCTAGGGGTCAGGCAAGTTCTTGGTCCCAATGTCAGCAGGATGTGAACCTCCTGTGAGGGCTAAAACCAACGAGTTAGGGACCCTGAAGGGAAGACCTGGCTTTAATGAATCTAAGGATAGAAAGTGTGTCCAGGAGAACCCCGGAAAAAGTATCAGCTCCAAGATGTGCTTGGTATAGTCAAGATTCCAAGAGTGAAAGAAGCAGCTAACTCTGCGAGGAAGGAATTAGTATTTGTGGAAAACACACAGGCTCTTGGAATCAACCAAAATAAGATGCAATGTGATGCAGCTCCTCTGGGCAGCCCCAGCCAGGAGTCTTCTCTTGAGAGTCCATGGTGGATGGTGATGAGTGTCCCTTCCATCCTCCCACCACCATCCACGGGTCTTGCTCAGCTCCCTGTTGCCTAGGGAGCACATGAGCCCCAGCATTGCGGCGTGGATGGCATGTGCATGCATACAGCACTGTCTCTCCAGCTGTGTCCCCAGTCATATCTGGGATGTGCCAATCAGATGCAGATGAAAAGAATAGCGTTTCCAGGAGGAACAGATGACAGGGCATCAGCTCACTGGTGTTCTTAGCAGAGGGAAGTGTATTTGATTCACCAGCTCAGAACAAAAAGATCTACATGGGAAGGGAACACCTGATGAGATATTTGGTGGCCGGGGCTGATAGCACAGCCACAGAAAAACCAGAAAGCAGTGGTATCAGAAGGCTGCCCTATCTAATCCTGTGCTTCCATTCCCTTTCCAGAGCCTTGGGAGCAAGATATGTGTGACTCATGTGCAGATACGTGTGAGGGCGAGGGCACAGGAGTGATGGCTATCTCCCAGGTCCTGGGGACCTAGAGTCCCAAATTAATAAGCAGACAAGAAGACTAACTGTGACAGACAGGTCAAGGAGGAGAGGGGTAAAAGGCTCCTTTAATCCTGCAGTCGGAGGATGTGCAATGCTGACAGTTACCTGGGGACCCAGAGATACCAGGCTCCCTAACTTAATCAGACAGATAAGGGGAGCTGCCTCGGCAGAGGCCGCACCAGGAAAAGTGGAACAATAGGAGACGGCCCCTTAGGACCTGTGCTGCTACAGAAATAATAAACTATATAGAAATCTGTCACTGAGCGATAAATGATGAATTAGAATCAATTATATGTTTAAAATAATAGACATCCTTGTCTTCCCTACTGGAAGTGGAATGGTTTTGACTGGCCTTAGAGGTGCCAACAAAGCAGGGACTCTCCATGGAGCTGTTTGTGCCAGGCACACTAAAATTATTACTGAGATAGACTTTTCTGGCCAGATTGTCTTGTTTTGTGGCTCCGGGGAAAAAAAAATACATAGAAAGTTATGAGTCAAGTATTTTTTTTTTTTTTTTTTGAGATGGAGCCTCTCTCTGTTGCCCAGGCTGGAGTGCAGTGGCGCAATCTTGACTCACTGCAACCTCTGCCTTCTGCATCCCGGGTTCAAGCGATTCTTTTGTCTCAGGCTTCCGAGTAGCTGGGACTACGCCCAGCTAATTTTTGTATTTTTTTTTTTTTTTTAGTAGAGATGGGGTTTCACCATATTGGTCAGGCTGGTCTCGAACTCCTGACTTCAGATCTGCCCATCTCGGTCCCCCAAAGTGCTGGGATTACAGGCATGAGCCACTGTACCCAGCTATGAATCAAGTTTTAATCTTTATCCCTCTTTGCACCCATACATTTGCCTTCAAATCCTGTATCAGAACCAAACCATTTGATGAGCAGTGGGAGTAAGGAAGTCTCAGACAAGGTATTTTCTCTGTGCCTTTTCTTTTTCAGGGGGCACAACATGCTTAATAACCCCATCTACAATGAGGACAGACATTGGTGAAAAATATGCTAAAGTCTGTGTAGAACTCTCCTTCAAAGGGAATTGCTATTGAAGAAGGGACTTGCGTGCTCCCTAGGCAGCAGGGAGCCGAGCAAGACCCATGGATGGCAGGGGGAGGATGGAAGGGACCCTCATCACCATCCACCATGGACTCTAAAGAGAAGACTCTTGGCTGGGGCTGCCCAGAGGAGCTGCATCACATTTCATCTTATTTTGGTTGATTCCAAGAGCCTGTGTGTTTTCCACAAATACTAATTCCTGCCTCGCAGAGTTAGCTGCTTCTTTCACCCTTGGAATCTTGACTATACCAAGCACATCTTGGAGCTGATACTTTCTCTGGGGTTATCCTGGACACACTTTCTATCTCCAGATTCACTAAAGCCAGGTCTTCCCTTCAGGGTCCCTAAGCTGGTTGGTTGGTTTTAGCCCTCACAGGAGGCTCACGTCCTGCTGACATTGGGACCAAGAACTTGCCTGACCCCTAGACCCACTCTTCTAGGGGTCTTTAAAAGGGAAGTATTGAAGGTAGATTTTTGGCATTTATTTAAATAATCTAATTCTTTTCCTCAAAGTTTTATCCCCTTTATTTCCCTGCTCTCCTTCAATCATATGAGCACAATCAACATCAAAGAAAGGAAAGAAAAAAGGAAGGAAGGAAGGAAGGAGAGACAGAGGGAAGAAGGGAGGGAGGGAGGGAAAGAGGAGAGATTTTAGCTTCTTTTTAGCATTTTGAATTCCAATTCCAACTTTCCACATCCTCTTTTATTATTATCACTACTACTCCTTCTATGACTACTAATACTATCATTGAGTAAGAGCCTTAGCCCCTAGATGTAAGTTTGCCTTCATAAACGAGCACAGCACAGTTCATTTGGGTTGTCATATAACCCAAATATAATATCCTCCCTCTGACTCCCGTCTGCCTAGCAAACTTCCATTCATTCTTGAGCTACCCGCTCACGTTTAGTCTTCTTGGCAAAGCTCTCTCTGACCACCATTTCCCTCCATAATATGACACATTCTCCCTTTCTACTTTCTTAGTTGCAGATGTACGTATTTGGTTATGCTGCACTCATCACAGTGCCCTGGTAGAGAGGAAAGTGATGGTTACTTAGGGGCTTGGGTTTCATAGTCAGCTATTTACCAACCATGTGACCTATAAGGAGTTATTCGTCCTTTTAGAGTCTCAGTTTTCTCAGCTGACACATGGGTATGACAATAACAGTATTCAACTCCTAGGGGTGCTGTGCACATTAAATGAAAGGAGGCATGTAAAGTGTCTGTATCCATTAAGCGTTCCTGAGGTTCTTATAACCTTATATTGCTTCCATTCATTTGATTATATGTCCGCATTGTTCACAAGAATGTGAGGATCTTGAGGGCAGGGGCTGTGTTCCATTTAGCTGGTATAATGCCAGCACCAAGAACAGAGCCTGGCATTTGGAGGCAGCTCCGCACATTTAATTTAAACTGAACTGAAACAGTGCAGAAGGCAGAGTTGAAGTCAGGTACCGGTGGGTGGGTGGTGTGTCCCCTGGGGCCATGAGGGATTGCAAACGCTGCTTACAGGTGAAAATCCCCGCCCTGAGCCTTCAGCAGACTCAGTACTACCTTGGCCCCCTCGAAGCAGTTATTTGTGCCTGGTCGCTGGAAGTTCCTTTCCAGGCAGCCCTGGTACCCACGAGGCGCCTGCACGGCGAGCCCCCAGCAGCTCCTCCGGTGAGGCCGCCCCTTTTCCCCAGCCCTTCCCTCTTCTCTCCTAGGCTCCTCCTCCGTGTACTCACGCTGACCTGGTAGGTTTAGTCTTTTGTGTGGTCCTGTATCAAAAGTTTAATTAGAAAATCGCGCCTGGGCTTTTTAATAGCCCGAGTTCCGGCCGTAAAAGCCCCGGACGTGCTCCCGCGCGCGCCGGCTCCTGGCAGGAGCGCACCAGCCGCTGCGGCGCGGGGACTCCCGCCCTGAATCTTATTTACATTCGGACTAACAATAGCTCTGGAACCTGGCTATAAATAATTTCTGGGGAAGGGTTGTCTAATTAAACGTGCAGCAGTAAGGAAAGTGCTTTAACCACAAGGCTGGTGTCCTGATGAACGTAATCACTGGATGGGGACAGCTTGGGAATCACATCCAGACGTCTCCCTGCGGAGGTGGAGAGATGCGGGGAAGAATACTCAGGGAGACTTTCCAATCCATATTTAATTGTGCAGTGTGTTCAACTCGTTAGAGGGCCTCTTTTTTTCCTTCCCTTTGCCCATACCCAGAGGTAGAAAGGATTTCAAAATGCAGTTTTGTGGGGCGGCCTCAGCCTCAGATTCCGGGGTGGGGGGGTAGTTGTCAGTGGCCTGTCAATGTCTAGAAATGATCCGAACACATAAAATGTATTAACTGATAAGTAGTGGCGCTTACAGGTGCTGAATTTAGAGACAAAGGTAAGGGTGATTCCAGTTGATTCCAGATCTTTCTCTGTCCCTGTCTATGGTATTTCCAGACTCTAGGCTCGCGGAGGGCAGGGGCTCTGTGTGCAGTGTGTTCTGCCCTTTGTAAGTAGGGAGCGGGGCAGCGCATCCACCACCCTGGAGGGCATGAAGAAAATGAAATGAGTCCTTCCTGCCTGGTGTCATTCATGGAGGGTCAGCCACGCCTGCTGGCATCTCAACGGTGGTTAGCAAATCCAGGGGGATGTAAGCCCAAGGCATCCATGCTCGTTTCTGCTTCATTAGAAACAGACAATGTAACATCAACCAGATGGAAAAGGACACAGGATGCAGGGTGCTTTCCCTTCTGTGTTCCTATTAATATGCTCCCGAGGACAGAAAGGGCGCCCTGGGAGGAAGAACAGCACACTGTCATACTGTGTGTGAGTAACACAGGATTCACATGTGTATACAGATTGACCTAGAAACATAGTAAGCACATGCATGTGTATGCAAACCTCGGGTGGGCAGATACCTACGTACATAGACATGCACGTCCTGGAGCTGCACTAAGGATGACATAGTTATATTGCTATGGTAACGTGCATGCTCTTGAAACCAAGGCAAACCAGTGGAAGGAGGGTGGGAAGCAGGAGCTGGGGAGGGTGTGGATCTGCAGAGGAGCCTGGGGCTGAACTGCGGCACAAACTCCTAACCAGCACTACTAACCAGTGCTTGTATCCTAGCCCTCCTCCCATACACGGAGATGAAAGAGCAAGAGTGGGGGCACCTGTGATTAATCGAATTCACCACTGGATGTCAACGTTGCTCCAGCCAGTTAGAAAACAAACAGCCATTCCAATAATCTTCTGCTGGTAACAAGGAAGTTTGATCCTTAGGCAGCAATCAGTTTATGGTATGAATGTACTGGGGAAGGGGAGGGTTAGACAACAACCTTCTGATAGAACCCCAAAGGGAAAATTATCAAATTCTAAATTTGTCATTTTTGCCCTTTAATCATAACCTCCACGTTTCCTCTAGCACCCCTTGCTCCCCATTCATTATTCTCCCTTAGTTAACACTTCCTAGTGGACCATCCAATATTTCCATTTAGTTTGCTCATTGCCTGCCTCTCCCCGATACACACACAAGAATACCAACTCCATGATGGCAAGGAATTCTGTTTTTGTTCCGTCGCACCCTCGATGCTTAAAACACTGCTTGGCAAAAAGTAGGTATTTGATAAACATTTGTTTTAAATAGATGCGTGTATAAGTAAATGAATTAATGAGATAATGAAATGTGGTCAATGAATAAAAATGGAGACAGATATTATTGCAATATGAATAGGAGTTTCTCTTTCTTCTCTGCAATAAGTATATATATTTATTTTTATACATGTATATACATATATTTCAGAGAAGAAATATATGTGTCCGGATGAGTGAGTGTGTATGTGTGTGTATATATATGGCTGGAGAAAGAGGTACAGAAGCAGTTGCCTAAACACCTGAAATATCAGGTTTGGAAGAGACTTGAAGCCAAGCCTTGGAGGGCTTTCTGAGTTGAGTTATATATAACTCTGCTTCTATCTTGTTTTGTGAACTTGGGAAGATAACTTAGCATTTCTGAACCTTAGCTTCTTCATCAATACAATGGCTTCATCATAATAATATTGGTCCAACCTACTCCTTAAAGATCCATGAGATCAAATGTTACAGCATTAATCCACAATGTATTTTGCCTTGACTAATATATACCATATCCTGCCCAAACCCTCTCACACATGCTGTAAACACCGAGATCCTACACAGACAGTGTTGGCAATGTAGATATTATAACCCTTTTCTGGATATGAACATGGAAATCATAAACATTTTCCAGGTATTTCACTTAATCCAAAGGTCTTAACTCTTAAGGTAAACTGCAGGGAAAACAGGGATCGGGAATCAACCTTGGGGTGGCCACATTTCCCACCCAGCAAATGAAGGCACTGGGAGAAGAGCCTTCCCTTCAGACGCCTCAGGTTTGTGGCTGTTTCTGTATCTTCTGTTTTAGGGCTGTGTTGAAGGCCTGGGCTGCCATGGCAGCAAGCTAGCAACCTGCCAGATTTATATGTTTAAGTTTTAATAAATAAATTAAATTAAGCAAAAATAGGTCTTCACCGTAGAGCCCTTTCAAATTATTTACTGTGCTGTCACTTTGGGCTCATTGATGCTCGTTAATATTTCAAATTTAATGATAAGCACCATTTATAAGCTAAATAAGACATTAGTTGCATTATACTGGCAGAAATGTACAAGGACACCGCTAATCTAAGGTGAAAATGCATTATTGAGTGGAATTTAATTAGTAGATTTTGTTCTATTAGGGGCTTGTATATTGCATTTATGAAAATGAATACAAATATGATCCAGGCAATCTTTCCAGTGAGAAAATGTCACTGATAATCTAACTTCACTCCTACTCTTTAAAGCAGATGCAAGATGAAAATTGATGTCCTGTTCTCTTGACAGTCAAAAGATTTTCTAGTTTGTGGTTCTAATAATAGCTAAATTATGGGGAGATGCCTTGTGTGACGCTTTGGCAGGTGTGAAGAAGTGTGTCCAGTGCGAATTGCTGTAGACATTTTTCTTATGGCAATCCTATGGGCAGTACATGTCAGAGAATTAGGTCAGAATTATGGTTTGCTTAGCGGGTCAAGTCTAATTTGTCTGCATTATCTGCTCTGATTCCTCTATGGGGCAATATGGCCTTAGGAGAAAAGGCAAGACTTGGAATCATATACCTGTGATTTCAATCATACTTTCATCATTTATAAGCTTTGTGCAATTTATTTTCTTAAAGTAAGTACATAAGCTACCACATTTTATGACTCCACCCAGTAATCCAGTGAGGTTAGTTACCATTATGAACTCTATTTTATAGATACAGGCAAGAGAGACTCGGAATGCTCGAGCTACTTGCTCTAGGTCACACAACTAAAATCTTCAGTTCTCTGCATTTTCCATTTTCTTATCTGATGATGGAGGTTTGCCATATATTTAAAAAGTGTATTCAATCAATATTAGTCTGGGCTCTCTGTTTCCTCCAGTTTCTTACTTTCTGGGGGCATCTTGGAAAGGACATAGAGGGCCAGTGACCGCAATTCTCATTTCTAGGTGACCAATGTAAAGTCTTTCCTGACCTCAGCTCTCTCATATGACAAATAGGAAAATAGAATGCCTACCTTTCCTACTGAAGTAGTTGTGAAAATCAGTTGGACAGCCATAGTGGGGTGTTGTACAAATGTAAAGTGTTAGTGTTATGAATATAGGCAATAATTCTTTTGATTCTGTGCTAAATTGCATTGACAGAAATGTTGAGAGAGGAGATGGCTGAGATTGACGCTATAGGAGCATTTCTTTGCAATGAGTTATAGATCGATGGTAAGTGCAGGCACTCTCTGAGTTACGCACAGCTAACTTATCAACATTCTGTGCACACAAAGGACTCGGTGCACGCCCTGTAGGCACCCACTAGGACAAGCTGTGCTTCAGATTCTGTGCCTCTGGAAAGCATCTTTCTGGAATGACCCCGCCTGCTTTCAGTCATGGTTATGGCACTGTAGCTGCTATGGATTGCTGTCTGAACCAAGCTTTCCTCTCCACTAGCTCCTATGTTCCTACGCAGGGTGGCATGCTCCTCTGCCTGAGTCTTGGGATTCAGTGAACTTCAGCCCTTCTAATCCACACATACCCTTGCATGATGTTGATCCTTCTGCCTTTCTTTTCTTGATATGACCTTGGTACACCAGGAAAATCATCCAAGGGTGATAAAATAAATGTATTTGTTAGGAATCTACCTAAGTTAATGATGCAGTGGAAGGCTTTATTTTCTTTGAAAACCAACCTCATATGGGTAAGAGATGTTTGATAGTTCAAATGTTTTTATTTTTTAAATGAATCTCAGGTGCACAGAATTGTATTATTTATAACCAGTGGCCCATGATACACTCTCAGTATTCTATGTTTGAGCCCCTTTTTATTTTTATTTAAAAAATAGTATCATAAGCAACCACAGATCCACACCTCCACCTCTGAACACACACACACACACACACACACACACACACACACACACACACACGCTCTAGGACCTTGGCATCAACCTGCATCTCCAGCGCATGGTCCTCCCCCATCCATCCTCCTTCCTGCCTCCTACCTTAGCCATCATTCAGAATTCCATGTGTATCTTATGCTTCCATTTTCATATAATTGCATCACATACATATGAGTCTCTAAAATTATTCTTTTAATTTTGGTATTTTTCATCTTCATAAATAGGACATGCATTTTTTATGTGTGATTTGGGGTTAGTTTTCACTTATTTATTTCCAAGATTATCCATAGTTTTGTGTGTTGCTGTAGTGCTGTGGTTCATTTGCGTTGGTGGAATAGATTATTCTAATTTATGAATATTCCTCAGTTGATTTATCCATTTTTATGTTGGTGACTAGGCTGAACCAATGATTTTTTCCTCTTGTGAACAGGGTTGCTATGAAAATATCTGCTGAGGAATGGATTCGCTGGGTCACAGAGTTTGGGAATGTTTAAATATGGAAGGTGTTGCCAAACTGCCTACCAGAGCAGCACCTTATCCTCTCACCAGCAATGTATGAAGATCCTGAACATTCGCAGCTTCTCCAATACTTAGTAATGCCCGGCATTTGAATTTTTGCCAATGGAGTTTGGGTAAAATGCAACGTTATTGTAGTCTTTAAAATCCACAGAATATTTCTTCCTATGTGTTTCCTCCTCCCTGCTATGCTTGTTCATTTATTTTGCCCATTTTTTGACTGTGTTGCTGTGCACTTCTCATTGACTTATTATTAGAAGTTCTTTAAATACTCTTGACATTAATTTTTGTCAGTTATATGAATAGCTCCATTTTCAATCTAATTGAGATAATTAGTCCAGAGACTAAAGGAGGCATGAATTTATTTTATCCTTTGATCAAACAAACCCACTATTCCTGACCTCACCTCATCGCCTTTAATCTTCTATTCTGCAAAACTAGCAGAGGGAGTGACATTGTGTCAGAACTAGAGAGAAGGCTGTATTCATTAGTGCATTCCAAGGGGAACAAACAGGGCGAGGGAGACCTAAAGCAAAAGCTTCATGTTATTTATTCTAAAAGAAGGCCGCGCAGCCCTCCCCATTTCTGTCTAGCTTTAATTAGTGGACATTCTTGATGCCTTTACTATCTTCTCAGAAAGTGGACTATATTTTTCCAAAGTAATCAAAGAATTACAGAGGAGTCTTTCTTTCCGTACTTCCCTTGGCAGAGATGAGACAGACATTGGAAAAAGCATATAGGGCTACATTATTCATGCAGATGAGTCTCACAATTCAATGGAGCTAATTAGGAAAATGATGGAGTAAATTAGCACTTTATGCAAGTGTATTAATATTAATAAAACTGCCATTTTACCCTGAGGTTAAAACAGAGGAGGAGAAAACCACAGCCTTGACCAGTGAGTCAACTCTCAGCCTGGCTGCTTACTGGAATACTGACCACCCTCATCCATCCTGGGTGATCTTGTTCCTTTTCTGTCATCAAAGTTGTCCTAATAAAAAAAAGAGAACTATTTCAAAGGCGTGGATGCGCTGTCCTTGTTTTATTGTTGTGGTTACTTGAAAGCAAATTCTGCATTTTCTTTCTTGTTGAGTCATAACTAACAGCACATTCTTGTTTACATGGTAATTTCAAATCCATAATCTTATTTAAGTTTTGCAACTAACTTATGAGGCAAAGTGCTGATATTTTCCCTATTTATAATTTAATAATTTGTCCACACATAAGAAATGATAACCCTCTGAGTGGACTATGAGAAGAAAATTTGAGCATTCCTTGACATCAGTTTTGTGGGGGACCAGGGTGAAGGGAGGCCTTGGGGAAAGAATGATTTCTATGCTGATGCCCTCAGGAGCTAGTTGGTGGAGCATAGGGAAGACGCTATGCTTCCTTTTTCTCCACGCATTCATTCATTTCTCTCCATATCCATTCTCATAGCCACCGCTTTGGCTCTAGCACCATCCTGGTCTCCACTCTTGCCCCCTAAAATACATTCTCCAACTGTGGTTAGAGTAGTCATTTGAAATCACAAATCTGATTGTGCCACCCTAGCCCAGCTATGAGCCTTTTGATAGTTCAACCTGGCTTTCAGAATTAACACAAACTCTCTCGCAATGGGGCCTTTCACAAACCACTAGCTTACCTCTGCATCCTTATTTCTGTCTGGTCCCACTGTCTCCATCTCTTCTTTCATATTGCAGCCACACGGAACTGCTTGCTGCCCCAGGTACACGCAGAGGCCCCTTGGTCTTCACGTTCTTACATCTACATGAAAGCTTCTCCCCTAGGCTCCATTGCCTGGCTCCTCAGGTTGGCAGCGTAGAAGTCATTCTTTCCCCGGTGCTTCTCTTCCTCCCTCCCCCTTACAAAACTGTTGTCAAGGAATGCTCAAATTTTCATCTCATTGCCCTCTCAGTGGGTTGTCATTTCCTAATCACTATCCAGTCTTCTCCACAAGACAGACAGTTTCTAGAGGACAGGGATTGGGGCACCTAGCACATTAGTTGTCAGGAAGTGTTGTCGAAAGAAGAGGTGAAGAGGGAGAGCGTGGATGGATCACATGGTTACTTAGGGTAGGAAGAGTTAGAAACCCGTCTTGAAGTCCTGTGCTCCCTCCCACATTCGCATCGTCTCACTGGCTCATGTTCGCCTCATCTCACTCAGAGTGCTGGCTTGGATAACCTGTAAGAGTATTCATTAAAACGTTCAACTTTTTCAAGACTCATTATTGGAATTCATTCTACATCTTCTGTAGATATGCTTAATTTGCTTCCAGAGGGTCATGGAATCTATAGGGAACTTCCTATTTTAGTTTACTGGATTTTCTTTTTCCCTGATGGTAATTAACTCTCGATTACCCATTCTCATTTTAGTGTTTTAAATCCTGAACCAAGTACCAATTTCCATTTAAAAGAAGAAAATCTTTCTAAAGGCATACAGATACAGAACCCTTACAAGCTTAACTTTCTATATTTTTTCCAATTATTTCCAAATTATTTATTTGTTCGAGGATTCCTTGATTTCATTCAAAACTGTTTATTGAGTAGGTCACCTATTATGGTCCAGGCAAAGTGCTAGGTGCTTATTCTCATTTAGGATTGACTTTGATAATAATCATGCACATTCCTAAATCTGGGATCCTGAGATGGTCCTAAGTGTGTTGGAGACTGACTTCTCTCCTACTCTATTATTGAATGTGTAAAATTCAGTGACTTACTTAACCTTAATTATTCTGTTTCTTCACCTGTAAAATGCTTATTATACTTTCTTTCATATCCAGATTGTTTACTTTTTACTAAAAACTACTTGAGGTAGTTTTTAGTAAAAAAAAATTGAGATATTTTCTCTAATCTCAAGGAATCTAGTCAGAGTGATAGATGAGTAAGTCAGTGATTTTTCTGCAATAAAATAATGGCTTAGTTAGAATTTTCAAGGAAAGCTATGGGAAGACTGGAGGTTTTATGGGTATTTCCATTAGATTGAGGGAAAGAAAGTAAAAAAAAGTTTTCAGAGCTGATGCTTGATGTGAGTTCTAAAGGATGAATGACAGTTTGCTAGAGAAAGAAGAAGCATCATAAACACATTCCAGGCAGTGGTAAAAGCACATTTCAACAGGCTGATGTATGATACAGAATTATCCTTTTGGAAAAAATAAGTAGCTCAGCATAGAACACAAAGAAAGAAAAACTTGTGAAAAAGGTAGAAATGAAAAGCCAGAGAGACAATTGGAAAACCAAGAGAAAATACATTCAGACTAGCAGAACAGAATGATTTACTGCAGGGAAAAGGAAGAATAGGCCTATTAGGAGAAGCAGAGAAAAGCAGATTTGAAAATACGGAGGTGTGATAGGCCGAATTGTAAGATGGACCTAGTGCAGGTACCCTGTATAATCCTCTCCTTTTGAGGGTGAACGGAACTTGTGAATATGAGAGGATTTCACTCCTATATTCAGGCTACATTAAATGGAAAGAAGAGATTTTGCATCATATGTGATTAGGTCCTTCACCAGTTTATTTTGAATTTATCTAAGGGAATATTCTCCTGGTTAAGTCTGACCTAAAAGGTGAGAGCCCTTTGAAAGAGAGAGGTGTGAGGTGACTGTGCTTTCTTTTGCTGGCCTTGCAGAAGCAAATGACCAGGTTGTGATATGCCAATGGAGGGTTCTCATGGCAAGAACCTGAGGATGGTGTCTAGAAACTGAGAAAGGTGACTTACTAACAACCAGTAAGAAAATGGGAACTCTGGTCCCACAAATGCAAGGAACCAAATTCTTTCAACCACCAGTAAGCTTAGAAGAGGACTCTGAGCCTCTGATGAGAACTACAGCCTTGGCCACCCCAGACCTTGATTTTGGCCTGGTGATGTCCTGAGTAGAGTGCCTTACTAACTCCTACTCACAGAAACTATAGAAAAACAAACATGTTGTTTCAAGTTGATAAATTTGTGGGAATTTGTTATATAACAATAAGAATTGAACACAGGAGGCCATGGGTGTCTTGGCTAGGGAAGTTGCAGTGGAACTATGAGAATGAAAGCCAGATTATGTGTGCTGAAGAGTAAATGGAAGGTGCTGAATTCATGCTGGGTAGATGAGAGTAAATAAACAGCCTTCTTAATGTGATGGAAGGAGCAGGTGTTCTACGGGGGAACAAAGGACAGGAGGGTAGAGAAATACTTGGTGGTTTGGCTGAGCCTGTGAGCGAATTTGTTAATCATGGATACACCACGCGTAACTCCAGGGAAGCAGAGGAAGCGGGCGGCAGGGTGAACAGAACACTACTGGGGTGAAAATGCGAGACAGTGCAGGTCACTGAAAGTTCTCAGGATTCTTACTGTAAATAGATAGTGTCTTCAAGCTGTTGCTGGTGGTCTCTGAAGCTTGCAGATGTTCACTGTCTGGGGTCCAATCAGCAGTCAGTGGTCTTTGGTTAGAGTTCTAAGAAAGATGCTGGTGTGAGGTTGGGAGGAAGTACACATAGCGATGGAAAATACTGGACAAGGTTCTGGGACCATCAGAGTTACAGCTGTGGCTGCCAGGCAGCTTGGACTAGTTAACATTTTAAGCCCTGTTTTCCTTTTATACTTACGAAAAGGGAAAATAATGATTAACAATATCTATTACTAAATATTGCAAGGATAAAAAAGAGAATAAATATTGCAATACTTTGTAAAATTTATTAGTATGTCTTATTCAGTGTGCCAGATAGTAAGTGCTAATCCTTATTTCCCCAAGGTCCCAGTACTGAGGAATATATAACATATTGATTGCCATTATATTGTAAGTACTTAATAAATATTTGTGAAATTCATCTTAAATGAATAATTATCGAGTAGTTATAAGGACTCTAAGAAAATAATAAGTGTTCAATACAGCTTAGCTATAATTGTAAGTTGTCTTATGTCTCAGCAGACCTAAGCCTTGGGTTTAGATGGTGGCATAGCATACTGGATCCGGGTCAATGAAATAGTCACTAAGCTTTCTGGCCTTGGGAAAGATCACCTGCAGGGTCAACCTAAAGCCCATTGGAAGCAGATGCTTTCCTGAATTTCACTCTTCTGTAAAACTTAGTTCTAGTAGTAGAGGTAGAATTATGAGACCTCTATCACAATGTGGCCCTCCAGGAACCTTCTGAGGAATCCAGACAATAGTAAACTCAATGGATTAGAACCTGACAAAGTGGCTGGCACAAAGTAGTACTTACTAAGAAGGAAATTACTTAGTGCCTTCTTTAATCTCTTTCTTTGTTTTTCTTCACTTTTACCAGTAGAATGTTAATAGGCCATTAACATAATTGGCTTTGCCTCAGAAGAACACATAGCCATATGTGGGCAAGATGTGCTGATATTTTTATTTTAAAAATGTAGATGTGTGTGGTGCTTTGTGGAGTACTCCGTATAAATAAATAACTTTCCTGGATGATATGGGAGACAGGGAAGAAGCAATAGCAGACATCAGCCTTGCTCTCAAAGTGCTTGAGCTACTCCATTATGTTTGGGGATGAAGTGATAGAAAAATGAGATGTGATCTCGGTTCTCCAGGAGCTTACCCAGTAAATAAGACAGGACCATAGACAGTGCACAAAGCAGCATGAGCAGCGAGAACAACATGCATGCAGTGCTCTGGGTGGTCACTCACCAGTCCCAGCAGCGAGTCAGGGCTGCGCCTTTCTTCTTGCACTGCTGGTACCTGATGCAGTGTTGACACAGGAAAAAAAAATGAAATATTTATTGCTTGAGTAACTGAGAGGCTTTTATTAAAGTGAGAACTTGATGGAGTTGGCACCAGGCCTGGACCAATCCCAGAGGCATTTACCCAGCATTGCACTTGGGTGCTGGCTTGGGCTGTGTTTTTCTCCCAAACTGTGATGCTATGAGAGTCTTCGCTGACCTGCTTGGGAAAGGTCACCGGGCCATGGCTTTAGCAGAGATTTTGATGTAGAGAGATGCTGGGGTGACTGCCTCTTGAAAAGCAACCTTGCAAGCTGGAGGGGGGCTGTTTTCCCTGTGGTGGTGGAAGACCAAGCATAGCACCAGCAGCTGTTCAGAGACAGGAAAGGCAGCTTCATTCAAAAAGCCATCATAATTTGGCAAGGAGTGTTCCAATCAGTAGCCTTCCTAAGGCATGTAATTGTTATGCAAATAAGCCACAGCACATTACCCAGGCTGGGAACAGGAGTATCAACTCTGTGATTTACAAGGGGCCAAGCCACCCAAGAAAGCTCTGGCATGCATCCCACGCTGGGGGCTCAGTGGAGCTGTCTTGGTGCTGGGCTCATAGAGAGAGCTGGCTTATTAAAGTTGACCAGTGGAGTGAGGCTGATTGTTTAAAAAGTGAAAATATCCGAGTTTAATAAGATGATCAAGGTCTGGATTTTGATTTTCTGCCTGCAAATATCAGTAACAGAATATTACAGCTGAACACGGTTTTAGAGATGACCACATATCCAAACTGCTTATATTTCAGAGGAGGAACCAAGGTGAAGGGTGAAGTGACTTATCCAAAGAACCCAGCTCCCCTTGCCTCCAAGTTCAGGGTCATTTGATGTCAAACCCAGCTGTCTCTTAAGCTAGTGTAGCTACAACTTTTTTTTTTTTTTTTGCTCTAAGCCTTTTATTGTCTCCTTTTTTACTTTCTTGTCTTGTCCAACGAATTCCTATTGTGAAGGAATTATGAAGATTTCTGGACACCTAAAGAGCCTTATTTATTTTCAGGAGGGTGCAGTCTGATATTATAGATGAGACAAACACCCAAGGAACTGCAGTATAAGCGTTAAGGAGGGAGAGAAAGGTAGAGGTGTTCAAAGGAGAGAGGGATCACACACATTTGGGATAAATGGAAGAACTTCATAGAGTAGATGATATTTAAAATGAGCTTTAAAAATCCTAACAGAGATAAGGAGAGGAGAAAGAAGCAGGGGCTTGTGGGAATATTAGCAGCAAAGGCAGAAGAAAATGGGGCTTGCACTAGGAACAAGAGTAGCCGAATTGGTCTGGAGATTGGGGAAATCTTAGTAGAGCAGATGTAAAAAGCTTAAGGGCCCGTATTCGAGCCGTAGAATCCAGGACAAGGCTCGGCAGAACATTATGCATTGGAAAGAGTTCTGGGTTTAGAACCCAAAGGCCTGCTTCTGCATCTTAGTTTCACAAATGTTTGGATATGTGACGGACACAAATACGTTAAACCTGTAAACCTTCATTTTTCTCCTTACAAGGTCATTGTAGAGATCAAATATGATGAAAATGTGAAACGCCTAACACAGAACCTGGCAAGTAAAAATGAGTTTCCATTTGTTTCTTCATTCTGTTGGTTTGGAAACTTCAGCTGACTCAGCTATCATAGTTTCCTGTCAATTCTTATTTGGTGATGTCATTGATTTTTACGTTTAACCCTTTTTCTAAAATAAGCTGAGTCTAAGATCACCATGTGAGCCAAGATGGCATCCATCGCTGTCTTTTTGTTTCCCCCTGTAATATCTCTCCTCTAGTCATTCTTACGTGTAATCGTCAGATTAATTTTCCTTGAACACCTCTTCAGCCAATAGTCAACTGCTAATGTTTATAAACGTGCGGTGGTTCCTGTGTGAGCTCATTGTATCAAATTCACATTCCTCCCTCAGGCCCTTTCCCGCCAGTGCCCGTTATCCCTCAGTGTTCTCCCAAAACCTCCTCTCAGGCTTTCCAGTAGCTTCCACAGCCTCCCCCTCCATCGACAAATCCCAACAGAACTCCGCCTTCAGGACCCAGTGCTGCCTGCAGAGTGGGCCCCTGTCACCTTGGACTTTGCTCTAACCACCACGTGGCCTTATCTACAGAAACCACATCCTAATCATCTCACTACATCTTATCTGTCTTGTTGCTGCTATGGGGCTGAAAGTGTTCTAAAATGATTGTCTTTTTCCATTTCTTCTGTATCCTGCCTGGTGCCTAGCACTGTGCAGGCATAAGATAAATGCCCAATACAACCATGCACTGCGTAACGACGTTTGGATCAATGATGAACTGTGTATGTGATGTGGGTCCCACAAGATTAGAATACCATATTTTACTGTGTTTAGATAGGCTTAGAGGCAGAAATACTTACCATTGTATTACACCTGCCTGCAGTATTCAGTATAGTAACATGCTGTTGCAGGTTTATAGCCTATAGGTTTGTGTAAGTGCTCTCTGATGTTTGCACAATGACAGGATTGCCTAATGGCGCATTTCTTAGAATGAATCCCTGTCATTAAGTGACACGGGACTGTATGTGCTGTGAAATAAGTCACCGTACACCTCGAAATTCACAGCGGACTTTCCTTTTTGCCCACAGGGAAATAGTTAATTGAAGGGAAACCCTTGGGCCCGTTGTTCTAGTTCCAAATGGACTTTGAGGCTGTGCCATTTACCAAATTATCTCTTGTCTATGAACTGAGCAGAGATGGCCCGGAAACCACCGAGGGAGAATGGAGATGGAAACGTACATCCTTGTTTTTAGTGTCAATTTTCTGACTGCATAACACACTTAAAAATTAAATTTGCTAAAGGCACTTCAAGTGCATTCCTTGCTAACACTTCATTACAAGGCACTTATCAGTAATAAATCCACAGGGCCTATGTTTTTTAAGAAAATAAGAAATACTTAGAACAAATACAGAAACCTTGCTTTCTTCCCACTTCCTATTTTAGTTCTAGGGGAAACAAATAATTTCTAGTTGAATGGATTAAAGATGTCAGACTGTTGTTAATATAGTACTTTCATAATAACAAAATGCCAAACTTAAATTCTTCTTTCAGAGATTTAATATAAACTGGCAACTAAGAAAGTAAGGGGAATATTTTGCTGATATTGTACATCTACTTATTATCCAAGAAGGATCTCTCTCTGGCTTTCTTTTTTCATAGTTCTAGCTAGAGGTTACTGAGACCTCAGGAAATACCCCATCTACTCATAGAGCTATGCTTTATTCAGCATCCATCTCATCTTCCTTTGTCCCTTCATCAAGTTGGTGAATATACATTTGCCATCCGTATTTCTTTTATCTCTTATTCACATTTTGAGGCACTATAGTGTGGCTTCTGCTCTCTCTACTCAACTAAAACTAATTTCCTTAAGGGCAATAACCTCTCTCTAACATCTAGACTCAAGATTCAGCACTTAACTTTTATCTTACTCAGCCTCTTTATGATATTTGACCAAATGGCTCAATATTTTGCTTCAACACTCTTCACCCTTTCATTCTGAATAGTCAGGCTTCCTCCTGCCTTTATAATCCCCCTGCCTTCTTCTCCATCAGCATCCCTTCCTTCTCAGTCTCTTACAAGCTGCTCTCCCAGCAAATTCTCCTGGTTAAACCCTCCCTCTCCCAGGGCCTCAACTGTTACTTACGTTCTGAAGACCACCAAGTCTACTTTCCCAGCTTCACATTTTTCTTGAGTGTTGAGATGTTAAGCAACATTTTGTTCTAGTAGAAATAACAATAAATGCATTAATTTGTAAACACATAAACAAAAACCCAGTATGCTAGATGGCAACATGCTCTAGAAAAATCGGGCTGGGGAGGAGGGAAGAGACCGTGGGAGGGTTGTGGAGAGGAGGTCTCACTGAGAGAACACTGGAGCAAAAACCTCTCGGCAGAGGCCATCCTGTGGATGTTTGGAGAAAGAGCCTTTTAAGAATATGTGGCTGCCACTTCATATGCCATAGGCAGGAGTGTGAGCAGGCTGTCTAAGGAACAAGGAACTGTGGCTAGAATGGACTTGTGGGAGAGGAGGAGAGGTCAGACAGGGATGAGGAGCCACGTCACACGAGGCTCTGTACTCTGAGTGAAAGGGGGCCAGGGGAGGGCTCAGGACAGAGGAGTGACATGAACAGACTTGCTTTAAACAGCTGTTCCTCCTGCTGTTGTGAGAATCTATTGCATGGCAGAAAGTGCGGAGTGATCCGGGTGTGAGACAGAGGTGGTTTAGAGCAGGTTGAAATGGATGGAGGGAGAAGGCATGGGATTCCGAATGTGTTTTGATGGCACATCTGGCAGTGGTTGTTGATGGGCCGGGTATGAGATATGAGAGGGTGGAAAGAGTCAAGGCTGATTCCAAAGTTTTTGTTCTGAATAAATGAAAAGAAGAAGTTGACATTTGTTGCGATGTGAAACATGTGGGGGCTGTGAGTTGGGAACGGGATGACATGAGGAGTTGGGGTTTGCACATGTTCAATTTTAGATGCCTACTAAAAATTCAAGTGGAGAGGGTAACTGAGCAGATGAATATTCAATTCTGGAATTCGGAGAAAGAGATGTGTATACGTGTGTGTATGTCTGTGTGTGCGTGTATATACACATGTATAATCTACACATTATACATATGCAAATGTATTTGAGTCATTAGCATAGCAATTATATTTAAAGCCATAAGAGTAGATGAGGTCTCCAAGGGGGAACATGGAGACAGAGGAGGACAGAGATCCAAAGACTGACCCCTGTTCCCTCACCCTGGATATTTCCTTGGTTATAAAGCCTTGCCATCTGAATCCTAGAAATATCCTTTATTCGTAGCTTCTGCAGAGCCACACCTTGCAGACCCCCGGGGTAGCCATTCACATGAGTGGTTTAAAGGGAACCCCTCTGGGACAAAAAGACAGTATGAGTATCACTTCTTTTGGAATGATGCTAGTCCTGCTTCCAGCTGGATGAGATTCAGCTCCTGTCATTTTAAGGCTTTTCAGCGGAGAAGATACCTTGATTGGCCTCCCTGCTACCAAACTCTTCTCTCCACTGTGACATCAGGGGGACTATGTTAAACCAAAATCTGATCACACCATTCCTTTCTTAAAAACCCATGTGACTTCTCACTTCTTAGAGGTTAAAAGTCAAATAATTTTAAAGGCTTCCCAAGCTTGGTCCAAACGATTTTCCTACCTTTTATCTCCTACCTCAGCACCCACTGGTCATCAACTACTTGTGTTTCTTTGTATCACCTGTGCTGTGAAGGTGATGTCCCTGTCTGCCACTATCAGACAGAGGTCCTATTTAGCCCGCCGGCATCCGGTATTTATTTCTGCCTCCACCAGTTTCTCAACACCATTCCTCCATTCTTTTTGTTTTGTTGGAAACTTCCCAAGTCCACAAACCATTTTCAGCAGCTCTTACATTTTCCACAGGACTTCCGTGTCTCCTCTGGCCCATTTCTGCTCTTCATTCTGTATCCAATCCTGATGTTCTCCAGGGACTGTGCAGATCTTATCTCTCCAATGAGATCATAAACTCCTTCTGGGCAAAAAAAGTAAATAAAAAAATAAAACCACACATTTTTTGTCCTATTCTCCATAGCATTAAGCAGTGTAGAGCCATTTTAATAAATACTTTTTGGAATTGAATTAAATACATTGAACCTGCTCCCTACTTTAGCAAGTTTGTAGATCAGGTGGGTCACCGAAGACTCCTATATGCACTCTATATAATTCTGTCTGCCAGCTGTGGCTGGGTACAGTAACTCCCAGGGCTCCCAAATATCTCTTCTTTATACAATTCAAGGACCAGATGACAGGGGTTCTGCCAAAGTGTATTTATAAGAATATGAAAAAAATATGGCCACATGAGCCACATGAGTGAATGCGTGGCTGCATTTACAGTGAGTGTGATACACATTTTCTTGTGATTTTGTGACTGCGATATGAGTAGATAGCTATCTATGAGCTAAATCTAGAGGGAAGCTGGCCCAGTTCCAGATTCTGGGTATTTTGGGATATTATTTAGTTGTTATTGACACAGTTGAGAATCAGCTGAGAGATCCAGCAGAGAGAGAGAGGTAGACCTTCCTTAGGAGCCCAGGGCAGGGGAACAAAGCAGCTGTGAATAGCTTAGCAATCAGGGCCTCCTATTTTGAATAAGTGTTTTCAACAAGCAAAAAAACAAAGCTCTTCATAAACAAAAATATCTAATATCCATTGAACCTGACAAATGACAAAACACTTTCACATGTATTATTTTATGAGACATACCAACTACCTTGCAAATAGACATTGAAAAGAGATGATGATCCCACTTCTATAAATGAGAGAATTAAGCTCTCAGATGTGGAGAAAGTAACCCAGTGTCGTGCAGGCAGGGAGCAGAGGAAAGTATGTGGGACAAGGGTCTTCACAGTCAACATCTAGTGCTTTCTGCTATGCGTTAACATTGTCCCCAAGACAATGAAAATTTCAAAAAGCTCCCTATGGCTTCATCTAAATTTTCTGCCCCTTCTCTAATCTCTTTTGAAATAAGGAATTCCGTGGAGACACTATCACTCATTCACATATTTGGCAGCCAAATAAGAACACTGTTTTCTTTTTCCTTGAATTTTAAAAGGTAATTTAATAAATAAATGAAAAACAAACCGAGAAGAGTAGCTGAACTAGGGCTTATGTTTCTAATAAAATTATAAATGCCAGAAAGTACTAGGAGTGATTTATTATCCTGTTATTATAAGTGACTGGGAAGCTTTCAATGGAGTCCTTGCTAATTTCTAGCAGCTGCATTAAATCAGAAACTCTATTAGCTATTATAAAATCATCATCCCATTTTTCTGCAAATCAACTTGAACACCTGATGGGAGCTTGGAACTGGTTGCGGCTATACATGCTAACCTCATCCTTGGCCTCCACAAGGGAAATAAACACGAGTCACAGGTGGCATGATACTGGTCACATCAACTGTTAGAGATTCATAAATGGCTGCCTGTTTTTTATAGGAGATCTTTCTGATGCGAAAACAAATAGCTTCTTTCAGCAAATACCACTTCATTAAGAGAACAGGAACTGAGATAGCATCAAGTCCTGTGTTCTGAATTTTAACCCCTCCCCCCACCTCATTCGATCCAGCTTTCCACCCTGGTCCAGCAGCTGTCCACCCTTCGTAAGAACAGAACAAATAACTAACTACAGACAAATCTTCTGGAAATTGCTGGCATTTCTACCCTTTATTCTGATTTTCACAATAAAATACACCTCCAACGATCCACTCTATCATGACCAGATAAGTAACACCTTATGTTGGACAAGGAAGAAGAGTCAAAAGCAGATATCAGTAAATCTTTGAAACGAGCTTTAGTCTTATGTTTCAAGAGATAGCTAGGCCGAGGTGGGCGGATCACAAGGTCAGGAGATCGAGACCATCCTGGCTAACATGGTGAAACCCCGTCTCTACTAAAAATACAAAAAATTAGCCGGGCATGGTGGCGGGCACCTGTAGTCCCAGCTACTTGGGAGGCTGAGGCAGGAGAATGGTGTGAACCCGGGAGGTGGAGGTTGCAGTGAGCCAAGATCACACCACTGCACTCCAGCCTGGGAGACAGAGCGAGACTCCATCTCAAAACAAAAAAGAAGACAGGAGAAGGTACTATCTAGAAGATATGCCTACTATGTGGACAGATCTTGGCATAGGGGATGCAGAGTGCAAAAAAGAAAGCCAGCTGCTGATGATAGGAAATGACTAAGTAGGAAGAATAAAGTAGAATTTCCAGAAAAATAGATTTTACAGGACTTAGTAAGAGGTTGGATGTGAAAAGTGTGCTTGTTTTTTTTTTTTTTTTTTTTTTTTTTTTTTTTTTTTTTTTTTTTTTTTTTTTTTGCTTGAAACCTGGATGGGACATCCAGGCTGGAGAAGTTGGGTAAATTAAGGGAATCTGAAAAGTTATTTTTTATGCTGAGTTTATGCACCCATATACTCATATTATATGCTTCTTCCTCATTGCCTTTCTACTTGCTATTTTCTCTGCCTGGCATTTTTTCCTCCAAAACTTTGCATGGTTCATTTGATGAAATGTCACTTCATCAGAGAGGACTTCCATAGCCATACAACTGAAAACAAAACTTCCATCATTTGTTATTCTTTTATCTGCTTTATTTTTCTTCAGGATACTTACCACTTCCTATCATTACATTATATTTGTTATATTTTCTTTCTTTCTTATTTATTATCCTACTGCAATCTTAAGTTTCATGTCAATATAGACTTGGTCTATATTGTTCACATCTGTATAATCAGCACCTATAGTGGCATCAAGGTAGGTGCGCAGTAACTGTGGAGAGAAAGAATGAATGAGTTCCAGAAAAGATACTAAAATAGCAGGTGGATATATATGTACAGAGCTCCAGACTTAAGAGACTGATTAGTGAATTATTAGCTTATAGGTAATAATTGAAGCTATAGACTCTGGAGAAAGTATAGAGTAAACAGACGAGAGGGCCTTAAACAGAGCCTTGAAGAACCCCAACATTCAGAATCCAAGCAGAAGAAGGTAATCTTGCAATGAAAACAAAGAGAAAACAGGCTTAGGGCTAGGAGAAAATCAAAGGACAATAGTGTTTGAAGGAAGAGAAAGTGTTGAAGGATACAGAGAAGTCTCGAGAAGTTGAAGGTTTAAGAATACCCATTGGATAGTGCTGCAATAAACATACATGTGCATGTGCCTTTATGGTAGAATGATTTATAATCCTGGTGTATACCCAATAATGGGATTTCTGGGTCAAGTGGTATTTCTGGTTCTAGATCCTTGAGGAACTGCCACACTGTCTTCCACAATGGTTGAACTAATTTACACTCCCACCAACAGTGTAAAAGCGTTCCTATTTTTCCACATCCTCTCCAGCATCTGTTGTTTCCTGACTTTTTAATGATCGCCATTCTAACTGGCATGAGATGGTATCTCATTGTGGTTTTGATTTGCATTTCTCTGATGACCAGTGATGATGAGCTTTTTCGGTGACCATAGGAAGAACTTTGGTAGAGTGGCGAGTTAAAGGCTGTATTGGTATGCAAAGTGTGATGGGGAGATGAGAAATGGAAGCGAACATTTTGGAAAACTCTTTGAGATACTTGGCTGAAGTGAGGAGGAAACTAATAGAGAGGTAGCTGGAAGATGAAGGACCAAGTTAAAAAGTTAATTTAGTTTATGTTGTCATATATTTCAAATAGAAAGGGTAAACTTGATATAGTGAGGCTGAAATATAATAAAGGCAAGAAATGCTTATTAGAGTAATTTTCCTGAGACATCAAGATGGGATAAAACCCAAAGCATGGCCAGAGACATGAGTGATTATGCGAGGAGGGACAGCTTCTCCATAGCAGCTGGAGGGAAAGAAGACCCACGTGTAGATAGGTCTGTGTGCTTGGTAAGGGGCAGGCTAGACCAGATCCACTCCGTGCTTTCTCTATGCTTGGTAAGGGGTAGGCTAGGCCAGATCCACTCCGTGCTTTCTCTATGCTTGGTAAGGGGTAGGCTAGGCCAGATCCACTCCGTGCTTTCTTTATTGCTCTTAAGTAGAAGATGATCATCTGCCGAGAGCAAAGGGGAGATGAGTGGGGACTCAGGGGAATGAGAAGATTGGAGAAGGTTTGGAAAAGTCATTGTGGAAAGTAGATGTATGAAGTGACCAAAGATTAGCTGGAAAATTGTAGAATAAGGCTGAAGGGTCTTTGCCTTTGGTGAGCATGAGTTTATTAAGTAATCAGTCAACTTTGTTGTGTCCTTAACTGTGCTTGACTTCTCAGCTGTAGACTCAGAGAAAACAGAAAGCTGAGTTCACCCAGGCTTGGAATTTGATGACAAGTTTGTGACAAAAAGATTATTGAGCAAAGAAGTCTAAGGTGTTGGAGCAATTATAATAACAAACCATGAAATCCAAGCTGGTTTAGAAGGAAACTGAAGAAAGTAGAAACCTTTTGAATTGAGTTAAAGTACAGGAGTCAATGGCCAGGAAGTTGCAAAATGGTCAAAGATGCATCATGGTGGGAATAATTGGAGAAGCAAGCTGACGAAAGAGGGATTGTGGTATAAGCATGGGATGTCTGAATAAGTGATTTTGGAGGTGGAAGGGAACAATTATATTTTGTGACAATACCCACTTGCACAGAGCCTCATCATAAGCTCCATAAAATCCCTTAGAAGGAGGAGAAGGAGGACATTTGTCTTAAAATCTAGGCCAGGATGGAGCCAGAAATTGAGGATGAAGAGACCTCATTGATGAGGAGAAAAAGGTTGTCAAGTCAGGGTCTGGCACTAGCACAAAAGTTGATTAAAAACAAACAAACAACACAAAACTGTCATACTTGCTGACACTCTTTGGTGCAGGGAGATAGCTGGAGGCTCAGTACCAGGTATGGGCTGTGTGAGGCTCTTCTCAGACCTGTGTACACTCAGGCTTCCTAACATGGAGTTCCAGGTGCCAGACAGACCTAGGTGGTGCTTTTTTCCATCAACAACATTATGAACCAACAGCAATCAACTTCTGGTCTGTGGAATGAGTACAGCCAGCCTCTCAGGGCCTCAAGCAGAGGGAGCAGGGGGCTGCGGTTTCCCATGAAGATCACAGAACTCACTGAGAACAAGGAAGGGCCTGTTCCCAGTTCTGTTTTTGTTCAGCAGCAAACAGAGCCACTTGTCAGGCTGACGGTCCTTGCGCATTGCTACTGTGGCAATAGTCTGAAAGAGGGTAGAGGGAAATGGAGGAAAGAGACATTAAAAGGAAAATGTCACCATTTCCAAATGCCATATTATTTGACAGTTTCTCTTTATGTTGCAACAGCTGCTTAACATGACAAACGATGGCTTTAATAAAAACGCACACGAAGAGATGCAGCACCAGAAAATGAATAATGGGGCTTTCCATCCTGACATGTTGTGGAGCATATTCACTCAGCAATGAATATGACCTTGGTAACTGTGTGTTGCCTGTTGCTTTCAGACAACCCCTGCCAGGTGGATGGCCCTCATGCCAGTCAGGTTGCAGTTGCTGTAAGCCCAGAATACACCGCAACTTGTTTTAGCAGAGAGGTGTTTAGTGTGGGACATTAAATGGCTTGCCCAGTCATCAAGAGGGTAGACAAAACAGGTTGAATTTTTAGAAAATCACACCGCAGGACTGGGGCCACCAAGACTTCCTGTTTTACAACGAAGAAGCTGCCATCTCTCCCAGTCAGAGCCACCCAAAATCAGGAAGACATTATTATCAGGAAACTGCAGCCTCTGGGAAGCTGCCTGGACCAGGAAGCCACTCTATGTCTGCCTGTGTGACCAGCACCAACAAGAATGCCCCATCCCTGTCTCTGAGTACCTGGGATGGCAAGTATTTAGGCCCTTGGATTCCTGTTAATGGTTCTGCTGTAAAAGCAAATGACTCCACATTGATGCTTGCCAAGAGGATAACGGCAGCAGCAGTAGCAGCAGGGTGGTTAATGTACAAGTAATTGAAGTACAATAAGTTACATACAAGGTGTCAGGCTAGATTGGGGCCAGTAGGGTCTAGTGGTTTTAGGGCCCACATATCTAGATTTGGGAGTAGATAATAAAGCCAGTATTGGTGTGGTTTGGAGGCGGGAGGGAAAGAGAGTAAAGAAGAGGGTGGGAAAGGTGACAGTGTAATGACCAAACAGCCTGCCCTCAGCCCCAGGACTGCAGACAGAGCCTCCCTGGAATTTTGATAATCATGTGTCTTCACACTTCACTTACTGTCTTGTCACCTCTGTACAGCTGCATAAGGAGAAGAAAGCTCTTTGCCATTGAAAGTTTTACAAAGAGGCCATTCCAAGTCACTGATCAGAGCTAGATGTATCAAGTCAAGAAAAGCTATAGTGCAAAGCACATCAATGCTGGAGAAGAATCAAGAATGGGGTGGGGCTGAACGCACGGGCTTAGCTGGAATGATATAAAGAAAGGCTGTGTTTGCAGGGAGCTTGAAGACTCGCGCATGTCCCTGATAAAGTCATGAAAATCTGTTGTTCATTTTAGCATGTTAGAAACATGCTCATTACTTAGTGGAAAGCAAAAATCAATAGAAGAAAAGTGGCACAGCAAACTGTATGAAAGCCATTGGGAAATTTTAGTCAATATTTACTGATCACCTACTATGTGCAAGCTATTATAAAGAACAAAATAATATTTTGTCTGTGTAGTCAAGGAATTAAGGCCTTCATCAATCTTGTCAGAGCCCTCAGCTAGAGGAATTTTGAAAGATGTTGTTTTTCAGCTTGCCTTCTTTCTCAACAGCTAGAAAAAAGGCTTCTTTGTGACAGTCGGTCACTGTGTATGAAAAGGTTAAAGTCCTTTTAGTACTGTGCTATAAGGGATTGAGAGAGAAATGAAGACTCTGCCACTGTAGCCAAGGAGATGATGGTCTACCTGAGGAGCTAGAACACCAGGAAAACAATGCACAGTTTAATTGGCAAGAACCTAATAGAATAGAGAACATAAGGTAGGGAATTTCTAATTGCCAAAGAAAAGATCAATGAAGTAAATTCTATAGTAACTAAGAGAAATTTAAGATAACTTCAGCTATGAGTACTACAGGAGGCTTTTCTAGAGGAAGGTAAGATTTAAGCTGTTTAGAAGAAAAGACAGAACTGGCCCTGACAGAAAGGAAAAGTAAGATTATCATGAGTAGGAGAAGCAACATAGGCCAAAATGTATATATGGAGACAGTGAGTTACATTTGACTGAAATGAGGGTTTATGTGACATTTATGGAAAAATGACTTTATTAAAAATAAATTTTTCATAGCTGGAAAAAAAGTAAAGTTTTATTATAAAGATCCATGAATGCCACAATAAATAATTTTAAATATACTCTGTAGGCACTGATAATACTGAGATTCCAAAGGAGATCAGCCTGGTATGTGCAAAATCAAGTAAATATGATTCTGGAGTTCTCAAAAACTGTTATAATAGGTTGATCTTCTTTTAAATTAAGGAAAAGCTGGGGTTTTTTTGTCCTAATATTTCTCTCCTTTGCATTTTTATTTGTATGATTCTCCATATTCAAACACACCCTTCCCAAAAGGGTAATTAGACTTGAGGTAAAACTTCTCTGAGTATAAATAAAATATTTCGTATGTGCCTATATAATTCTTTGAGGATTTTCAAACAGTAAAATGAATTTAAAAGTGAAAAACATGTATTTTGAAAACACATAATGAAGCATGTGAAAGAGGAGGGGCCTCGATGCACTTGGCTCCTCTAAGGTAGAAGGTGAGGGGGCACCATGACCTGGAAACCATGAAGAGGGAGATGGATGAGTCACTAAACAAACAAGCAAACAAGAGAGCCAGGAGGGTCAGTGTCCGGAGTTGCTGAAATGTGTTATATAAAATATTCAGATTTCAACAAAAAATTATGAGACACGAAAAGAATCAGGAAAGTGTGACTTTTCAGAAGAAAAAAATACAGCAACAGAAACTGCCTGTGAGAGGCCACAGATGTCAGATTTAACAAAGACTTCAAACAGACATAATAAATATATTTAAAAAACTAAAGGGAATAATGCTTAATGAAATAATGTAAAGGTATCATGACAATGCTTTATCAATTAGAGAATATTGATAAGACGTAATTGAGCCCCAAAAGAAGCAAATGGTAAATTCTGTATTTGAAAAATATAACCTAAGTTTAAAAAAATTATGAGAGGGGCTCAGTAATAAACTTCAACTAGCAAAAGAATCAATGAACTTAAATATGTATTGATGGAAAGTACGCAATCAGAAAAACAGAGAAAAAAGTGTGAAGAAAAGTGAACAGAGCCACAAGGGCATATGGAACACCACTAAGTACAACAATTTAAACACAGTTGCAGGGGGGGTCCCAGAACAAGAGGAGAGAAAGAAGAAATATTTAAAGTTGAGAATTTCAAAAACTTGATAGAAAAATTGACCTACACATCTAATAAACTTAACAAACTCCAAGCAGGATAAATGTGAAAACATCCACACCCATAAGCATCATAGGGAAAAGGTTGAAAGACAAAAACAAAGAAAATGTTGGAAGCAGCAAGAGAAAACTAACTTATCACATACAAGGACTCTCCAACAATATTAACAGAGGACATTTCGTTAGAAACAATGGTGGAGACTATAAGGCAGTAGAATGACATATTTAAAATGGTATTTTTAAAAGAGTCAATCAAAAATAGTTTACCAAGCAAAACTAACGTTAAAAAATGAAGGTAATGCAATGGCATAAGAATGACACAATGGACTTTGGAGACTCAGGGGGAAGGGTGGGAGGGGGGTGAGGGGTAAAAGACTACCAATTTGGTTGAGTGTATAGCGCTCTGGTGATGGTAACCAGATACCACCTGTTTCCAAAAACCTATGGAAATAAAGAATAAAATAAAACCAGGAATTTAAAAAAATGAAGGTGAAAACTAGAAGCTTTTCCACTAAGATGAGAAACAAGGCAAGGATGTCCTCTCTCACCACTCCTTTTAAACATTGTACTAGAAGTCCAAGACAAGAAAAGGGAAGAAAAGCATATTAATAGGGAAGGAGGAAGTAAATCTGTTTGCTGATGACATGATAGTCCATATGCTGATGACACGATAGTCCATATACAAAATCTGAAAGAATCAACAACAACAAAAAAATTCCTGGAACTAATAAGCAATCATAGCAAGATTGCAAGATAAAAGATTAATGATATGCTTAAAATATTTGTCCTCTCCCAAACTCATGCTGAAATGTAATCGCCAATGTGGCAGGATTGAGAGGTGGGGACTTTAAGAGGTGATTGGGTTATGATGGCTCTGCTCTCATGAATAGACTAATTCATTCATGGCTTCATGGATTAATGGGTTATCATAGGGGTGGTACTGGTAGCTTTATAACAAGAGGAAGAAAAAAGACAAAAAAAAGATTTGAAGCTGAGAATTTCAAGGAGGAAGAGAGATCCAAGCGAGCATGCTCAGGCCCCTTTCCATTGGATGCCCTGCCATACCTCAGGACTCCACAGAGGCCCCACCAGCAAGAAGGCTCTCACTAAGTGTAGCTCTTAACCTTGGACTTTCCAGCCTCCAGAACTGTAAGAAATGTTTTGTTTCTAAAAATAAATTATCCAGTTTTAAATATTTCATTATAGCAACAGAAAAACAGACTAAGAGAGTAAACATGCTAAATTTAACCACTCTCCCATATACCAGTAATGAGCAAGTGGAGTTTGAAATTAAAAGCACAATATTATTTACATCAGCACCCACCAAAATAAAATACTTAACTAGAAACCTAACAAAATATGTACAAGATAAATGTGTCGATATATATTTGTCAAATCCACGGAATGTACAACACCAAAGGTGAACCCTAATGAAAATTACAAACTGTAGGTGACAATAATGTATCAGTATAGGTTCAGCAATTGTAACAGATGAGGGAAGCTCTTCATATGTGCCTTCGTTTCAAGTTTGTTGTGAACCTAAACATGCTCTGAAGACATTAATTCCTTAATTTAAAAAAAATGAAGGTGAAATAAAGACATTTCTAGGTAAACAAAAACTGTGAGAAACCTTGCTTGCAGACCACCTTACAAGAAATACTGCAGCATAGTCTTGAGGCTGAAAGAAAGGGACTCTAGAGAGTAATTTAAATTGATACAAAAAAGCAAATATTACTGATAAAAGTAATTATGCGATTATAAAAGGCAGTATAAATGCCTATTCCTTCTTTCTTAATTGATTTAAGAAAACAATTGTAGAAAGCAATGTGTACATAATTGTATTGTTGTGCTTATAATATATAGAAATGTAATTTATCTGACAATAACAACAGTAAAAGTGGTGGGTGGGTGCCAACTTTTATTAGAGTAATGAAATAACACCAGATGGTAACTTGATTCCACAGGGTCAAATAAAGAAAACAAGAAATGGCAAATAAGATGGTTAATACCATCAACTCTATAAATAGATACTTGTTTTCCTTTCTTTTCTCAGCTTCTGTAAAAGTCATATAATTAATTAAATAGTAGCTTATAAAAATGCACTATTGGTTTGTAACAATACAGTTGTAATATGTATAAGAAACAAAATGTGGGAAAAGGGCATAAAGCTATATAGAAATAATATTTCTATGTCTCACTGGCATTAAGTAAGTATAAATCTGAAGTAGATTCTGATAAGTTAAGACATATACAGTAAGTCCTAGAGCAATCACTAATAAAATATCTCAATAAAATAGAGTGAAAAAGTATTAATATTAAAGAGATTAAAATGTTGCATATAATATGAAGAAAGCAGCAAACGACAAACAGAGGAACAAAAAAGGCATGTGACACGTAGTAAACAAAAAAGTAAATCTAAGTACATCACTAGTAACATTAAATGTGACTAGATTAAACAATCAAAAGGCAGAGATTGTTAGACTTGATAAAAATGATAAAATCCAACTACATACTATCTATGGGAGACATGTTAGATACAAATAGGTTGAACTTTAAAAAATAAAAATATATATTCCATGCAAACAGGAATTAAAAAGCTGGAGTGGCTATTTCACAAAATATATTTTAAAACAACAAAATTTACTGCAGATTGAAGGACATTTTACTATGATAAAAGGGTCAATCCATCAGGAATATACAAAAATTATAAACATAAGTACAACAAATCACAGAGCCCCAAAATATACCAAGCAAATATTGATTTAAAAGAAGAGGGAAATAACCAATTCAACAATAATAATTGAGGATTTTAGTACTTCATTCTTAATAATATATATGAAACTAGGCAGATGATACAGGGAAATAGAAGATAAGAACACCATTATGAACCAACTATAACCAAAAGACATCTATGAAGCACTCCATTCAACCACAGCAGAATATACATTATTTTCAAGTACATATGGAGCATTCTCCAGAATACAGCAGATGCTTGGCCATAAAACAGGAATTCATAAACTTTAAATGATTGAAATAATGGAAAGTATGGTATATGACTTGATCAAAATCATACAGTGTAGTATCTGACTATACTAAACCTAAAATAGAAATAAATAACAAAAAATTGAGAAATTTAAAAAAATGGAAATTAACACACTCAAATACCAATGATCAAAGAAAAACAATCACAAGGGTAATTAGAAAATATTTTGAAACGTATGAAACTAAAGACACAACATAGCGAAACATACAAAACACAGTTAAAGCATTGCTTAAAGATACATTTTTAGGTGCAAACACCTATATTTAAAAAGAGAAAAATTTTCAAATCAATAATCTAACTTTCCACCTCAAAAAATGGGAAAAAAATAGAAAACTAAAGCTAAAGGAGAAAAAGAAAATAATAAAGATAGGTGGAAATTAATAAATAATAAAAATAGTAAAGAAAATAAATGAAACTACAAATTGATTCTTTGAAAATATCAACAAAATTGACAAACCTTTGGCTAGTCTGAACATGAAAAGAAAGAAAAGATGCAAATTACTAAAATTAGAAATAAAAGAAGGGACATTATTAATGACCTTACAGAAATAAGAATAATAATAAAACACTATCAACAGTTGTGTGCTGGCTAGGCTCAATGGCTCATGCCTGTAATCCCAGCACTTTGGGAGGCCAAGGCAGATCCATCACAAGGTTCAGAGGTGGAGACCATCCTGGCCAACATAGTGAAACCCCCTCTCTACTAAAAAGACAAAAATTAGCTGGGCGTGGTGGCCCTTGCATGGAGTCCTAGCTACTCAGGAGGCTGAGGCAGGAGAATCGCTTGAACTCAGGAGGCAGAAATTGCAGTGAGCCAAGATCACACCACTGCACTCCAGCCTGGCAAGAGAGCGAGACTGTCTCAAAAAGAAAACAAACAAACAAAAAACAACAAACAACAACAACAACGACAAAAATATGTGCCAATAAATTAGATAACTTAGATGAAATAGCTAAATTCCCAGAAATTCACAACTACTAACATTGACTCTAGAGGAAATAGAAACTGTAAATAGGCAAGAGGTTTAATTAGTAATTTAAACATCTCCCCCCGACACAAAACAGCCTAAGACCAAATGGCTTCACTGGTGATTTCTATCAAACATTTGAAGAAGAATTAACACTAATTTTTACAAGCTCTTTTCCACCTCCTCCCCCCAAAAAAGAGAGAGAGAGAGAAATGGAAGAAGTGGGAACACTTCGGTACTTATTTCCAGATGAGGAAGATGAGGCTGGCGAGGACGAATAAACTTCCCTAGGTTGCACAGCTTACAAGCGATAGGGTGAAGATCTGAACTCTGCTTATCTAATTATTTTCCTACTCTGTGTCACCCATGTAGTGAGAGATACAGAAAAGTGTAGAAAATGGTTACTATCTCCAAAGACACAAACTGTCTAATTAGACACATAAGAATAACATCTCTGAGGAAACAAGATGCAAAATACAGTGTGTTGCAATATAAGGAATGCAGAGATTTGAAGTAAATGACCTAGGTCTGAATCCACCAGTCTCTGCTTGATGGCTCTGGGCAACTCACATAAACTTTCTGAGCCTCAGTTTTCCCATTTTCAAAATTGGCGTATAACAGCTTCCTCTCTGGCCTTCATAAAGGAACGATAGAATCTACATAGCAGGTAGTAGTATTACCCACTATTCCATGTCAAAATGTGTCATCCACATGTGCCTGCTGAGGGGATCAGAGGACCCTGGTGCCAACTGTAAGGTCACGGAGGAGTGGACGTTTGGCAGAGCCTTGCATGGTAGCGACTGGGCAGGAGGAAGCGGTAGGATGTAACAGGGAGGACTGGTGAGCAGGTTTGTAGGTTGAGAAGGAACAAATGGCTTTCTTAACAAACGTTTCTAGACATTTTATGTACTCTCTCATGCAATCACTTCCTAGCCAAGTAGGGCTGTTATCATCCTCATTTTTCAGGTGAGAAAACTAAGGCTCACACAGGTTATGGCATATGTCTTCAGTTCTTATAGTTACTCAGGGGTGGAATCAGGATTTGAACCCACATCTGAAGGATTGATCGCAAAGTCCAAACTCTTACCATAATGTCATGCTAACATCTGTTACATAACAACATCTGCTGTGAAAAGCAGTATCATGAAGACTGCACACCAGGCTTGTAACTGGAGATTCTCTCTTCTGCTTCAAATAATATTCCCATGTGTTTTTGTAGTCAACACGATTCAGACACTGCACTGAAACGATTCTTCTCTTTTACTTATATATCCTTCTTCTCTCATTTCCTTTGTCATTCCCTCTGCACCTTCAGGTGTTTCCTGGACTGTGACTTTCCTCTCAACAGCACCATTAGGTGTGTCTTGCCCTCTGGGTTCAGCACAGAAGGATTTCTCTGCCAGCCTCCAGAGGCTTCCCTCCTGCACACAATGGCTGCTTGCAGAGTGGGCACAAGCCTGACCTGCCGTATACATTCACTCACCTGAACTGATATCGAATGAGGAAGTGAGTAAATTCAATTCCAAGTGTGTAACTACAGAAGGGTTCAAGATGCAGCTGGTGGCCCTGAAATCTTAGGTGCCCGACCCTAACGTGCAGCTAGGATATAGGTAGAATGAGGACAGAGACAATGTTCGAATGTAGAATAATAATAAAAAAAAGTAAGACCAGCAACAATTAATAATAATAATAATAATATCGTAATACGGATAGGAAGAAGAGCTAATATTTGCTGACAACCTAGACCCTGGCATTCTCTGCTCCCTCACTTTTCTCTTCCTCTATATAAGAATGGTGAAGGAAGTGGAAGCAGGAAGGACATTCTCACCGCAAGAGCCACAGTTTTTTTTTTTTTTTTTGAGACCCAGTCTTGCTCTGTCACTAGGCTGGAGTGCAGTGGCACGATCTTGGCTCACTGCAACCTCCGCCTCCTGGGTTCAAGCGATTCTCCTGCCTCAGCCTCCTGAGTAGCTGGGATTACAGGAGTGCTCCACCACACCTGGCTAATTTTTTGTATTTTTTAGTCGAGACGGGGTTTCACCATATTGGCCAGGCTGGTCTTAGACTCCTGACCTCGTGATCCGCCCACCTCGAACTCCCAAAGTGCTGGGATTACAGGCGTGAGCCACCGTGCCCAGCCCACCTGTCAGTATTTGAAGACAATTTGTGGTGTAGTGATTGTTGTGTTCAAGGAAATCTTCAAGCAGAACCTGAGGGCCATGAGTTGGGAATTGCACATGGGAGATGTTAGCGTTAACACACATTACAAAAATGATATCGGAGGCCCTTTCCAGGTCCTAAAGTCTATGACACGGTGATTTTCAAGTAACCTGAAGCCCACCCTGCAAGCATCTGGGGTTCTAGTGGTGGGGTGGATAATGACATGCCAGTTTCCCGTGTTGGAGCCCAGGGGTGGTCACGTCAGGCTTCACGGCTGCAGGTCCCCATTCAGAGATTCCTCTATGCGTGTCAAGCAGGCCTCCTGCTCTGTCTGGCAGAGAAAACAGTCTCTGTTTTGTCTTCTTATCTACTGGGGGAAGGCAGGCTGGTGGGGATGAAGTGCTTCTGAGGTTGGAGATGCTGAAGCAAAAAGCTAAGTTGGAGAGCTCCTGGTGTAAAGTAAATATTGTACGAAAAACAGCAAAGACTGAAAACCCAAATGCGGTGAAGTGCCTGCCCGTGAATGGATCAAAATAGTGCCTCCCACAACCTTTGTCACAGCCTTCTTTCCCAGAGGAGGGCTCCAAGGTGGGGATGGTACAGAGTAGAGCCAAGGCTGGGGTCGGTGGGAAACATGGTTTTAAACACAGACTTGTCCATTCGGGGAGTGTGTTTGAAGAAATAAATGACATGTCTTTAACTGGGTGCCCCCTCTGTGACAAATATGAGAATAATAGCAGGGTTTTCCTTTGGTCCACAATTTCTGTTCTCTCACGCGACAGTCTAGACTTAAAAATCTTTTCCTCAAGCTCTGAGTAGAAATCACTGACTAGGCAAACTGATGATGCACAGGCAAAATTAGTCTGTTTACCATGTGGGAGCTTGCTAATTGCAAACGAATGTGAGTTCCCAGGCACACTCTTGGTCTGCAGATGCTGTCTTCATCATGATGGGGGAGGGTGAGCAGGCAGAGAGAGCCCGGGCCGGGATTGGCTGAGATAATTGGGCTGGTTTCTGTGCTGTGCTTTCCCCTTGCTCAGTTTTCTTCCTGAGATGATTCATCAAGAAGCCTCCTTGGCCCTCTGTTGTACAGTGTTACAAGCATCCAGTTAAAACAAACGCCAGGATGAAAATGGACCTCCTACGGAAAAGTGTCACACTCATTCATTTAGCAAACATGCACTGAGCACGGCCTCTTTGCCAAGCATTGTGCTTGGTACTGAGAATAAAGAAAGACCTCAGTGCAGTAGCAAAGAGAAAGTGTCCTGGACTCAACTAGGTCAAATGTATTGTAACAAGATTACAGTACGGAGGATAGAATTCTGAGGGCATCCAGAAGACAGAGGGAGTGCTTTTGCAGAGGAAACTGGAAGACTGCCCAGGGAAGGTAATTTCTGAGCCTGACCTTAGAGGCAAGACTTGTAATTTGGCTGGCAGAGGAAGACCTTTCATATGGCAGAAGCAACAGGAGCTAATGCAGAGAGAGATGGAAATGTCAATATTTTCCTAGAAAGGCCAGTGGTCCAGCAATGGCCAGGGATCTGTAGGCTATTAACATCTGAAAGAGGCTTTGCAAATCATCAGTCAAAGGGGCTCATCGTACAGATGAGGAAACCAAAGGCCACAGAGCTGACCTAACTTCTGCAAAGTCTGAAACCATGATTTTTTCAGTTGCTTAGCCCGGCCCTGTGGGCCTATTTATATTTACCATTCTTCACACATATTTAGGTAATAGAATTACATCTCACATCAGTGTGCTCGGCACTGACTTTTCTTCTCCTTGCTACATCTACGAATAGCATCGCTTGACTCTTCCACCTTAAATGTGTCCATCATCCTCCCCATCATTGAAGCTATCTATCAAATATGGAACCAGAACGGCCATGTCAGACACTCTATACACTATTTGTTTATATCTTGGGCTCTTTAGAGCTACATATATCTTTGTGCTGCTTATCCTTAAAATGTACTTTTTTTTAAAATTTAAGACGTAGAAATCTTAGAATCCATTCTTCTACGGCATCAATGTGCTTAGAAACATCGTGTTTCAAAGCTGAAAAGACACTGGGATGCAGCTCAGCTCAGGGTGCTGCTCACATGTCTGTGTCAGTGTCTATATCTCCAGGAAAACTATTTTTGGGACTCCCTGCCCAGCACTATTTATTAGTTTTCCGTTAATTACGATGAGGATGCCGAGGGTTATTTCTGACAGACCCTTGCTACTTGAAGAAGAAAGTCACTCATGCCCTTTTTCGGAATCCGGCAGCTTTGCTCTAGATGGAGGCTGCTAGATTCAGCAGGAAGGGGCAGGGTGTTGTTCATCGCCGCACCTGCTGCTTCTCCCCTCAGCCCCGCTGTGTCCTCAGCATCACTGCAGCCTCACCCCAGTTACAAGGTTGTCCAGCTGCAGACCCAGTCTCCAGTATTCTCTTCGGGGCCCCAGTAACATGGGTTGATTGCATACACAAAGATGTCAGACCAAATCACCACGTCTGGGAATTGTCGGTAAAACAGTGTGTGGAATGAAATGCGCACATTGCCAAAGGGTGGGGGAGATTCGAAAGCAGGATATCTTGACAGAGAGAGAAAAGTGTTGGAATTAATTCATAAACGTGTCGGATGGAAATTAGCAGCTGAAGATTTGCAAAGGGAGAAGAGACAGAGGGAGAGAGAAAAGGGAAGACAGACAGATGGAGAGGGGGAGGGAGATGGTGGAAAATAGAGCAGAAGAGGCAGCTTTATTTCGCAGCCCTGCTTTACTCTCCACTGAAGCAGCCTGTGCTTTTGCAGGGATCCTGCCTTGCCTCCGGTTTCTGTTCCCCTGTTGACCTCCACCATCCGCAGTCCCCGCTCCTGGCCTCGCCCCAACCTCCTGCTTCCACCACAACAGTTGTGCTTTTTACACACGTGGGATTCCCAGTTTGTTCAGAACGGGATTCTCTCTGTACTAAGCACAGCAAACTTCCCATGTGACCGTGGTAAGAAGGGAAGGACTGGGGCTTTCGAGGGACATCTTGACTCTTGATATTCTAATCTTATCTTGGGCCTCAGTTTTCTACACGTAAAGTTACGGTTATTGGGCCGGCTAAATGAGATTATGCACGTAAGTCACTTACCTTAGAACTGGATATGCTGCGTGCACGCAGTACATTGTTTACTATTGTTATTAACGGTGGCAGTAGTAGGAGTAGTAAATTTTAAATTCTGTCTCTGGTGTTTTAAACCTCCTAGTTCAATCTTTGTGGTCAAGGTCAAGAGGTTCAAGCAGCCTGTTTAAGCTCAATTTTAGAGCCAAACATGTTTCCCAGATTCCGTTTCTTAATGGAAGGTTGGAGTTTTGCCCCGTAACAGTGAGTGTTTTGGACGGTGTTCCATTTTGGAACATAATACAGGCAATCACCCAGTTTCATTTTGAAAGAACAATTGAGATTACTATGTGTGAGATGAGACAGATTTGGGTTGTTTTCCTCCTCAGGCTGCTATGTTAGCAGGGTGTGTCCTGAAGTATTCTCTCTTTCCAATTTCCTTTCTGCCTTCCAGATTTAAGGTGCCACTTCTAAATCTGAGCCTGTGTATAGTAGTATTGTATTGTGTGTAGATCCTGATATTTTCCCGAAGTCAATGTAGGTAAATGGAAACGCTGTGAACCACTAGGATGCTTACAGAGCTATTTTTGGCCTCTCTGCATTCCACTTTCTTTTCCACTCTCTGTGCCATCTAATCCCTTGCACTGTGCCCCACTCTTCCCTTCCCGAAAGATTGCTCTGTAGCAAGCGATGCTGTTTGATAGCATTTTACCCACAGTAGAACTTCTTTCATAATTGGAGACAGTCCTCTCAAATCCCGCCGCTGCTTTATCAGCTAAGTTCATGGGATATTCTGACTCCCTTGTTGTCATTTCAACAATGTTCACAGCATCTTCACCGAGGGTAGTTTCCATCTCAAGAAACCACTTCCTTTGCTCATCCAAGAGAAGCAGCTCCTCATCCATTCAAGTTTATTGTGAGACTGTCACATCTTTAGTCTCCACTTGTAGTTCTAGTTCTCTTGCTATTTCCACCACATCTGCAGTTACTTCCTCCACTGAAATCTTGAACCCCTCAAAGTCATCCATGAGGCTTGGAATCAACGTCTTCTAAGCTCCTGTTAATGTGGATACTTTGACCTCCTTCCATGAATCACAAGTGTTCTTAATGGCATTTAGCATGGTGAATCTTTTCCAGAAGGTTTTTGGTTTACTTTGGCCAGATCCATCAGAAGAATCACTATTTATGGCAGCCATAGCCTTACAAATGTATCTCTTGAATAATAAAATTTGAAAGTTGAAATTTGTTTTTGATTCATGGGCTACGGAACGGAGGTTGTGTTAGCAGGCATGAAAACAACATTCATCTCTCTGTATATCTTCATTGGAGCTTTTGGGTAACTAGGTGAATTGTCAATGGGCAGTGATATTTGGAAAGGTATCTTTTTTTCCTGAGAAGTAGGTCTTAATAGTGAGCTTAAAATATTCAGTAAACCCTGCTGTAAACAGTTATGCTGTCATCCAGGCTCTGTTGTTCCATTTATGGAGCACAGGAAGAGTAGATTTGGCATGATTCTTAAGGGCCCTAGGATTTTCAGAATGATAAATGAGTATTGGTTTTCACTTAAAGTCAACAGCTGTATTAGCTCCTAACCGGAGAGTCAGCCTGTCCTTAAGCTTTGAAGCCAGACATTGACTTCCCCTCTGTAGCTATGAAAGTCCCAGATGGCACCTTCTTCCAACACAGGGTTGCTTCAGCTACACTGAAGATCTGCTGTTGAGTGTAGCCACCTTCATCAATGATCTTAGCTAAATCTTCTGGATTACTTGCTGCAGCTTCTACATAAGCACCTGCTGCTTCATCTTGTACTTCTATGTTATAAAAATGGTTTCTTTCCTTAAACCTCATCAACTAACCTCTGCTAGCTTCAAACATTTCTTCTGCAGCTTCCTTACCTGTCTCAGCCTTCATAGAATTGAAGAGAGTTACAACCTCGCTCTGGATTAGGCTTTGGCTTAATAGAATGTTGTGGCTGGTTTGACTTTCTATCAAGACCACCAAAACCTTCTCTGTGTCAGCAACAAGACTGTTTTGCTTTCTTATCATTTGTGTGTTCACTGGAGTGGCACTTTTAATTTCCTTCAGGAATTTTCCTTTGCATTCCTAACTTGACTAACTCTTTGGTGCAAGAGATTTAGTTTTCAGCCTATCTTGGCTTTCAACCTGTCTTCTTCATTAAGCTTAATCATTTCCAGAGTTTTATTTGAAGCGAGGAATGTGCAACTCTTCCTTTCATTTGAACACTTAGAGGCCTTTGTAGGGTTATTAATTGGCCTAATTTAAATATTTTTGTGTCTCAGGGAACAGGGAGGCCTGAGGAGAAGGAGAGAGACTGGAGAATGGTTGGTTGGTAGAGCAGTCAGAACACACACATTTATCGATTAAGTTTCCTGTCTTACATGAGCATAGCTCGTGCTGCCCCAAAACAATTAAAATAGTAACATCAAAGATTACTGATCACTACTAGATATAATGAGAAAGTTTGAAATATTGCAATAGTTACCAAAATGTGGCACAGAGACAGAGTGAGTACATGTTGCTGGAAAAAATGGTGCCGATAGACTTGCTTGATGCAGGGTTGCCACAAACCTTCAATTTGTAAAATACCCAGTATCTGCAAAACACAATGAAGCAAAGCACAATAAAACAAGGTGTGCCTGTACACACAATATATATGTATGTGTGTTTGTTT
Source organism: Homo sapiens (assembly GCF_000001405.40). Lineage (NCBI taxonomy): Eukaryota > Metazoa > Chordata > Mammalia > Primates > Hominidae > Homo > Homo sapiens. The sequence goes on along the minus strand of NC_000011.10, from coordinate 132,957,511 downwards.
ATTTATAAATAAATATATATTTAAGTATATACATTTATTTATCTCTACCTCTGTCTTGGGATCCATCTCTGTAAAATCTCCCCTTGGTTGTGTTTCCCTGGAGAACTCTGATTATGTGAGACAGTCAGACCCCATCCTGCTTCTCTCCCGTGTTATGCCCCTGCCCCTTTCTTTCCTTTTCTTTTGCTTCCTCTTTGCCATTTTCTTCACACCCATTTTCTGGAGACTTTCTAATGCCTGGAGGTGGAAGGAAGGAGGATGAGCAATGGATTCTCCGTCTCCTTCCTTCCCAGTCTTCTGAACTGCATTTCCTGCCATCATGGGAAATTTTGAGCCTCATGACCCAGAGGGACTGTTTTGTTTTGGTTTTGGTTTTGGTTTGAGACAAGGTCTTGCTTTGTTGCCCAGACTGGAATACAGTGGCATGATCATAGCTCACTGCAGCCTCAAACTCCTGGACTCAAGTGATCCTCCCACCTCAGCCTGTTAAGTATCTTGGACTAGAGGCATGAGGCAGCACATCTGCCTGTTTTTTAAAATTTTCGTAGAGATAGGATCTTGCTATGTTGCCCAGGCTGGCCTTGAACTCTTGGCTTCAAGCAACCCTCCCACCTTGGCCTCCCAAAGTGCTGGGATTATAGCTGTGAGCCACCATGCCTGGCCTTGTTTTATTTTTCCCTGACTCTATCTTTGTAAAACTGATTCCATCCAGCCAAGACAGGAAACTAGAGTTGCTGGGAGGAGAAGAAAGCTTTTAGGGTCGAATACAGAATACAATGTCAGTGCTGGGTTAAGGAGTGGGTATGGGGCATTAGTGGACGAAAAGAGGCTAGTCAGAGACAGATCCAAGATACTGTTGTCTAACATAAGTGTGGTGGTGGTGAGGATGCATACAGCCCAGCAGAATTTTAGAAACTGTCCAATCCAATTTGGTCAAAACCCAATTTATTGTGGGTTTCTACCAAAATGTTTGAGGTTTTGGTCAAAACCTACAATAAAAATGCTGTGTCAAGCATGCCCAGAACACAAGAGCATATGAGAGACCCTGAGAGTGTGTCTGTGAATAAAGGCGGGGCACTATCATGTAAACATACGTTATGAGAAGCTTGCTCTCTAAGCTGAGTTACAATATATCACAATAATTATGTAAATCACAAGCAATGTTTCTGATGAATCTGGCTCTGTTTTATTGATTAGAATCCTAATACCTGAAGCTGATCTTCATTGCTTGTTAGCCACGTGGTACGGCTACCTGCTTTTCCACCGTGATTAACTTCTTGCCATGTAAATAGTGTGTTCCAACATCAGTAGTGTATGGGCACAAAACAAACTGAATCACTCTAATTCTTGTTCTCCACCTTTAGCTAATTTGCCACTGATAAAATCCAGTGTCCAAATGTGGACAAATATCTTTGATTATTTAATATTTGGCACATGAATCTTGAATAGCTATGATATCTGTGAGACTGGAGGGTATGGGTTAGAGATACATAATTATTTTTATTATTAATTGAATAAATATTGATTGGAAACCTACTATATGCCAGGAATTATTCTGGGTGCTGGTAATACAGCAATGAATGTTGAGGGAAATAGGAAAAGGTTCAGCATTTTCTTTGTTTTGTTTTTGAGATGGTGTCTTGCTCTGTCATCCAGGCTGGAGTGCAATGGTGCGATCTCGGCTCACTGCAACCTCTGCCTCCCCGGGTTCAAGCGATTCTCCTGCCTTGGCCTCCTGAGCAGCTGGGATTACAGGCACACACCACCATTCCCTGCTAATTTTTGTATTTTTAGTTGAGGTGGGGTTTCACCATGTTGGTCAGGATGGTCTCGAACTCCTGACCTCATGATCCGCCTGCCTCAACCTCCCAAAGTGCTGGGATTACAGGCATGAGCCACCGCGCCCAGCCAGATTCAGCATTTTCTACCTTGCACTTCTAGAAATGACTAGGAGTAATCTTTCTTCTCTATATATTGCTTTATCAAATAATACCTTCCTTATAGAGGTGTTAACAGGATTACATTAGATAGCATCTGTCAGGTGTATGTTCTAGTGTCTGGGCTGCTGGTAGGATGATGATGATGATGACAATGACAACTGTCACTATTTTTTAAATATTGGTTGGTTGGTCTGCATCTGAATGGGTCCAGAGAGGGAAGTGTTTTGACCTGAAACAATTCATCCTGTATATGTTTATTAATCATCAACAGTGTACGAAATGCTGTGATGAACACAGGCAGCTGTACAACACCTTGAAGGAGCTCTTCACCTTCAGACACATTAAAAAAATATTCAGGACTCTCATGCTGAAGATGAAATAAGACAAAACCGTGCCAACCTCCCCCAGATCCCCATCTCCGTCCAGCATGTTTTCACAGCTAAGCTCGACACCCTGGACCGCATTTGTTTTCTCCACACCTGGGGTTCCACTCATTCCTCAGCTCACCACTGCCTCACTTCTGCTGCCTCAGCAGCAAAACACCTTCTGCAAAATTCATCAGTGCCCTCCACTGTGGCAGATCAAAAGCATGGTTGTCCATCCTCTGCTAGCCTGAAGTCTCTCGTAGTGGATGCCGCTAGCCACTCTTTTCTTCTTAAAGGTCTCCTCCCTGATTTCTGTGTGGGCACCGATCCTGAGTTTCCTTCTATTTTTTTGGCCATTCCTCAGGCTTCCTCATGAGCCCTTTTTCATCTTACCCCATGTGTTTGCGTTGCTCAGAATTCACACTTAATGCCACATTTCTTCTCACTCCTGCTCTTGCTCAGTGACTTCATTAGTACCCAGGGCTTCAGCTCCCATGTATGCAAAGATGATTCCAAAATCTATGACTGTAAACATTGTCTCTTGCTCAGGCTCAACACCGAAATATCCAAATGCCAACAGCGTAGTTTTACTTGGATGTTTCACCAGCCCCTCAAGTTCAATGTTTAACGCCCTGCCCTCTACTCAGTATCAACTATTCTTACTATGTCTCTGGGACTGGCAACGCTGTTCACTCATCTGCCAAAATCAGAAGCCACATGGCAGTCAGTCATACCCAGTCCTTAAAAGTGAACTTTTCCTTTGAGTCTTTAAAAAAGTTCACTTAAAAGTGAACTTTTCCTTTGAGGGGTCTTTTCCTTTGAGCAGCTTTCCAAGAACCCGATCTAATTTTAATGGCCTCATTTTGAGATCCTGTAGCATGCTGTACATATTTTTAATCTTCTCATACCATACTATGACACCTGATTTATTTCTTCTACTAGACTATAAACTCCTTGAGGGCAGGTAACACACCATGTTCTTTGGATTTCCAGGCCAAGCAAAATGCCTAGATGGTCAATGAACATTGGTCCTCCCACCAAAACAAACAAAAAACAAAACAAACAAAAAAACAAACAAAAAACCCAAGAAAGAATGTTTGAATGAAGTAGTGAATTAGTTAACAAAATAAATGAACAATATAAAAAAAGTTTGGCAAGAGAGATATGATTTCAAGTAACTGACATGTTATACAAAACACAAGTTCTAGCTCCTCTCTAAGACCCAGAAAATCAGATTCATTTTAGCAGGAAGTGGGTACAGCCCCGTAAGGAGCAGCCAGTCATGGAGTACCACCTATATGCCAAGCTCTCTGCAAGCCACCTTACATACATTTTGCTCGTTCTTTAAATAAAAAAATGTTGTTTTTCCCATGCAACCAAGGAGGAATCCTGGGCTCAGAGAAGCTTGGTCCATTGCTGGGGACCCCCAGCTCTCAGGGGGCAGGTCCAGATTTAGAGCCTGGCAAACCTACCTCCAGCGGCATTCTCTCCTCCACACTCTGGGTTCTCTGGGGAGGAAGGATCCATTTTCCACCTGTCATGGTCATTCTGTTAGATACTATAGTGAGACCAGGGAGGGGTAAGACTGTAATAATGGTACTGAACATTTAAAAAACACATTTTATGGCTTGTAGGTCTCAATATAATGGTTTTTGTTATTGGATTTATAGAACTATATGAGGTGTGACTATAAAGCAATGAGGCTGATTTTATCGTATGGCTTGCGGAAATCGGTCCCTTTATAGGGGTCTCCAGCCTTTCTAGAATGAAATGCTTTAATGTAGTTGATGCCCATGCTTCCCCACAGTTGAGGCTTTGGGGTCCAGGGAGGGAAGGAGAAGGATACTAAGAGAGTTCCTTAGTGGGAATGGCATTGGATCTTTGGCTGACAGCTTCACGGAGTTTCTGCAGACTGTGGAGAGTGGACATCAGTTCTCTCGTGCAGCAAATATTTGGTGAGTACTTACTCTGTACTGGGCCCTGGTCTGTAGCAGAGGAATCAGGGATGAGCAAAATAAAAACTCTGTTCTCGGGGACCTTGCAATTCTAATGAGAGACAGAGAAGTTACATGCATGCAATACACACAGAAACTTGGAAGGAAAAAGAGTAGGCTAGGGGCTGATGTTATACTCCTTAGATTCTAAAGTTCTCAATAGATCACTCTCTAAGCCTTGGGGAACCTCATAGATAACTTTTTACAGTGTAAATCTTACATGCCTTAGGTTGGCTTGTTTATTTTAAAGTTTTTTTGTTGTCATGTTACTTTTGTTTGTCTTCTTGGTTATTTTTGTTGTTTTGTTTGCTTTGGTTTTGCCTACTTCATCATTCTGGCATTAAGGATGGAAAAAAGGAATTGACTATCCCCCATCATGGAGAGCTGCCATCGTGCCAGGCTCTGGGAAGGGCACTTTCCCATGCATCACCGCGCTCACAGCCATCCTGTGAGGAAGCTCTCATGCACGCCGCTCACAGAGGAGGGTACACAAACTCAGAGGATCGCCCTGCTTGGAAGTAGCAGAGCTGGGATTGGAAGCCAGGCATTTTAATTCACGCACAATGTTGGTTCCTTCCATCAGTCCAGGCAGATGCATTCTAGGTTGAAAAGGATGTGATGTGGTCTGTGATAGAAAAGAGAAGCAGGTTGGGATTTAAGGGTCCTGAATTCTGCCCTTAGGTTAGCAGCTGACTAGGAAAACCAATGAATGTGTATTTGCATAAGTTTTGGAAGTGTGCAAACAAGAATGAGAAGCGAGGTTCCACATGGATTTCCTGCATTAATTGTGCAAGCAGCTATCATATAGGGATTGGTTTGGGTTTTTTAGAGGACAGTACTTGTGTCTCATCCAAAGTGTTGTGTTCTGTGGTATGTAATTCCCTTTCTGGTGACTTTCTTAGCCTAAAAACGGAAGCCCCAGTCAATTCTTACCACTCTGTTCACCACAACACATTTTGAGTTCACTAAAGCTCCATGACCAGAGGGCCCCAGAGAGCCACCTTCTTCAAGCTAAGCCACCATGTCTTCTCGGCCACTCCACTCCACTGGGTCCACACTGACTTAGGTTGGTTTCTGTCATACAAATACGCATCAAACCCAGGCTTCTCACTTTATATTTCTCCCTAATATACACATGGAACAGCTGGGTACAATCTTCTCTCAGATAAACACAAGCTGTAAGTCTTCCTTATTTATGAATAACAGTTTGAAATTGCTTTTATAACTGAATACAAATTTTATTAGATAAATGCAGATATTTCTGTGTGATCCCAGATTCCCCAGTAGCCATCCTCATCTGGACAGCCCCTCCAGGGCAAAATAAAAGCTTATTAATAACCACAGAAGCCTTTTCATTTTTAGGCAACTTCTAATTCTAAAGTGGCCTCTTCTTCAAACTCAGAGAAAAACCTGTCCTGTTTCTTTTATTATATACACACACAGAAAAAAAGCCTTTGGACGCCTTGGGAATTTTTGTGTCTTGCTCTGTACAGCTTATCTGCCCACAGAGATACTTCAGAGAAGAAACTTGTGACAATGGGGAATTAGGCCTCTTTCTGTAGGCAGTAATAACTAGCATTTATTATGGACTTAGGGAGTGCCAGGCATGATGCCAATTATTTTACATGCAGTATTTCACTTAACACTGATGTCGGCTGAATCATGGCCCCCAAAATTCGTATGTTGAAATTCTGAGCACCAATGTGACTCTACTTAGAGATAGGGCTTTTAGGAGGTGATTAAAGTTAAAGGGGTCAGAAGGATGGGGCCCTAATCCCTTAGAATTGGTGGCCTTCTAAGAACAGAGAGAGTTTTCTTCCCCACGTGAGCACAGAGCGAGAAGGTAGCTGTCTCAAGCCAGAAAGAGAGCCCTCGTCGGAGCATGTTCACGCTGGCACCCTGATCTCAGACTTGCAGGCTGTGCCACTGTGAGAAAACCGATTCCTGTGAGGCCACCTAGTCTGCAGTATTTTGTTATGGCAGCCTGAGCTGACTGAGACATACACTCACAAGTACTCTACAGATTCATTGCTACGGTGGTCTCCATTTACAGAGGTGGCAGCTGTAAGATGAGTGAATGTAAGGAGCTTGTGTAAAGTCCCACAGAGTGAGCTGCAGAGGTGGGGCTTGGACTGACGCCCGACTGCCCTGTGTTTGCTCCAGTCTTCCCTGCTGCACTCTAGAGCGCAGGCACACAGTCCACCTAGATCACAGCAGGTGATCACAGCAGGGAAGTCAAAACAGGCCGAGGTCTTAAACCCAGGTCCTTCGACTCACATTGAGGGTCAGTGAGCAGCGTTTTCCTGTTTTCTTAAAAACAGTGATAACTTCATGGCCTCATCTCCAAACAATGTTAGAGACTACTCTCAAAAGATGAGTTGTGACCAAGTAGAGGAGATATATTAAGAGACAACTAAATGGAGTGAAATAGGTTACATCTCACGGGGTTGGCTGAAGGCACCTATTTCCAAATTATGAACAAAGGCAGAGGAGCCTCTAGATCCAGATTGAGGGTTCCATGGATAATATGCCCCCTTCCAAAAATGCACACAGCAGAGCTTTACCACTATTTTTTATGATAATTAGGAAAGCAAGCTTTCAATGAGACAGTAGCATCACCCTCAGTCCTCCATGCTAAGCTTCAAATCTTTCTCCCACTGTCGTCCTGATGTCTCCATTTGACTGTCTCATAGAGGTGATAGCTTCACAACTTAATCAGAACTCTTTATTCATTCTTCAATTCCTGCCTCCTTAAACCCATTCCTTCTGGCATCATCCTCATTACAGGTAGTTGTAAAATGCAGCTAGTTACCCAAATCTTCCTCAATCGCTCTCTTTTTCTCAATCCCCAATCTCAGGAAGTCCTAACTACTATTCTTCAGGAATGCACCCCTCACCTCTCCATCATTCTCTGTCTTCATTGCCATCGTTTCTGGCCTCTGCTGCTCCTGTCTTGCCCTCTGCTTCTACTCTGTACCCCTGCAATCTAGTCCTCTACACAGCGGTCAAAGTGATGTGCAAAACTTTTCAATCACAACCCGTCTCTTTTCCACTGCAATGTCTCCAACGTTATCGCACTGCCCTTAGAGCCAATTCCAAAACAGTTACTGTGACCTTCAAGGCCCAGCGCGGCTGCACCTTCATCTGCTGCTGGGGCTAGCGGGCTACCTCTGCCATATGCCTCTATGGTGTTTGTTTGCTCAGCTCCAACCTTCACTCAGCCGATCAGTCAGGACTCAGGTCAAATGCTCCCTCTTCAGAGAGGCTTCCCCTGGCTATTTGATTTTTCGCTCTTCCAACATCATCACACCTTTTCTTAATGTATAGCTTGTAGCACAATCTAAATATTTGCATCTGTTTACTTTTTATGGTCTTTTTCCCCCTCCTTCAACACTGCTTACACACCCGTGCAGAAAAGCATGTAATAAAGCTGATCTCATTAATGACTGCATCTTCAGTCCCTAGAACAGTGTCCAACATAAAATAGGTGTGTCATACATATTTACAGAATTAGTAAATAAATTCATAAATGAATAAGTAAAAATCGTGTTACATTTTTTGTCATTTTTAAATTGGTTTCTTTCTTTGACTGTTAGTCTTGGTTATCACCCTCTGTGTGAGACTGATCCGTCAAAGACTATAAGGCAGATAATGTCCTGCCACAAGCAAGAGAGTTTTCACAGCCCAGGATACTGGTTGGAAGTATCCATCCATACCCAAAGCAGCAGCAGTACTCAGCAGGCAGCTCAGTTTAGGTTCTGAACAGAAGTTGCTGCCCAACAAGGCCCACCTCCCCTTTGTCTTTCTCCGTAATTGTGGGTTCCTGAGTTGTGTGCACCATTGTTCAGCTGCTTCTTACAGGATGCATCTCTTCAGTGTCACGAGCTACGTTCCATCACCAGACACAGTCCACATATACATAGGAATATTATAGGCCTACAGTCTTACTTAAGCCAGTTTGAAATGCAATAATGTGATTAGACTTTTTACAGGTGTTTTTCCCAGGTGGGTCGCCTTACGTTTCATGTAGCTTCTCTGGGGCATTCTATCTTCTCCAGGTTGCAGATACTACCTGTCAGTTTCAAGTTGCTAGAGTCACCTGAATACTGACCTGGAAATCCCTAGGGTTCTTTACAACTCTTTGCCTTCTTTGCAGCTCTTTCTCCTACCTGAGAAAGTTCCCTCTGGCAAGGATTCCTATTCTCAAGCTTGTTCATAATTACTTTTCTCTGGCTAGCCAGTGGTCTCTCTTGTGATCATTACAGCCCTGTAATCGGGATACAACTTTGCATTTTCTGTTACAAATTGTCATAAACGAGACTTCTGTAGGTCTGAGTAGAATCTCTAGTTTGTACATAGGGCATTTATAACCTTTCACTCCCATCTTTTTTTATGTCACAAATCGTTATCATGTGAAAATGGGAGTTTGGCTACATAACGATAATTCATGATTATTAAATTTTCCAGTGTGCCAAGTAATTTGGTGAAATGTTGCATGCATTATGTCATTAATTGTCCCTTATATTAATTATGGTTTTTATGTTCTGTATTTTATGATGCTTTGATATCCTAGGTCTTGCTAATTCTGGAAAGACTGTCCCTCCTAGGGCTAGCTAATTCCTAGAGATGATAAAAAACTTGCCTGTGAGCCTGCCCTTTATGAGAAAACCAATCCATCCAAAACCCATACCCCACACATTTCTTTTATCTAATGCTCACACACCAAATCAATATTGCCCTTGCCCTAGATCACCCCAGGGCCAGGTACAGAACCACTAGAACCACCCCCACTGCCGTAACACAGAGCCTGCCAGAAATATTCAAACTTTACAATCCTAAGCTTGCTGAAGTTTGCCTACCTTGCCTCCCCTATTTATTCCCATGGAAATCACAATAAAGACCATGTGCTAGGCCTTCCTCTCACTCCTTCTGCCTCCTGACCAACCCTGGTGCCTCCCCATGTGGTCCAGCATGGCACGGTGTGCCCCTCCTCTTGGGAACTGTAAGGAATAAACTCATCTTTCAAGGCAGTCGTCTCTGTGTCTGTCTTCTTACCAGCCTTGATTTTAAAACATGCCCGGTACATTTCAAGAAACCTCAAACCCTATAACATAGGTGGGATAGGTATTCCTGGGTACCAGCCAGGCAGCTAGAGAGATGACAAGTCAGCATCTGAACAGACAATATAACTTCAAAAGTAGTATAGGTTGAGCATCCCAAATCCAAAAGCTGAAACTTTTTGAGGACAGACATGGTGCTCAAAGGAAATGCTCACTGGAGCATATTGAATTTGAGATGTCCAGATTTGGGATACTCAACAGTAGGTATAATGCAAAGACTCCAAAATTTAAAATAATTCAAAATCTGAAACACTTCTGGTCTCAAGCATTTCTGATAAGGGATACTCTTAGTCATGATGTTAATTTGTCTTTATATATGTTTCCACATATCTAAGAGGGTTTCACTAGGGGCCACCGTGTCATGATACTCAGCCAAGCATTTCCTAGAAAAGTTCTGACATAAACTACTTAGTCCTTGTTCATTGTGAACCTCAGCTCATTTTCTGTTTCTAATTTCAATTTGGTCTCAGCCTTATATTCTATAAATGCACAGACTAGTCCACAGCAGTGTCCTACAGAGGAATGAAGTCTCTCCCACACAACTGTAGGCTCACAGAGATTAACATTAAATGAGACCTTTGCAGTCATTTCTCTGATCTGCTAGCCCATGAGTTGAGCCCGTTTATTCACTCAGAAATATTGAGCTAGGAAATGCTGTTACAGAAGGAAATAGACACAGGCCCTCTTCCTTAGGACTCCAGATACCTTATTTCAGGGGAGCCAGCTGTGCAACAAAATGGGATACTTGGTTTATTTCTTTGCAAGAGCAAGACTTATTATATATTGTTAAGAAAATTTACACCTCGCTTCTGCCCATCTCTGCTGCTCTTCTTTACTTGCCTCAGCCATTCTTTTCCTATCGGGAACCTCATGCTGTCCTAGCCTTTCTCTTTTTCCTTAATAACTCTTCCTGTCTCAAGCAATCTTTTATGAGTTGATTTAGCAACTGCTCCATTTTTGTCTCTTGAGAAGCAATAGAACCAGCAGGTCCAGGAGAGAGGAAGGGATCTGAATGCCCTACAACCAAGTGGCAGAGCTGCGAGCCTTGAGGGGCAGCCTGACCCAACTCCACGGCTGCCACCCACCTGTGTTCAAGCTCCAAACTCTGCAACTGAAGAAAATCATAAGCCCGGCCTCAGGTTCTCAGCTTTACACAAATTAAAGTATGAAAAAGAGCCTTTCCCGTCTGGTGATACTAGACTAGAACTCAGAGTTGAGAGGTTGAAGTACAATGTCAATCAGGAAACCCGGGTTCACTCAAGTCTTGAGAAAAGACATGTGTCATGAAAGCTAGTAGGAAATCCCAAAATAGGTTGTGGGGCTGCTCCCTGAGCCCCCAGCCTCTCCTCTCTGCATCACAACTCCCCAAAGCCTTGTACCTCGGGAGCTTATGGATGAGACCTGGACCCCACTGCTGCCTTTGTCATACCTGCTTTCTGGAAAGGACCTAACCCAGTGGATCACTGTGTAACAATGCTCTGTCAATGACAGGCCGCATATATGACAGTGGTATAGAAAAGATTACAGTGGAACTAAAAACTTCTCATCCTCCAGTGACACTGTAGCCATCTTAATGTCTTAGCTCAAAGTGTTACTCAGGTGTTGGTGGTGATGCTGGTGTAAACAAACCCTACTATGCTGCCGGTCCCATGAAAGTCTAGCACATGTAAATATGTACAGTACATAATACTTGATAACAATATAAACGACTATGTTACTAGTTTTTATGTTTACTATACTATACTTTTTATCTTTACAGTATGCTCCTGCTACTTATTTTAAAAAGGTGATTGTAAAACAGCCACAGGCAGGTCCTTCAGGAGGGATTTAGAAGAAGGCATTGCCATCATAGGAGATGACAGCTCCGTGCATGTTATTGCTCCTGAAGCTCTTCCAGTGTGAGGAAATGTGGAGGCAGAAGACACTGATACTGATCATCCTGACTCCATGTAGGCCTAGGCTAATGTGTGTATTTGTGTCTTAGTTTTTAGCAAACAAAATTTAAAAAGTAGGCCGGGCGCAGTGGCTCACACCTGTAATCCCAGCACTTTGGGAGGCCGAGGCGGGTGGATCATGAGATCAGGAGATCGAAACCATCCTGACTAACACGGTGAAACCCCGTCTCTACTAAAAATACAAAAAGTTAGCTGGGCATGGTGGTGGGCGCCTGTAGTCCCAGCTACTTGGGAGGCTGAGGCAGGAGAATGGCGTGAACCCGGGAGGTGGAGCTTGCAGTGAGCCGAGATTGCGCCACTGCACTCCAGCCTGGGTGACAGAGCGAGACTCCGTCTCAAAAACAAACAAACAAAAAAGAGTGGAAAAAAGCTTAGAATAAGGATATAAGAATATATTTTTGTACAACTGTACAACGTGTTTGTGTTTTAAGCTAATGTTATCATGCAACAGTCAAAAAGTTAAAATAATTCAAAGTGTATAAAGTTAAAAAGTTACAGTAGGCTAAAGTTATTATTGAAGAAAGAAAAATATGTTTTGATAAATTTAGGGTAGCCTAATTATATAGTGTTTATGAAGACTACGGTGGTGTGCAGTAATGTCCTAGGCCTCCATTCCCCACCCGCTCACTGACTCACCCAGAGCAACTTCCAGTTCTGCAAGCTCCGTCTGCGGCAAATGTCCTGTACAGATGTACCATTTTTTAATCTTTTGTACCATATTTTTATTGCACATTTTCTGTGTTTAGATACACAAATCCTTACTATTGTGTTACAATTGCCTGTAGTATTCAGTACAGTAGCATGCTGTACAGGCTTGCAGCCAAGGAGCAATAGGCTCTACCATACAGCCTAGGTGTGTAGTAGGCTGTGTCATCTAGGTTTATGGAAGTACACACTAGGATAGTCACACAATGACAAAATCTCCTAAAGACAGTTCTCAGATTGTATCCCCCTCCATAAGCAGCATATGACTATATATGTTTCACTATAGCTGATATAATTAGTGATAAGTATTCTCCCTTCTAGGTAAGATGCTCTAATTAAAAATTTTAGACCTACACATATATGTGGGCTAACCCTTTTAGAATGGGGAATGGGGCAGTATTTATTTGTGCTCCTTCTCTCAGAACTGAAAGCAAGTAGTATGCCTTTGTATCCTTCAGCAACTAAAGTAATAAACGATAAGAGCTTAATGCTTATTTTTGAATTAAATTTCATTTTGCCAATTGTGCAGAGCCCAGTCTAATTTAACAAAAGGCTCTGAGAGAAAATACAGTAGAGCAGATGCACATAGCAACCATTAAATTAGAATACAACGGGGAGGCTTCTGCCAGGGGAGCGGAGAGGGCCTCCCGAGGGGCCCAAGGGAAGCGGAGCTCTGGGGTTTAGAGCAGAAAGAGACAAATCCGAGACCAAAGAAAGGGGGAGGCTGGCTTCCAAAAGCACCCCAGTCACCTCCCAGCACCACTGCGGCGCCGCTTCCTGTGAGGGGTTTTAGGAGGATCAGTCCTACTACTTTTTAGGATCTGGTGTGTTTTTCCCAGCCCTTGCTTTTTACCACGATAAGGTGTAGGACAGGGACAATGTTGCATGCTGTGTTTTAAGGAGAAATTGAGATTTGCCACTTTGGGGACAGGCGTCCAGTGGAGGGGCACGGGCGTTTCCGAGGTGGGTCCTCGGAGGTGGGTGCACTCCACCTCTGCGCGGGCCCAGGACAGCGCGCCGTCAGGGCTGGACTTGGCTGGGCGGGGAGCCGTTCGCAGCGCGATGGACACGCACACCGGTGCCCCATCTGGCGTGGGCAGGGTAGTTCAGCTCTCCAGGGCGGGGTTTGTCAACTTCTGCGCTGGCATCGGCGAGGGAAGGTGCCAGTGTCAGTTTTCAGTTTGCTGCTTTCCCCAGAACTCCCTCTCCCGCCCTCCCCTCTCCCTCCCCGCTCCCCCCACCCCGCCCCTCTGTAGGGGAAGCCGCTGCGAGGGGCGCCGCGTTCTCTCCGCTGGCGCGGGTGTCGGGACGGAGCGAAGTGGGCGCGGTGCGGGCTCATCCCCGCAGGCATCCCCAGCCCGGTGGGCGCGGCGGAGGTTAAGGTGGGCGCCCGCCCGTCGGGATGAGCGCGCAGTCCGCGCCGCCCGCCAGCCCGCTCGCTCCGAGGCGGCACCGGGAGAAAGTGGCGGTCAGGGATGGAGCTGCTGCCATGACAACCCCGGCGGTCCGGGCCCGCGCGCGTCGGGGCTGCTCCCGGGAGGAAGGCGGCGCGGAGGCCGGGGGCGGCCGCTGAGCGTGGCGTCCGCGCGTCCCCGCGTCTCGTGCCGCGTCCCCGGAGGAGGCGGGGGCCGCCGTCCGCCCAGCTCCCCGTGCGCCCGGAGCCTGCGCCGGGCGGCGCTCCCCCGGCTGGCCGCGAGTCGCCGACCGGGCTGCAGAGGACGGCCACCGACCGGACGACCCTGGCTGCGCCGGCTGCGCGTCCCCGCCTTGGAACTTTTTGCCGCCTTGGGGTTCCAGATGCGAGACCTGGGGCTGGGGGACACGTACATCTGTCCATGTGTGTGATCTAATAAACCATTTCCTCCTCTCCTTGAAGCCGCAGCTTTTTATGACAGCTCCTGTATGTCAGAGACACTTGCCTTCTTCTTTGGGTTATAAACTTTTGATGCCAGAGCTCTGCAGAACGTGCCCAACTGAATCTTAAAGTAGCGTCTCGAAGAGAGAGGCAGAGAAAGCGCAATCTGTGACCTTCATCCCCGCACCTTGCTTCTTCCTCTCCCCTCCTGGCCGCCTCCCTCCTCCCCAGGGGAGCGTCAAGAAAGCTCTTTTTGGATGCAGGAGGGGGCATCTGGTTCTGCTAGGCTGGAAAGCTGAGGCAGGATCTGAGGAAGAATTCTCAGACTCCGGAGAGCCCGGACTCCTCTCTTCTCCTTCCCCCTGCTCCTGGCGAACTCTGCCCCTTCCCTCCTCCCCGCACCGCTTCCCGAGCCCGCTGGTGCGCGGGGCGGGGGACCAGGACTGTGCGGCTGCCGGAGTCCTGGGAAGTTGTGGCTGTCGAGAATGGGGGTCTGTGGGTACCTGTTCCTGCCCTGGAAGTGCCTCGTGGTCGTGTCTCTCAGGCTGCTGTTCCTTGTACCCACAGGAGTGCCCGTGCGCAGCGGAGATGCCACCTTCCCCAAAGCTATGGACAACGTGACGGTCCGGCAGGGGGAGAGCGCCACCCTCAGGTAGGGAGCTGTCCTTCCGCGGGGGCCGAGCCCCTGGGCTGTGGTCGCTGGGGAGAGGAGGGAAGAGGGGGCAGAAGGCTCCATGGGGGACCGGAACGCGAGTGGGCCTTGTGCAGGCCCGAGGGGCGCCCGCTTGCGTGCTGCCGTGCCGACTGCCGTGCCCCTGGACAGGTTTGTCCTGTGCTCCGGCTATGCTGGTCCAGGATCTTATGCGTGAACCTTGAAGTCCACGTGTGGGACTCCATGGTTCTTTGAAGCCACGACAGGCTAGATTCTCTCCTGCTTGGGCACCGTGATGAGAACATGAGTGCATGGGTTTGAAACACTGGGGGGCTAGCCTGAGCCCCTTGGATGGCTGTCACAGGCCAGAAGGTACATGATGAGGCAGGATCGTCCTCAGGACCACCAGGCTAGCCCTTATCAGAGATGCACCTCAAATGTGAGGCTGTGGAATTACCAGTGTCAGCCCACGGCCTGTTATGAGTCTCCTCAAGACCCAGCACTCGTGCCAAACCTGGTGTAGTGCTCCTAGGGTCCCTATTGTAAATTATGACAGCAGTTTTATTTTTGCAGACTGGGTCCAAGGAAAGGAAACATGTAGCTTTTATGCAACAACATCACTTCTGTGTGAAAAGCACAATAGGAGAGCTTTTTGTTTTACCTTAATGAGTTACAGAGAATCACTTGCATGCTCCAGGCAGAGAGGTGGAGAATCTTGGAATATGAACCTTTGGGGACTGGACTTGCTGCAGCAGATACTTTAATAAAAATGCAGCCACCACTTTCCACCAGCTCAGCAGATATCATCTTTTATCCCTTTAATGAGGCAGTTCTGGTCCTAGGAGACAGATTCAGGGACGTCCCAGCTTAACTATGTCTCACAATGTACACAGGGCGAATGCATTTGCCCTGCCTATGACTTTGATGGTTATGGTGACAATAAAACATCCTGACCCAGATTCTGCAGCCAAAATGCCTGGCTTCCCCTAGGACAGTGTGACGGTGGGGGTTCTTCCTGTTCCTCCCTTGGCTTTTCTGGTGGAACCTTTCCTGCATCTAGACAAGCCTCTCCCTGGAGGAGGAAAGACCTGTCTCTGGGACACCAGAATTCTTTTTCTAAGCCCAAGGGTGAAGATTGGATTCTGCCACTTTGGGTGATACTTAGCTGGATCTTCTTTTTAGTTAGAGAACAGGTCCCAGAATCCTGTGTGCTGTTTCTCAGAAGCCCAAAGCAAATGGAGAAAAAAGGAGAATAGAGAGGCCCTTCCTGGAGATGTGAAGGAAAAGTCCTCCTGGCCATGTGGGTACCACTCAGCCTGCCCCAGACTAGAATGTAATATCCCTACTTCATTGCTTCAAAGAAGGTCCCATGAGGAATCAGGGAACATTTCCCAATACGCATTTGCAGTGAGCTAGTTGGCTTAAAGATATAAGCAGCACACGGGTTATAATACATGTTAACCAAGAAAATGTCAGTAAATATTACCAGTGTTCAGGGATGTTGATGCTGCCACACACCTCTTTACCATCTAATGTGCCACTGGGGGCAAAGAGGTCTAGCATTGAATAGGATCTCAGTCGTGAATTTTCCAGAATCCTCTGTCCTCTTCCTGTCCCTCAAAATTAAACCAGAAACTTCAAAACTTGAGCTTTCTGCTTTCTGAGATGCAGTAAGACTATTCCACCAGCAGAGGGCCAGCTTCCATCTACCAATTTTTTATTAGCTGTTGGCCTGTTTTCATGATCTTCAATTCTAATGTTGAGCAGCTGGGCTTGGGAATGGGAATGGGAATAAAAAAAGAAAAGCTGAATAGTTGCTTTTTGTTCTTTGCAGAAAAAAAGAACAACTTACATGTTCTAGCATAACTGTTATCTGTTATCTGATTGCATGGCGTAATTTTTTTTTTTTAAGTAAGCACATGTATCATGTTGATTTTGCGTCTCTTCTATACATTTACCCCAGAATAGGGAAATTCAGCACGTTATCTACATTTTAATCTCTTTAAATCCTCATTCTCTTAGCTCATGTCATCTTCTCTTTTATTATTTTCTTCCTTCATTTTTATCAGATGCTCCCATAATGTATACTTTCGTCTATTACTCATTATTTTCTTTCTTTTTTGTCTTTATCACTTAAGTCTTCTTATTCCTTGATTTTTTAAGGTTTTGATTTCACTGCTACCACAGTGTTTCCTAAAAGAAAATAAACATCTTCTGCAAATTTCTGTGTGTCCCCATCTCTCTCCTTTTGTTTTCACTCTTTTGCTGTATTGGTGAAGAGTTCTGTTCCCATCTTAACAAACAACTGATTTGTCAGTACTCTGAGGGAGAGTCCATGTTTTCAGTTTCTAGAAGCCCATGGCTTCAACCCCAGATAAATATACCATGTTTTATTTGGTGGTGTTTTTTGCTGTATAAGCTGTAATTCTTAAGTGTGGTTTCTTACTCTTTTGCCTCCTTAAAGACATTCATTAGGGATTCATTACCTGGGAACTGAGTGTTCCAAGCGCATCACATGTTTAGATTGCACCAAAAAACACTGAATGATACCCATGCCCATCACACGAAAGCTCTTTTAATGTGGTTGTCCTGGGTCAAACTATCTCGAATCTGTTTCTAAATCTTGAATGAAGTCCCATAAGGAGGCCAGAGACCTACTAGGAAAAGCAAAGGAGTCACGAAACCTGGGCCTGCCTTTCACTTTCCCAGTGAAAAACTGCACAGCTCAGAGAAGAGTGATTTTCCTCCTTTGGGATATCAGTTTTGTTGTGACAGGTCTTTGATTGCTCTGAGGGACATTAGGAAGTGCTGTGCCAAAGAAGACACTGAAGCTTTGAACGTGGATGAAACTCGTTTTCTGTAAGTGAGGCAATATTATCCTCCTCATAACTACTTCATAGGGTTACTTGAAAAGCAAAAATAATTATTTGAATATTGAGTTATTTTGCCCTCTTGGAAGAGAGATGATATGGAAAATGAAGGTGCTCTTCACTATGGTTGAATTATAGCTTCCATGAATCTGATTTGAATTCATTATTACAAATGGGCCCTCTTGGCCAGAATCACTTCATTACAATTATCTGCTGTTGGGTTGAAAATGTTCTGTGGCTCTGCATTAGATTAGATATGACAAGAATCCAGAAGTCATGTGTCTGAATCAATGCCCACATCAGGAAAGGAGCCCAGGATGTTCAGTGTGGTCAGCTGGTGTCTATTAAGCCATCTCAGCAGAATGGATGATGGCCAGTTGTGCTTTCTTCACAGGCCTCAATCTCCTCAAAGTTTGCTTGAGTTCTTCTGTGGGTCCACATCATCTGTGTACATGAACATTTTGAGGGGCTGCGGTGAGATGGAGGCAAGGTGGTGGTTGTAACTGTTCCACTCAACGGGAAAAGTTCCCACCAACATACTGGATTTTCTTTCTGGTTTGCTTTTGTTTTGGTGTTTTGTGTTTTTTATTTCAACAGCAGGATAATCAGTTTTGTTGATCCAGGCTTGCTGATCTGGGATTATGCTTAATGGCTCTTTTCTAAAATGTCCCTGCATTTTCATTTGGAGTTCTGAGCTAATCCATTCAAAACCAAGTATTTGAGGTTTAACTACTGCCAAGGAATAATCTGAGCAGTGGGGATTTTGCCAAAGCAACCTGGGCAGTAGAGTTTCCAAAGCTAAAGTTCTGTTGTTTGCCTGGGTGTGTTTCTGTACTTTGCACCTACCTTCAGCTCCTTCTTATGTAAATTAAAAGATTTTGAGTAGCCATTAGACTATTCAAAACAAATGCATTATTTTTCCATTTCAGTGTTTCAGTTGTCCAAGCTGAATAAGAACTGGGTAAATGCAAAGACTTTACTCCTAGTCTGGGAAGACAAAGACATTAAAAGACACTCAAGCAGGGACAGGTCCATAAAGGACCTCTCCAGTGGTGGCACTAACCTGGTTGGAGTTATCTGGGATGCTTTTTAGAAATTCCATTTCCAGTCTCCCAGATTGATGATGTCAAAATTCCTGGGTTTGGGGATGGACGTGGCCATTGAAAACATCTTTTCCAGTATTTCTAATGTGGAGCCAGGATTGAGAACACTGCTCTAAAGCCCTTTCTGGCCCTAGAGCCTCTGAGCAAGGCTTATCCAGCGTCCCTGCTTTCCAAGGAAGCATCTTCCCCATGGGTGCCTGCACCTCATGGGCAATGTTAATGCCCTAGAAAGCTCTGTGTCTGGGGGCCTAGGCACCTGGGGTTGATTCTTACTCTACCTCTCACTAACTCCACGGCCTTGAGCACTTTCAGTTGAATTGTGTACATACAGGAACAATATCTATTATAACTGGTCTGCATTATCAGAGGAAAGGAAGTATATGGGTTGTTCTGTGAGCCATAAAGCAACATATGTGTGCAAGTTATTACTGGTACTAAGTTGAACTCCTCAATAACAACTGACAATACTCACACATTTTTTTCAGTTTTGTCTGCTCCATCTCGTTCTTCCTCTATCCCCACACTTATACACAGCTTTAAAGTATATTTGTTTTTTCACAGTTCCACCCAGAATTCTTTCTGCTTGTCAAGAATTGCCCTCATGAGAGTTCCAGTAACTCTTGCTGCTAACACTGTTCTAACAGATCCACACTAGGACCTGTTATTTTTTCATGTGTGGTTATGGTTAGTCTGGGGGCTCCTGGAGCTTAGGAGCTGTGCTTTATGTGTTGACTATAGATACTGTGGTGGATACTAAAGATTACAACAAATAAGTATTGGTTTAATGCTTTAATCCATCTTAATGGGAAACAACCACTTCTAGTGTATTATTGCCTCTACAGCAATGAAACCCTTATATCTAAACAATTTTATTGTCTTCAAAATATGATCCTGGGATATTCAGGCACAGCAGTTGGTTAGCGGTCTTGGAGGCCTGAGGGACTTTTGGATTCCACTCAAATCACTTGCCAGAGGGGACAGTTGAATCCACCAATGATGGCAGTCTGATCCAAACTATGCAAAGTCTTCACTATCCCTGAGGTCAAGAAAACAAGCAGAGTGGCAGAGTGAAGAGCAGTAGTACTAGTGCTTTTTAGAAGCAGTAGAGGAGCACATTTGGAAAGCATACCTGTCTCTGCAGAGATTTGCCTTGTGGGCCCAAGGAGATACACAATGCAGGGAGGCAGCAAGAATGTTGGCATGTCCTGGGTTGGGTCATGGCTGCCGGATCTGGCAGGCCTGGGAGAGCAAGGCTGGCTTGAGTCCGTGACACTCTCTGACATCCCTGATTGGTGGGAATGTGTCTGCCTCCCCAGCACACACACACACACACACACACACACACACACACACACACCCCACACACGCCACACACACCACACACACACGACACACACACACTCCACACACACACACCACACACACCACACACCACACAGACACACATACACACACACTCTCTCTCTCTCTCTCTGTCCCCCTGTTTGAAGCAGGCTGTGGGAGAAGACGTTTTAAAGCATTAGAAATATATGTTCCCTGGCTTTCTGAACCTTTCTGGAAAACTCAGCAGCTCTTATCTAAGCCCTTTGGGTAATTGTTTAACCTTTTTAAGTAAATTTGGCCCTTGGGCTTGGTTTAGGTCTGTCTTTCTCATTTCCTTTCCTTCTGGTTTCTAAAAAAGGACTCTGCCCTTGGCCCACTCACTGTGCTCACTAGGTGGCTGGCTCTGAGGGAGCTGGGGAGCCGGTCCGCCAGGCAGTTTTTATGGATCTGATGGGATCCGGCAGCAAGATGCAGTGGAGGGGAAGAGTCAAGCAGGTCTCATTTGACCTTCCCAGGGGAGGTCTTTTAAAATTACTTATTATTAACGGGAAGCTGTCTTCAGTCATGAGATGAGAAGAGGGAATTACAGTCCAAGATATCTTTAGGGCTGACAGAAATTTGCATTGCCTAATAAGTTAGAAACCAAGTGCTAACTTTTCTTCATTTTCTTTCTTCCTTTTTTTTAACATATACAAGACAGCACCAAATTATTTCAGGTCTGTTTGTTTATTGTTTGCCCTGAATGAAGCCGCTCTTGCTCATGTTAGGTATAATTGGAGCTCAAGTTTGCATGAAATGGGTTTGGGGGAGGGGTGCACTCTTTTCATCTTGATCCGTTCTCAGGCCCTTGTTGTCTCCCAATAAATGACACTACCTACTTGATGCTTTTTATACCTGGTGTATTTTCTTTTAAGAAATGAACATTGAAGCTGTGATATCTAGGCTGCTCAGCACTGCCTAGCCTAGATCTGTGTATGGCTTTCCCGGTAGAGAAGTTTAGAGAAAGGAACTGTCTGTACCTAGCGCCACTACAGGATAATACTGCAGAGCCTTGAACAAAACCTGCAAGAGCCCAGGGGTGAGGGGAGGTTGTGGGGCGGGGACATGCCGATGCTAGTGAAACAAACAAAAGCTCCTATTGTACATGGTTTACTATGTGTCAGATGCCACATTAATTACCTAACATGTCATGTAATTTTCAGACCATTACAATCCCTATTAACAGCCTACGGGTCCAGGTTTAGAAAAGTTAAACCACTTACCTTTGGTCACATGGTTATCATGTGTCAGAGTCTGCATTTGCTCCTAGAAGACCTTTATGCTTCTTTTCAAATTCATAGTATGTCCCCCTCCCCAGATGTAGAGGACAGAGAAAACTTCCAAGTGCCACAAGCAGAAATAAACCAAACACATCCTTTCTGTTCCTGAAGGTCAGGAAATCTGCATTTCAGTTGAAGGCTGCAGCTGTCTGCTGTCCCATCTTTAGAGTCTCCTTGCTTCTTGGGGGCTTCCCTCCCCTCACCCGCACTCAAGTGAAGCCCATCTATTACTACCTTCTGAGGCTGGAAATGGTGCACGCTGCAAACACTGAGCAACATGACACCCACCAGGATCTAACATACTGTCCAGGGGGATCATGGATGCTCATGGCTTTGAACCTGCCCTAAATGTTGTACTATCCCGTTACTTGACCTCCCATAGCACATATGGAACCTCAAAGGGCCTGCAACCTAAGACAACGTGAGCCGGTCACTTCTTGGTAAGAACCCAACAATGAGACCTGTGAAGAAATGAGTGATACCAAAGTATAGAAGGAGGAGAAGTAATTTTGTTTAAACCCTAAAATACGTCACTCCATTATCCTCCCTCCCATCCTTGTATTCACATTTTAATTTAAGACTGTGAACACAGAGAGCGCAGGCCTTGCCATGCATTCATACCCCAGAGAAAACCATGTGACTCGCTTTGACTTGCTGGTCCCTGGAGATACATAATACTTAAATCAAAGAGATGCTGAAGGTCTTGACCTGGCTTCCCATGAAAGTGCTGATCAATACAATTTTTAGAAATTGGTTTTGAATATTAAACATTTTCAGTGGATCTGAAGATTTATGGCATCTCAATTAATCAAGTTTCCACTGCATAATCATCATAAAGAATGTTATCAGTGGTTGTTAAGTTTTCTGGCTAGTCCACAGAAGACAATTCAACTCACAATTACCCAAAATGCTATACACCAGCAATGAAGAATAACAGAAAACAACGTTGTTGCAGAAGTAATTACGCAAAAGAGAGAAAAAAGAATACGATAATTTTCTATTTATTGTGAATGCCAATGCTGAAGAAAAGTAGGCGTAATTAGAAGAAGATAATATGGAAACATTTTCTCAAAGATATTTCTGAATGCTCTCTGAAGTTTTGGAGTTTGTTGTATTGTTTCTATTGAGCCAAATTTAATTTTAAAATATGTAGCTTTTTTTTTTTTTTTCTGAGATGGAATTTTGTTCTTGTTACCCAGGCTGGAGTGCAATGGTGCGATCTTGGCTCACCGCAACCTCCACCTCCTGGGTTCAAGCGATTCTCCTGCCTCAGCCTCCTGAGTAGCTGGGATTATAGGCATGCATCACCATGCCCGGGTTATTTTGTATTTTTAGTACAGAAGGGGTTTCTCTATGTTGGTCAGGCTGGTCTCGAACTCCCTACCACAGGTGTTCCCCCCATCCCGGCCTCCCAAAGTGCTAGGATTACAGGTGTGAGCCTCTGCACCCAGCCGCTTTTGTATTATTTGATTCCTGTATGCATTTGTCACTACTCTGATGGATGAGGAAATTTTCATAAATATTAACAAAGGAAGGAAGATAGATAAAGGACAGAAAAGACAATAATGGAATTACTCATGAAAGGAGAGAGTAGCAGAGAGATATTCCAGAAGTAGAAGTTGAAAGGAAGGAAAGAAAGGAGCTAAAGAAGGGGACAGTGTGTACCTGTGAGAAAAACAGCAACAGCAACAACAAAAACCTCAAGTGGAATTACTGAATAGTCAGAGGTAGAGAAAAGAAAGAAAGTTGGCAGATAAGAATGCCTGGGCCCTACTTTTGAGTTTCTGGGATTTGAGAGCCTCTTCTCTGCCTGTCCAGGCCACAGGACCACACATAACCTGATGTCCAGCACCCATTCTAAGTCAAGGCGAGAACAGTCAAAGGGTCAGTTCTCACTTGCTGCTAGGTTCCAGCGTGTTCTGAACCTCGGTTCCTACCTGCCTTACAGCTGTAAATCTCCCTCTTGTCAATGGGTCTTAGTCCCTGTATTGCTAATCCACGCTGGACCTACCCCAGGCCCTGGGTGACTGGGTACCCTGCCTTGTCCTGCCAGGATCTCTTCTCTGAGGGTCGAGGCCTGCCCTTAACCCCGCTCTGACTGGCCTAGTGGTTCCAGGACTTTCCAATGCTTACCATCTGCCTATTTACCCAAAGGATCTTTTGGAGAGCACTTCACATCCAGGCAGCAGGGGAGGTCTAGGCCAAGTGACGCTTGCTCCTGTCTACCCTGCTTATGTGTAATTAAACCATTTATTTTCAGGCACATAGCCTGTGTCTCAGTTATTGGTCCACCTTGACTATCCACTGTTGCCTCCTGGTCATTGTTTGGAACCTCCTGTGATGGAGAAAAAAAGGAGTCACCATCTGTACACCCAGGGAATTGAATGAGTCAGGGGTTTATTAGAGAGGCTGGGCTTACACTGAGATATTGTCTGTAAGGCACCCTGTGTAAGAGGGGGGAGGAATTACAGAACTCAAATTTGTACCGCCGTGTGCTTTTCTCTGCCATCTCTAAAGATATTCCTCTTCCAATTGTCATTTTTATTGCTTCTCCCAAGCCCTTTGTTAAATGCATTAATATCTTCTATCTATCTTGCATTCTCAGTGTCCAACAGAATACCTAATGCTTAGTAGGTGCTCTAAGTTTTCTGAAAAGATGAATGTTTCTCCTTTATCTCTATCTCTCTGTCTCTCTCTCTGTTTCTTCTCTCTCTTTCTCACACACACGCACACACACACATCTCCCTTTTCTAATGAAGATATTCTCATCCATGTTGAATAATTCACAAGTCACTGAAATTACAACCATAGGGCCTGGCATTTGAACCCTAGTTGAGATACTAATATCTCCCTAAATAGTTGCTGTTTCACTTGTCCTTTCTCTGCCTGCTTGTTATAATTGGAGGATTTGACAATTGCACAATATCATTGAAGCCACAGGCAGGAGATTCTGAACGATTTGCAAGGGAGGAATGTCTGCTTTCTCCCCTTCATCAAGGTCACATAATAGAGGCTGGCACATTCTGGAAGAATACCTGCAAATTTCAGGGTTTGGAAAAGCCAATGTGAGTCATCTCTAAACATTCCATCTCAGGATGAAGGGATTCATGGACCCATCTCCTTGGGTCCTAAAATGCAGCTGCTTCTGTCACAAGATCTCACTATGAGGTCCCTGAATACCTATCAGCAACATGCCTCCCGCTGTACCTGTGCAGTGGAAACAGTTCATAGAATGTCCTTGATTATATGCTCTGCTTTATGATGGGCGAGTCAATGGGTGCTTAGTGAAATGTAAGATAAAGTATAACCTCTATCAAGAGGTTAAGAACACTGACTTTACAGTCAAAAGGCTCATTTTGAATCCCAACTCTGGTACTTAATGGCTGTATGTGGTTGGACAAGTGACTCAATTTTTCTAAGCCTCAATTTCCTGATTAAAAAAAAATAAGGAATAGATATCCACTTCACTGGGCTGATGGGAGGCAGTAAATGATACCAAGTTTGTAAAGATTTCAGATTAAAGTTTTACATTGCAGCAAGAGCACAATAAACAGTTGCTATTAAGTTAAATATATATATTTATCCATGCAGCATTTGTATATATATATATATATATATAATATATATATAACTGAATTCACAATTTATCCATGCAGCATTTATTGGGTACCCACCAGCACTATTCTAGGCAGTGTGGGAATTACACAGTTAAATTAATTCTAGACTCTCCTCTCTGAGCATCCATGTATGTTGAATATGTGACTATGTTGGCAGAACATAGAGCCCACAAAATGGGAAAGGGGGATGGAGGAAGAGAGAGGGATAAAAAGAGGGAGAAACGAAATCTGCTTAAAGTAAAACGCACCCTGTTAGGGTTCACATCAGTATACTTGGACGCATATATTTACCCATGTAGCCACCACCTCACTAGGTACAAAACATTTTTGTTACCCCAAAAAGTTCCTCCATGCCCCTGTTTTTATTGTGGTAAAAATACGTAGAATGTATCATGTAAACCAATTTTAAATATACAGTTCGGTGGCATTAAGTACATTCACGTTGCTGTGCAACTGTCACCACCATCCCTCTCCAGAACTTATTTCTTCTTCCCAAACTGAAACTCAGAATCCATTAAACAATAACTCCCCATTCTTCCCTCCCCCCAGCTTCTGGAAACTACTATTCTATTACTATTATTACTATTCTATTGTACTACTTTTCTTTCTGTCTCTATGTTTTGACCACACTAGGTACCTCAGATAATTGGTATTTTATAGCATTCATCCTTTTGTAACTAGCTTACTTAAGTTATCTATACATATTGTCTTTAAGGTTCATCCATGCTGTAGCATGGGTCAGAATTTCTTTCCTTCTTAAGGCTGTGTTCTATTGCATGTATAGGCCACGTTTGTTTATTCATTCATCCTTTGATTGATGCTTGGATTGCATTCACTCTTGTGAATAATGCTGCTATGAACCTAGGTGTACAAATATCTGTTTGAATCCCAGCTTTCAATTCTGGATTGCATGGTAATTGTATGTTTAATTTTTTTGAGGAAACGCCACGCAGTTTTCATAGTGGTAGAGTCATTTTATATTCTCACCAGCAATACAGAAGAGTTCCAACTTCACCACCTTCTTGCCAACACTTATTTTCTGTTTCTATTATTTTCATTAATAGTGACTTTAATGGCTGAGAAGTGGCATCTCACTGTGATTTTGATTTGCATTTCCCTAATGATTAGTGATGTTGATATGCTTATTGACCATTTGTATATCCTTCTTTGGAGAAATGTCTATTCAAGTTGATTGCCCATTTTTAAACTGGATTGTTTCTTTGTTTTTCAACGTTTGTAGTTTTATATATTCTGGATATTGACCCTTATCAGATATATGACTCACAAATATTCCCTCCCATTCTGTGGATTGCCTTATTACTCTTTTGATAGTGTCTTTTGATGAAGAAGGCTTTAACGTTTTACTGTAGTCCAATTTATCTTTTCTTGTTTTTTCCTTTTGTCGTCTGTGCTTTTGGTATCAGATCTAAGAAGGCACCAACAAATCCGATCTCATGAAGCTTTTTTCCTATCTTAAAATTTTTTTTAATAGTTTTAGCTCTTATGTTTAAGCCTGTGATCCATTTTGAGGGTTTTTTTTTTGTATATGGTGTAATATGAGTCCAACTTCATTCTTTTGTATGTCAATATCCAGTTTTTTCAACACCATTTGTTGAAAAGACTGTCCTCTCCCCACTGAATGGTCTTGGTATCCTTGTTAAAAGTAATTTGAGCATGTATTCAAGGGCTTATTTCTGGGCTCTGTATTTCATTCCATTGGTCTGTATGTCTGTTGTTATGCCAGGACCACACAATTTTGATTACAGTAACTTTGTAGTATGTTTTGGAAGCCAGGAAGTTCCAGACCACTAACTTTGTTTATATTTTTCAAGATTGTTTTGGCTATTTCCAGTCTCTTGAGATTTCATATAAATTTTAGGATTGATTTTTCTATTTCAATGGCATGGGTAGATTGCTTTGGATTGAATTAACTATATTAAGTCTACCAATTCATAAACACAACATGTCTTTTCACTTATTTTTGTGTTCTTTATTTCAACAATGTTTTGATGTTTCAGTGTACATACGACTTTCACCTTCTTAGTTAAATTTATTCCTAAGTATTTTATTCTTCTTGATGCTATTGGAAATAAAATTTTTTTTATGTTTTCAGATTGTTTATTGTTAGTTTATAGAAATGCAATTGATTTTTTTGTTGATTTTTGTATTCTACAATGTAATTTATTAGTTCTAATTTTTGTGCATGTTTATGGAATCTTCAGAGTTTTCTACACATAAGATTATATCATCTGTGAACAGAGATAGTTTTACTTCTTCCTTTCCTTTTTTGATGCTTTTATCATCTTTATTTTTATTTTTTGAGACAGGGTGCCACACTGTCTCACCCTGTCACACAGGCTGGAGTGTAGTGACACAATCATGGCTCACTGTAGCCTCGACCTTTCAGGTTCACGTGATTCTCCCACCTCATCCTCTCAAGTAACTGGGACCACAGTTGCAGGCCACCACGTCAGGCTAATTTTTGTATTTTTTGTAGAGACAGAGTTTTGCCATGTTCTATAGACTGGTCTCAAACTCCTGGGCTCAAGCTATCTGCCTGCTTTGGGATCCCATAGTACTGGGATTATAGGTGTGGGCCACTGCACCCAGCCCGTCTTTTTCTTTATTGCTTCAGGTAGAATGCCCAGTGCTATATTGAGTAGAAGTGATAGAAGCAGACACTCCTGCCTTG
Source organism: Homo sapiens (assembly GCF_000001405.40). Lineage (NCBI taxonomy): Eukaryota > Metazoa > Chordata > Mammalia > Primates > Hominidae > Homo > Homo sapiens. Next base: position 132,930,001 of record NC_000011.10, on the reverse strand, counting down.
GTTCTAATCTTAGAAGAAAAACTTTCCATCTTTTCTCATTTAGTATGTTGAGTACATTTTAGTAGTGGAATTTTTACATATGACCTTTATTAAGGTTATGTAATTTCTTTCTATTCCTAGTTTATTGAGTATTTTTTATTATTAAAGGGTGTTACATTTTGTCAAATGCATTTTCTGTATCAATTCAGATGGTCATGTGTTGTTTTGTTTTTTCCTTCAACTGGTTAATGTGGTATATTCATTGATGAACCATCCTTGCATTGCAGAAATAAATCTCACTTGGTTATGAGTATAATTCTTTTAATATGCTTTGAATTCACTTTGCTGACATTTTGTGAAAGATTTTTGCATTAATATTTACAAGGCACATTAGACTAGTATTGGTTTTGTTGTTGTTGTTGTTGTTTTGGTAATGTCTTCGTCTGATTTTGTTATCGAAATAATATTGGCTTATAGAGTGAGTTTGGAAGTGTTCTCTCCTCTTGAATTTTTTGGGAGAGTCATAGGAAAACTGTTAATTCTCCTATAAATGTTTGATAAAATTCAGCAGTGATGCTATCTGGTCATGGGCTTTTCTTTTTTGGGAGGTTCAGATTTTCAATTTCTTTGTGATTCAGTCTTGACAGACTCTGTCTTTCTAGAAATTTGGCCATTTTATCTAGGTTAACCAATTTGTTGGCACATACTTGTTCACAGTACTCTTTTATAATCCATTTTATTTCTATAAATTTAGTTATACCATGACCTTTTTGTGATTTTAGTTATTTGAATTTTATTTTTTTCTTAGTCAATCTAGCTAAAGTTTTGCCCATTTTGTTATCATTTTAAGGAAAAAACTCATTATTTTGTTGATTTTTTTCTATTTTCCCATTCTCTATTTTGTTTATCTCTCCTATAATATTTATTATTTTCTTTCTTCTGCTAGTTTTGTGTTTAGTTTGTTCTTCTTTTTTTTAGTTCCTTAAGGCTTAAAATTAGATTGTTGAGTGTTTTTTTTTCTTTTTTGTTGTAAGTGTTTAGTGCTATGAATTTCTATCCTAATACTGCTTCTATTGCATCCTATAACTTTTGGTATGTTGTGTCTTCATTTTCATTTGTCACAAGATTGTTATAAAAATTGTTTTTTTATTCATTGATTGTTTGAGAATGTGTTAATTCACACATATTTGTAGATTTTCCAGTTTTCCTTATGCTGTTGTTTTCCAGTTTTATTTCATTCTAATAAGAATAGATACTTAGTATGATTTCTGTCTTTTTAAATTTACTAATACTTATATTTTGCCTTAACATATGATCTATCCTGAAGAATGTTTTATGTCCACTTGAGAAAAATGTGTTTTCTGCCTTTGCTGGGTGGAGTGTTCTGTACATTTCTGTTACGTCTAATTGGTCTGTAGTGTTGTTCAAGCTCTTTATTTCCTTATTGATCTTATGTCTGTTTGTTATATCTATTATTGAAAGTGGAGTGCTAATGTCTCCTACTGGTCTTGTAGAGCAATTTCTCTATTCAATTCTGTCAAACTTAGTTTCATATATTCAGATGTTCTGCTATTTAGTATATATGTTTATTTTTTTGTATCTTGTTGGTAAATTGGCCTCTTTATTATTATATAACATCATGTGTTTTTTGTGAGAGTTTTGACTTAAAGTCTATTTTGTGTGCTATCCCATAGCCACCTCTGGTCTCTTTTGTTTACTATTTGTATAGCAAATACTTTTTCAACCTTTCACTTTTGAACTATGTGTGCATTTAAATCTAAACTGGGTCTCTTGGACACAGCATATAGTTGGATGCTGTTTTTTAATCCATTCTGCCAATCTGTGTTTTTAGATTGTGCCGTTTAATCCATTTACATTTAAAGTAATCACTGATAAAGTAATCACTGACTTACTATGCTGTTTTGTTATATATTTTTTCTGTACACTTTATAGTTTTTTTGTCCCTCATTTCCTCCTTTACTGCCTTCGTTTGTGTTTATTTTAGTTTTTGGTAGGCTTGCATTTTGATTAATTCTCATTCTATTTTGTGTATATTCTATAGGTATTTTCTTTATGCTATATCCCCATGATTTGCACATAGGGCTTATATACAATATCCTAAGGTTAGAAAAACTATTTTAAATTGATAACAACTTAAATTACATACAAAAACTCTACTCCTGGACAGCTTGGATCCCCCTATATGTTACTGATGTCACAAATTATTGGTTTATACATTGTGTACCCATGAACATAGATTTATTATTATGTATAGTTTTATATTTTAAATCCTATGAAAGAATAAAATTGGAGTTATAAACTAAAATGACAATAATACAGGTTTTTTGGTAGGTGTCCATATATTATATTTACCAGAGAACTTTATATTTTCATACAAATTTAAATTACTTTCCAGCTTTCTTTTGTTTCAACTTGAAGGACTCTCTTTCATATTTCTTGAAGTGCAGGTCTAGTGGTAATGAATTCCCTCAGCTTTTGTTTATATGGGGATGTCTTAACTTCTCTCTTATTTTTGAAAGACAGTTTTGCTGGATATGGATTTATTGGGTGACAGATTTGTTTGTTTGTTTGATTTTGCTTTTGCTTTTTCCTTTTAGCACATTAAGTATAAAATCCACCGCCTTCTGGGAGGCAAGATTTCTGCTGAGAAATTCAATGATGATCTTGTTGAGAATCTTTTGTAAATGATAAATTAGTTTCTTGCTACTTTCAAGATTCTCAATTTCTCTTTGGTCTTTGACATTTTTTTATAATGTATCTCACTGTGGGTATCCTTGGGTTTATCCTACTTAAAGTTCATTGAGCTTCTTATATGTATATGTCCATTTCTTTCTTCAACTTTGGAACATTTCCAGTAGTTACATATTCAAATAAACTCTTTTCCTTTCTCTCTATTTCTTTTCCCGGAACTCTCATAATGCATATATTGGTCTACTTTGTGGTGTTTCTTAAGTCCCTTAGGCTTTATTCCCATTTCTTCTTTCTTTAATCTTCAGACTCAGTAATTTCAAATGATATGTCTTCAAGTTCACTGATTGTTTTTTCTGCTTGTTCAAATCTGATGTATTTTTCAGCTCTAGAATTTGTTTTTGGTTGTTTTCTTATTCTTTTTCTATTATTTCATCCCTTTTTTCATAGTCTAATTTTATTCATATATTGTTTTCATGATTACTTTTTATTATTTCTTATGTTTTTCTTTAGCTCTCTGAGCATATGTAAGGCAGTTTTTATAAAGTCTTTTCAGGTAAGTTTTAAGTCTATGTTTCTTCCGGAAAATCTTATGGAGATTTTTTTTTTCCTTTGAATGGGGCATATTTTACTGTTTCTTTGTATGCCTAGTGACATTATGTTGAAAATTTGGCATTTGAAAAAACAACCACCTCTTCAAGTCTTTGTAAGCTGCCTCCATGCAAGGGAAGACCTTCACTAATCAGCAGGATGTGATGGCTTAAGTTCTTAGGCCTTTTCTTGGTATATGCCTCTCCTGGTCTTGTGTGCATCCTTTTTTTCCATTCCTGTATACACATGGCTATTTTTAAATGTCTCAATTTCTCAAAGAGTCTCACTACAGTTTCTTCTCAGGGGCCTTAAATGTTCTTTTATTTTTCTCTGCAAGTAATCTCTTGCAGAAGGTATGCTGTCTTGATGCGTACCACAGCCTCCCCTTGCCTGAGATCCAAGCTGCTTTTGGTTTCTGGACTCTGAGGTCGTCATCACAGAGATCAATACAGAACATGCCTCTGACATCTTTAGAGTTACAATCTAGGGTGGAAAGACAGGTAATAAACAAGGTAAATGCATCTAAACACAATATCATGTTACACAGTGATGAGTGCTCTGAAGAATAAAAGAGTAGGGTAAATTAGTTGAGAGGGACAAGGGTCTCTATTCTTGCCATGGTGGTCAGGAACCACGTGTCTGATGATGGTGACATTTGAGCAGAAACCTGATCAAAGTGCAAAAGTGAGCTATGCAAACACCTACTGGAAGTGTTCCAGGGACAGGGATGGCAAGGGAATAGGGTTCATGGCAAATGTGTGCTCACTGTGTTCTAGCAACAGAAAGGAGAGACTGGGCCAGAATAAGCAAGAGAATGAGTGGTAGGGAATAACAGAGTCATGGACAGAGACTTCTACCTTCTGGTCTGACATGTAAGGAGCTTGGGGGCTGGCTCTCCATCCTCACAACAAGAAAAAACCCTCAACACACTGAAAATCAACAATTCTTCTCAGATCCGTCAGAGAATTGAAGTCATAGGATAAGGCCACTACCTTAAAAACTAGAGACAGGTAGATACAGAGATTCACTGTTTATTTTGGGCAGAAACCACCCAGAAACTACCCCTGGAGTCAGAGTCTTCTAGGATCTTTAAAAAGACCATTGAGTGATGGCTGAAAACTAGATGTAGACTAACTTGAAATGTAAAACTTTTGAATAAGTCCTTGCGGAGTCCCCATACTTTCGTGGGTTTTACCTCCAGAAGCCCCACCAGGTTCTCAGGGTGAAAAGGCGTAGGTACAGCAGGGTAACCATTTGGAAACATTCCCAGAGGATTCTGTTCTTCTTAACAAAAGCTTATTCTTGAAAGAAACTATTTTCCCACAGCCTAATTACATTGTTTTTTGTTTAAACCAGAACCTATCCCACTGCAGGATGGGAAATACCCTACTTTACCCCACACTAGCTAAAAGCCAAAAAACAGAGTTCGAAGAGACAGAGAAAACATCAGCATAAGACTCAGATATGGCAGGGATGTTTGAGCTATCACACTGGCAGTTTGAAATTACTGTGCTCAGTGTGCTAAAGGAATATTGGGAAAAAATGGACAACATGCAAGAAGTGATGAGTAATGTAAGCAGAGAGATGGAAATTCTAAGAAAGAATCAAAAGGAATGCTGGAAAGAAAATACTGTTACAGAAATGAAGAATGGGCTCATTTGATGAGCTCTTTGGTGGACTGGACACAACTGAGGAGAGAATCAGTGAGCTGGAAAATATGCCAGTGGAAACCTTTGAAACTGAAAAGCAAAGAGAAAGACTTAAGAAAACAGAACAGAAAATCTAAGAACTGTGGGATCATAACAGAAGATGCAACGTATGTGTAATGAGATATCAGAAACAAAAGCAAGAGAGAAAGAAACAGAGGAGATATGTATAGAAATAGTGACTGAGAATATCCCAAGATTAATGCCGGACACCAAACCACAGATCCAGGAATGCTCAGAGAACATTGAGCAGGATAATGGCAAACAAACGAACACACAAACATAACAGCCTATGCTTAGGCATATGATTTTCAAACTGAAGAATGTCAAATGCAAAGAGAATTATTTGGAAGATACTAGCGGGGAAAAACACCTTGTTTATAGAAGAGTAAGGATAAGAATTATATTGAATTTCTCTTTAGAAACCAAGCAAGCAAGAAAAGAGCAGGGTGAAATATTTAAAGCATTGCAAGAAAAGAATCATCAACATAGATAAAGACTTTCTCAGACAAACAAAAATTGATCAGATTTGTCTTCAATAGACTTGCTTTGCAAGAAATGTTAAAAGTTCTTCAAGCTTGGTGCAGTGGTATACACCTGTATTCCAAACAATTTAGAAGGCTGAGGCAGGGAGTATCATTTGAGCCCAGGAATTTGAGTCCAGTCTGAGCAACAACAGAGACCTAGACCCCATTTCAAGAAAAAGAAGAGGAGGAGGAGGAGATGATTAACTTAAGCTAGTTCTGATAATGCCGCACCCCACTCCATCCTCCATCCCCCAAGCATTTACAGGTGTAGCTGACTCTTTAGTAATCAGATTATTTATTTATTTTTACTTCCTCTTTTCTCTCTGTCCCTCTTCACATACACACACACACACACACACACATAGTTTTTTTTCCTCAGTTGATGTTAGTTTCTTGAGGGCAGGAACAAGATTTCGATTTAATTAGGGGCTGGGCGCAGTGGCTCACACCTGTAATCTCAGCACTTTGGGAGGCCGAGGCGGGCGGATCACCTGAGGTCAGGAGTTTGAGACCAGCCTGACCAACATGGAGAAACTCCATCTCTCCTAAAGATACAAAATTAGCTGGGCGTAGTGACACAAGCCTGTACTCCTAGCTAGTCGGGAGGCTGAGGAAGGAGAATTGCTTGAACCTGGGAGGCGGGGGTTGCGGTGAGCCGATATTGCTCCATTGCACTCCAGCCTGGGCAACAAGAGTGAGACTCTGTCTCAAAAAAAAAAAAAAAAAAAAAAAAATTCAAGTAACTTCTGTGATACTTCGCAGGGCATGTTAATAATGTCTGTTTGACAGAGGCAGGTAGATTGAATCTATTGTTAGCCCTATCTTCTTCCCAGCTGTGTAAGTAGGTGCAATCAGACATGTATATATTTGTGACCATAACAAAAATGGAAATAATAGTGAACATAAGCAACTTTTATTTGTGTGGTAATTTGCAATTTGCTCTTTCTTCCTGAAAAGTTATTTCCCAACCTCTTTCTATATATGACAGGTCTTACTCATCTTTCAGATCTCTCTCAAATGCTACTTCCAATTTGTTAATATTTTCTGATTTTCCTGTCACCTTTGTCTCAATGGTTTATAGGCCTTCCAAGCCCGGCTGGGCGTCATAGTAATCCAGGAAGATTTTTTAGAATACAGATTCCCGTACCCAGTCTCAGATATACAGAATCAGGAATGCTTAGGTACAAATCCATGAGTCTGGTTCTCATACAAGGAAAACTAGTTTGGTGCACTATTTTTTGGAAAAAAATGTGTCTGACCTTTTTAGTGTTTTCTGTTTACCAGAGCATGCAGGGGGAATGAACTAGTTCTCTTCTCATACCCCCGGAATGTATATACTGTTAACTGTAACATAATCTTGCAGGTTATCCGGCCATATTATTATTATTATTATTATTTATTTATTTATTTTTTTCTGAGACGGAGTCTCACTCTGTCACCCAGGCTGGAGTGCAGTGGTGCAATCGTGGCCCAATACAGCCTTGACTTCCCAGGCTCAAGCGACCCTCCCACCTCAGCCTTTGGAGGAGCTGGCATGCACCACCACACCTGGCTAATTTAAAAAAAAACAAAAAACAAAAACGTGTAGAGATGTGGTCTCCCTGCGTTGCTAGACTGGTCTCAAACTGAGCTCAAGAGATCCTTCCACCTCAGCCTCCCGAAGTGCTGGGATTACAGACGTGAGCCACTGTGTGCAGCCTCTCCCGCTGTGTCTTCCCTTCACAGGACTTCGTTCCTGGGAGGGAAAATATTTAGTTCACCTCTGTATCTCAAGTTGTGAGTACAACAATTTTTTGCTTTACTCTTTTTGTTAAAATGTACCAAAAACTCCACTCAAGCTGTTTAAATAAAGAGGTAGGCTGTGTTATAAGGACCATGGAATGCAGGAGAGTGAAGAATTTTGGCTTCTGAAAGGAAGGGAAGCAGGAGTCAGACCCTTCTCAGAACAGAGGCAGCCACTCTGCCGCCCTCCTCTTTCCTCGGGGTCTCCTGGTCTCGGTGCTCCGTCTTCCCGCACACGTGCTGCTTTTGCTCCTGTGGCTTTCTCTGTTTGCACAGGGTGGAAGGTGCCCATCCGACCTCTTTTGGCTTCATAGTTCTCGTTCAAGCGAGTCTCCACAGATTGTCCAGTATTTCTCTGTCTCATTTCCAAATTTCTGGGAGATAAAATCAGATTGTCTCAGCTTGGGTCGAGGGTCTACTCCTGATCCAATCAAGCCATGCTTAGGGGCAAAAGTCATGCCTCAGATAGGATGCTCTTAACACCAAATAATAAAATGTAACATTAAAGATATGTAAAAAATGGTAAAATTGGCCGGGGGTAGTGGCTCACATCTATAATTCCAGCACTTTGGGAGGCCGAGGCGGGTGGATCACGAGGTCAGGAGTTCGAGACCAGCCTGGCCAACATGGTGAAACCCCGTCTCTACTAAAAATACAAAAATTAGCCGGGCGCAGTGGCAGGTGCCTGTAATCCCAGCTACTCAGGAGGCTGAGGCAGGAGAATCGCTTGAACCTGCGAGGCGAAGGTTGCAGTGAGCCGAGATCATGCCACTGCACTCCAGCCTGGGTGATAGAGCGAGACTCTGTCTCAAAAAAAAAAGGTAAAATTTATAGTCTCACTCAATGGAGGGCCTCAATAAGGTGCTAGAGCGAGGCAGTTCCAGGAATGGTTTCCATCAGCTAAAGTGCTGACATCAGCACCTTTTATGGCTACAAGATGACTGCAGCAGCCCCAGACATCACCTTCTCATACAACAAAGTCCAAATGTAGTCATTAAGGGTTTGTGGGTGTCTTATAAAAAAATTTCTCCAGAATTTCTCTCTGAGCAGGGTTCCCTGTGGGATCATTGGCTAGGATCCCATTTATGTCCAGGCTCTAGCTGGAGGAGCTAGGGTCCTGGAAAGAGGGTTTCTGGCATTCCCTCCCTCCTACCCATACTTGGATGAAGGATCTGTCAGCAAGTTATTAGTGAGAAATTGCAGTTGGGCTGGCAAATAGTAATGTCCACAAGCCCCATGCCACAAATGTAGTCCCCACACATTGTGCTATGGCTGGGGGCCATGGAGGTGGAGGTGGTCAGAATTCTTAGAGAAGGATGAGCATGGCCTGGAAGGGCCCACTGTGGGTGTTTCTACTGGATTTAACACACGTGCAATAAAGGGACAACCAAAGAACGCACGTCCATTGCATTCACTGCGTCGTGGCCTTACCGTGATCAAAAGCCAAACAGGGAGGCGAACTTGTCTTCCATGATCACCCATGATGTCTGCAGCAATCTGTGTCTTAAGAAAAACAAAAAAGCTGAGGGAAACAAGGTGACAAACACGAGGGTTCCAGGCTGTCGAAAGGAAGTTTTAAACAACCTCACACAGTACTATCAGGAAAGAAAACAGCCATGGTAGAAGGAGATGGAAAAAGAAAAAAGTGATGAAGCAAGGCCAGCATGTGGCGGGGAGTAGAAGACTGCAGGGAGAATCAGACGCAGCGGGAAGCACTGGAGCTGAGGGGGTCAGGCAAGGAAAACTTCTTAAATCAAGCCGAGTGCAGGAAGGGACTGGCTGGAAGACAGGAGGGACAAGGTGTGGGGAGGAGATAGCCGAGATTAATGAGCTCAGGAGACGCCAGGTGGGCTCCCGCCGGCCAGGCCGTGACATGACAGCACGGGCCCAGAAGACGACCCTCTCTTTCGAGGTCAGTTATTTATTTATTTTGCAACAGAACCTAACAAATTCTAAAACCAGATAAATCCAATTACCCGTGTTTTGCCTTCAGGGAGTGCGAAAGATTAATGGTGGTATTTTGGCAGTAGCATAAAAAGAAATAGGAGGTAATAACAAGAAGGGCTCGTAAAGCGCCTGGAGAGCTGGCTGCAGCTCTCTCCCAGGGGCCGCGGCTGTCCTGGGGCCATGTGTGCACCCTGGCTTCGGAGGCAGTGGGCTGGGCCCAGAGAGACCCTGTCCTTCTCCAGGGGGGCTGCGATCCAAGACAGCACCCAGAGCACCCAGTGTCCTTTTAACTGATGTAGCTTTTCACATGCTCTTTTGCCCTCTCCCGCAAACCACAGTAACTTTTAGTTTTAGTGTTTAGAGCCAACGTTCTCTCCACTTCACAGATGAGGAGCCTGAGGAAGGAAGCTGCACCAGGAGGTGGGATGCAGTCCATTTGCATGAGTCTCCTTTTGTCTTTGTAGTTTTGTCCTGTGAAGTGTCACTGCGTTAGACTCCCAGGTCTTTGCAGCATAGCTTTTGGCCTATGAAATGTTTCTTCCAAAATGCCTTGCTTGATATTCACACATTCTGCTTTTTAAGAAATGTAATTATTTTTATTGAGATATAATTCACATATCATAAAATCCACTCTTTAAAAATGTACAATTCAGTGGGTTTTACTATATTCGTAAGGTTGTGCAATCATCACCACTATCTAATTCCAGTATATTTTCATCCCCACTAATAGAAAGCCCAAACCCATTAGCGGCTACTCCCCATTTCCCCCTTCCATCTAGCCCCTGGCAAGCTTCAAATACTTTCTGTCTCAATGAATTTGCTTATGCTAGACATTTCATGTATGTGGACTCGCACAATACGCATTCTCTGCTTTTAACTTGTCTTTTATTTATCCATTCTTTCATTCACTCACTTCCTGTGTCATTCTTTCTACAAATGTTCTTTGAGCTCCTGTCCTGGTTCAGGCATTTTTTAGGCACTGTGGGTGGAGATGAACAGCATGGCCTCTATCTTTAAAAAGCTTGTAATTCCGAGGTGAGGAGACAGAAGCGAGCAATTCAACACATCACGGTACTTGCTGAGATCCACTGGAAAGGGGCACGTGTGTCATCAGGCTCTACCTGATTCCGATGGTTCTGTTCCAGAGTTTCTTCATCCCCAGGATCAGCCCTGACACCAGAGAGGCTTTGGGAGCTGCAGCCAATCGCCCTGGCACCCAACACTGCTTTCTGTGATTCTAGCTCAGCTCTAACATTGGACCCTAACTCCTGAGAACAGATTCCACCTAATTCCACTTAGCACTCTTCATTCTAACAGCTTAGACCAGTAGTTCCCAGACTTCAGCCTGGGTCAGGGTCATCTGGACCCTGCCGGGCCTCAACCCAGAGCTTCCAACTCAGTAGGTCTGGGTGGATGTCTGCACATGTGAATTTCTCACATGTTTCCCAGTGATGCTGATGCTGCTTGTCCAAGGACCCCTCTCTGAGAACCACTGTCTTAGAACATGCCTTTACCTTGTTGGTCTGCGTCCTGGTAGCCTGCCTAGTAAATTAATTTCCCTGAAACTGAGGCCCTGGCTTTCTCTTGCTAGTCTCTTTTCAAGGACCAAAACCTTGTGATTAAATCCAGGCTTAAGGCTATAGGCCCAACTCATTATCTATCTACTTATACTCTCAAATGTTGCCTATTTCTGGGTTTGATGGTCTTCTCAGTTGCCAGTGAATGTACTGAATCTTGCCACATCTCATGTTTCCTAGTTCTGTCTATTATGTTTTACCATTATCCACAGTTAGCTCCTAGGCTTAATTCGGCCTGAATTTTTCCAAGCATAATTAATTGAGTCATACACAAGTGTCCAAAGATAAGACAACAGTCAGTCCAAGATGTCATTGTATTGTTTCCTAATCCCAGCTTTCCTATTTCATAAGGTGGCTATAGTGACAAAAGTGACAATGTTTTTTTTCAACCCTGGTGCTTTATGTTGGCACGTGTAAGTTGAGAAAAAGAATGTGAAATAGACACCTCTATAGCCTTTGTAACTTAAATGTCCTCTGGTAAGATTGGTGGTGATTGGGGAATCATAACTTAGAATGTCAAGGTTCTTAAGAGTTTAAGAAAGATGAAAAATTTCAGTTAAACCTACTAGAAAAAATTATTGGAGATATCATAAAGTGTGATAAACTGACTTAAAAAAATCAAAGACCCCTGCTTTTGATACACTCATTTTTACTTTTAAAAAGGAATGTTTCCCAGACAGTAAAGTGCACACGCTGTATGATTCCAATTTTATGGAGCTCAAGAACAGGACAGAACAAATTAATGATGATGGAAGTCAGTACAGGTGCTGCAGGAGGTACAGGGAAGCTTGAGAGTCAATACCTACAAATGGACGTGAGAAGAACTTGCAGCAGGATGGGAATGTTCTGTATTTTGATCTGGGTGTGGTCAACCAAGAGTAGATGTGTAGAAAAATCACTGAGCTGCAGTCTTAAGATCAGTGCCCTTTATATGCACTTCACTTTATGAATGTTATTCCTCAATAAACATAGTACTAGAAAAAAGGGATACAAAAACAGTTTAAAACGTGAATGTTAAAAATCGCATTATAAAGGTAAAAATCATATTTTATTCATTTAATTAAATTAGTAAATTAAAGATTACATTGTGCTTTTACCTTATTGTGAGGTAATTTCCAACACCAGTGACATAGAACTAACTCTAATCATAAAATAGGAAAACATATTAAAACAATTTTTTAAAAGTGGCCACTCCACACAAGCATGGAGGTAGAAGTGGATGAGTTTCTTCCAGAAATCATGGAGCACCATAGATTAAAAGCTTGTTTTCTGTATAAAGACCCAGTGGATCTAGTCTCATTTCTTTCATTTCAGGGCAGAAGTACAGGAGTTTGAAATGATCCAAGTAGGCCCTCCAATTACATTAATCACCACCACAGCAGAAAACCCAGCCCAAAGAGGCAGAGATGGATAAGCAAGCCATTGTGCTACTTCATGTTAAGGAAATCAGAGCGTTCCCCAGGTACAGTAGTGAGCCCTTCATGTAGACACCAGGGAAGGGTGACCTTGGCCAATCTAGTTCCAGGTACCATGGCAACAAGAAAACCTACAGCTTCTAGACTTAGAATTTCTTTGGAGGGAACGAGGTACCTCAGAACACTGTTAATTTTCTTCTTTCCCCAATTCCCAGGAAGAAGCATCTGTCTCCCAGCTCCATTAATTGCTAGGCCAATGTTGGATCTGTCTGGGATCTCTTCAGGGCCTGAAAGAATCCCTTTCAGAGCATAGAGAGGAAGTAGCAAGTCAGGCTGAGCAGAAAAACATGCTAACTACTCCAGAGTGAACCAGAGCATATATTCCTGATGCCCAGCTTTCAACTTTAATCAATAGATATTAATTAACATAGAGAACAATAACTGTCTTATTAAATCAGCAGTGATAAAAAAAGGCCATAGCTACTATTGAATGCTAATTGTCCCTTGATGACTCCACAGAGTTTCTAGGGTGAGCAGGCAAGTTATAATACAGTGTTTCCAATACAAGCCGTGATGTTAAATCCTCGTTACGGTGTCTTAATAATCAATTGGACTAGAGCGTACGGTATTTGTCTAATTAACTCCACATTGACACTCAGGAGCCAGCCTTGCTAGCCACAGATGATGGATTAGTTATGGTAGCTTGGGCTTGGTCACTGGAAGGGGTGCATTCTCTAGGCTCTGGGGGACTCATCTCCAGGGACCAGTGTCTGCAAAACAAACTCTGGGACCTCATGGGAAGCTCCTTTCATATCTTACAATAAAATAGGAAGGGGAAGACTCATGCTGCCTTAGTGAAAGTTTAATTTCCTACTTAGTAGAAAGGTCTAATGTGTCGTCTGTCTTGGTAAGCACCCCATGCTGCTGCCGACTGCAGTAAGATCCTCAGCCCCTCTGTGAAGGGAGGAGGCAGGGTGAGGGTAGCCTCAACTCTTCCCTTTCTACTTTGCTCACTCGAACACCCCTACAAAGTCTTAGATGGTCTTCTATGACATTCTCTTTACTTAAACACTCACATAGCCTATTTCCTCTTCTCTTCCGGTGACTTCTACCTCTTTATTCTACCACCTTCCTTCAGCCGCCAAAGCTCTACGTGTACTACTACTCTGTGCAAGTTTTCATATCCTCATGGTGCATCTTCTTTTATTCTGCTTTCTTTCCAGGTTTACTGTCTGGGATATTCAGATTGTGTGTTCAAGCTTAGGAACTGTGAATTTTACTTACCTGTCTCCACCTTGACAACTCTAATGGGAATTCAGTGACGTCCATGCCTGTCTAGAGTGCCAGCGCATCCACAGTAGAAGGCTTGCCACTGACTCCGTTTTTCATGTTTCACATTGATACAGCTTGACTAGGCCATGGAACCCCAGAGTCATGGAGAAAAGGGGCCCTCATGGGTGGGGAGAGTCAGCACAAATGCCTGACAAGAGGGAGTCTCTCTTAGTGTGATGAGACTGTAAAGCTGATTTGAATTAGTGTCCTATTTCCAAGGAGTATAAAGAGGCTTATAAGGATGCATATATATGTTACCATCAATTAGAAATGGGTAAAACTACACTTTATACTACAATCAAAAAGTAATAGCAGATGGATCCGAGATCTGAATATTAATATAAATATGAAACTTCTGACAGCATCAGAAAAATAAAGAATTTTACCCATACATGCACACTTACAAAATTATGGAAGTTGTGAAATGTTTTGTAATTAAGAGGAAAAACCCAAAAGCAATAAAGGAAAAGACTGATATATTGATAGATTGGCCTAATTAAATATGAAAGATCTCTGTAGAAAAGATAAGCAGTAGACTGGGAAAACATGATTAGCAATATTTATAGCATTAATATCTAGATTATATAAAGAACAGTCACATATCACCACCAAAAAAAGATAAATTACTCAATAGAAAGTAGACAAAAAATATGAATGAGCAATTACTTGAAATAAAATAGTGAATAAATATGTGGGAAAATGCTGAACCTTATGAGTTATCAGGGAAATACAAATTAAAGCACTAAATACAAATTACCTCTCAAAAATGAATAAAAACAGTTTGTGTCACTGAGGACTGTAGGGAAAGGTGACACTTACACACTGCTGGTGAGATTATCAATGTGTGAGTCTTTTGGAGACGGTGATTGTCCATATCTATACAAATTAGAGATTTGAATGCTGATTGACTTTTGGTCCCAGGCTCTGCAGGGGGAATTTAGAAAAACTCTTGGGATGTACTTCTGATGGTCCAATCCCAGAAGGAGTGGTGGCTGGGCAAGGCTGTGGAAACTGCCTAAATGGTTGCACAGGCTGAGGTCTTGCCAGCCTTCCCATGTCATGCCTTGCAGCTGGTGTGAGAATGAGGTATCATAGCACATGTGGATGCCAGAAATGTGCATGCCTCACCGGGAGGTAAAAAGCAGATTGTGCCACAGTACATATGACATGTTTATAACCCAGATAGATGTGTATACACGTTCACATATATAATGTTGAAAATGGGGAGATAGGGTCTGGTGGTTTACACACAAGCAAGAAACAGGGCCCCTGAAGAGGTGAATGAGAATGAGGCAGCAAGGTAAAGATGGGATACACATGTTCTGTATACTTCTCTATTACTAGAAGGTCATAGATGTTGAGTTAATGTAATTTTAAACTTTTTGTTAGAAAGAAAAGGAAAATAAGGGTAATAACATAAAGAGAAGAACAAAGCTCTTGCACAGGCCGCAAGGTTGTCAGACCTGGAGGGCAATGTGATTGGTTATATAACTTATAGCATTTGTCTCATAAAGCAAATCAGCTGCAGGGAGCAGCATCAGGAGCTCTCACACAAAGACCACACAGAGCTTCTTGAGAGTCACACAAAAGACCTTGTGTTGTGTAATGGCGTATGGAATTCTGCTGCAACACTTTCTTAGCCAGCTCCTTGGGGCTCTGGTTTCACACTGCCTGGAGGATCCCCATCCCGTCTCCCAACTTTGTTCATGACTCAGTGGCTGCTATGGGTTGGTACAGGAATCAGCCAAACCACAGGCAGTTCGACATCCTGGTCTTGCAAGGTGCCCTGTTGAGGGGCAGTGTGACTGAGGTCAGGTAAAGAGCCCGCCTTCCAGCACAGCCGTTCACTCTCTGCTGGGACTCTGGTTTCTTAGTCTGCTTTCCATTTCAAGGATTAAGGACAAAGGGATAAAGACATCATGGCCATAACTACAACAAATTTTAATTTCTGGTTATTTTTCCGTATACAGAAGCAAGACATTGGGTAACATGTAGTAAATCTAAACGAGTCCATAAATATTATATTGGAACAGAAAATGTATGGTCACAAGAGACGAACCATATTACCAGGTCGTGTAATTAGATGTGCAAACTCAGTTGCATATAAATGTTACCAAGTTCAGAATGGATCAAGCGATATTGACTTGTACTGGGAAGACACTAAGCATTGTGGAGATATCGAAGAGTCTCAGTCGTGGATCTGGAGCAGAGGGCCACAAGGCAGTTCTCTTTGCCCATAGAGGGAGAGGAACAGACACTTCTTTTGTGACTTCTCCATTTGCGGCAGGGAATGTGTGTCAGCACATTGCCAGGGGTGTCCCTCTTACCTCCTCGCAGCAGAGACAATTGGGAACTTGTTTTGTGAGAGCAGTGAGATGGATTATATGGCCTCTGGCTTTTTGAGACAATCAAGTTGTCCTTCACACTCCAAGTGGATGTAATTAACTGCACTGATAGGATGTTATGCCAATAGCAACACAGAAAACACCGGAAAATGAGTCGAAAGGATGCCTAGTGAGCTGCAGCAGAGGCAGAGAGGGGAGGAGTCCGTCGAGAGTGCTATGTAGCCCACCTTCTCTTGTGGAGCTGAGAGAAAGGACTTTGGCCCCATGACTTTCTAAAGCAGATATGGATTTTTACTAGCTCCAAAAAGAGAAAAAGAATGAGGGTATGTGCCCTATGGTTCCCTCTTGGAGTTGTGGGTCATTTCAGAAGGAGCCATGGTCAGAAAGGGGGCTGCCCTAGAAGCTGAGAGCTTTCGATTCTAGTCCCAAGGCAGTGCGGGTTGAGCTGTGCAACCTTTGGAGGCCCACGGCACTATACTGGACTGAGAGTCGGCCTTGTGAAATGAGGAGGGGTCAGATGGCCTCAGTGCATCTTTCTGCTCTAATGGTCTCTGGCTTTACACAATAGTCATTCACAGAAAGACAGAAAGGGGGAATGTGAAGTGAATCAAATTGCTTTCGATGGTAGAATATTAGTCATTTTGTTTCCCGATGACTCATAATCAGAAGTGATATTTGTAAGCAAATTTTACCAATGTTTACTAATGGATCATAATTTTAAGTAATTAAATACTAGTTAATTGATTTCCTGAATATTAAATTTAACTTTCCAGTAATAGTCCTCCATTAATGGATCCGCTCTTAGAAGTGTTTTTACCATAATAAGTCATTAAGATTTCCTGAATAATTTCTCTCCAAATCATTGATTTTAAGTTACTTTGCCAGCACAAATGCATAAAATCTCATAATGTTGCCATGTATCAATTTCAATCAATGCAGTTATGACAATCTGTGATTTGTTTATGTCTTACTTTTAAATAATAAAAGAAAGGACAGAAAAAATAGGAGATTGTGGTAATATGTAGAATATTTGCCAGGTTGTGTATAACATTCTCCAGGTTGTCTCTCCAGGCAACTCCAACTCTACTAATGCCTCTCCTCAAGGATTATTCTAATGGTAAATTAAGATTATAAATACGAAAGCATCAAATAGTCCCTGACATATATTTGATATATGGTGAAAAGTTGCCTGTTAATTTGCTAAGTTGTTTTCAAAGTCCCCATGGAAGATCTGGCATGGATTTTATCCTACGGGAAGCCACTGAAAGTTCTGAGCAAAGTCAAGATGTATTAACCAGTCATTCCAGCAGCAGCACATGGAATATGGAGCGATGTGGGCTGAGATGAGAGTCAAAGACAAAAACAAAAAGCAACCCCAGTTAGGATGGTATTCCAAATAGTTGATACAAGAGATGATAAATTTGAGAATTGTTGGTCTGCATAGTAAAATAGGATTGTGTTGAAAGCTGTCATAGGGGTTGTCTTGGTGATATTTTTCTAATCCATTTTAGAGTTTTCCTTTCATTTCATTTGTAAGTATATAGATTGCAGGTTTCCAAATGTTTATTTAACTAGTTGCATGAAGTGCTTCATAAAAAATATGCTTTTTTATAATAATGACATTGATGTTAGTGTTGATGATGAAGTTAATTATTAATTGTGCTTCCCGACCTCATAACCAAGAGGTGGAAAGGGGTTTATTGTATCCTGGTGACTCATATATTGAGTTGTATATTGGTCCTAATATAACAGTTTCAAAATCATTCAAAACTATCTTGGTCACCTAT